>NC_000010.11:132992687-133341576 GCF_000001405.40 Homo sapiens
GCAGCCGTGGTGCGCTTCCCGTCCTTGAGGCTGGACAGGCCAGCACCCACCTCGCCCGCACATCCCCGGCCATCCCTGGCCACCCCCACTGAGGGGAAGAGTGAGGGTCCTGGGTGTGACTTTCCCCAGGCCCTGCCAATGGGGACCAAGACAGTGAACTCAGGGGGCCTCGGCATCACCAACTGTGTGGCTGGGAAGGAGGGCCCCACGGACTGGGGGCCTGAAGGGGAAGCTCAGGGCACCTGTAGGCGGCAGCGAGAGCCCCTCCTCGCCCCGTGAGGACCCCGAACGCAGCCTCGTGCTGTGATGACCCTGAGCCCGTCCCAGCACCAGCCCCGCCCCCGGCGGACTCCAGGCATACCTGGGCGGAGACTCTCAGGGCGAGGCCATCCGTGGCTGATGGATCTGGGCGAGTGGCCTCTGTTCCAGCGTGGATCCAGCTGCATTTGTGAAGATGTACTTTTCTCTGAAATAGAAGGAACTGAGACGTAAGGCTCTGGGTGTGTTTTGCCGGTGGAAGTCAGCTGTGTCTGAGAGAGTCAGCTGTGTCTGAGGGTCCCCCATGGCCGTGGCCTCACAGGGCCTCCCCATCCCTCCCTCCTGAAGCCGTGGGGTCACAGGTCATGGCCAGGCCAGGCCATCTCCCACCCTGCGGCAGCTCCTGCTACGTTCCCCAGAGTGGGGGACGGTGCCTGCTATGGGAGGCAGTACCGCAGTAGGGCCCACGGAGGTAGCAGGTCTGATGTTGCCTGGCCCCTGAGGGTGCTGTGTGGCATGGCTGGGCCTCCCTGATGTTGCCTGGCCCCTGAGGGTGCTGTGTGGTGTGGCTGGGCCTCCCTGGTCCTGCTCTTGGTGGGGCGCCAGCTCAGGGATACGGTGGTGGCCGTGAGGGAGCCACGCTGGGAGGTCCACGTCCTTTTGAAAGAGAAACTGCATGAGAGTCGGGAATTCCCCATTGGTGCCACCTGTGGGCATCTGTCTTCTGCGGAGTGTGCGTGAGGCGGCATCGCACACTGCGGCATCTGTCTTCGGAGTGTGTGTGAGTGTGTGTGAGTATGTGTGAGGCAGCGTCGCACACTGCGTGGACTTTTAACTGCCCGTCGGGATGCTTTGCAGGTGAGTCCCGATAAGCGGAAACCGCAACGCTCCTTCAGCACCAGTGCAGGTTCACGGTTTCATGGGGGGAACGTCAATTCAGTAAGACGAGTGACGAGGCGCGTCTCAGCGGAACCCCACCCACTGCCGTCACCATCGCTGACCACTCCATTGGTTGATGTGGTGAGTGAGTTAGGATTCCACCTGGCAGTGACCTTCCACCTTCCAGGGGATGTCTCAAGCCCACTTCGTTGCCCCGGCCTCAGCCCCCCAGGCCGCGGCCATGGCAGGGTTGGCTCCGCCATCTGGGTCCCAGGGAGGACCTGGGGGCACAGCCCAAGAAGCCCACAGTGACATGAAACCTTCGTGGTCTCAATCCCCTGAGATGTGGGGCGTTTGCTCACCATGGTGTTGCCGAGCCCCCACTCACAGGTAAAGCTCATGAAAAGCATCCGTGACTTCACTTCACGTCTCAGACCCAGAGCGCACTGGCGGGAGTGACGGCTGTCTCTCGAGCGGAACTGTGGACTCTTAGATCCTCACAGGGCCGCCTTGGTGGGTCTCCGCTCTCTGCACCTCTTTCCTCATTGGTGAAATTGGGGTGATAACAGCACCCGGGTTAGGAGGAGGATCAAGTAGGTCGACCGGGAGGCAGTTGGAGCAAAGCCTCTGGAGACGGTTGCTGCCTGCGGGCTGCTGCTTTCGGTTTGAGAACGGCTCCTGCTCGCAGCGGGGAAGGCCGACGGGTGGGAAGGGCGGGAGGGAGAGAGGAGATGAGGATGCGCCCTGAGGAGGCAGCGTTTCCGCGTCTCATTAAGTCCTGACACCTTGTCATTAGCGGGGCAAACCCACCAGAGCTCCTGTTCCAGCTGCGTGGTGCCTCCCGTAGCTCCAGATTACGAGCTCGCTGCCTCAGGGAAGCTGAGTGGCTCCTTAAGGCCCAGCGTGTGGTTTCCTTGCACTTGGGGGGGCTGAAGCTGCATCCTTCCAGGGAGAGCGTTGGTGTCGGATGCTAATGAAGTAAAAGTGACAAGCTTTAAAAAAGGTCACATTCCGGTGGGACCAACCGAGGGATGTTTTTTCCCAGCAGTGCCCTGAGCTGACAGGGCCAGATTTGTGCTTCGTACTGGAAATGCCGCCTGTGCGGCCTGGCGTCCCGGCAGTGGCCTCCTCCTGAGCTCGGGGACAGAGACCTCTGCCTCTGAAGGCCCAGGCCTCACAGCCTGCAGATGCTGCTGCCCGGAAGGGACCCAGCGTGGGGTAGCTCAGCAGGGGCAGGGCTCGGCACTGGGAGAGGTACTGGCCACTGCGGCAGGGACCTGGGTGCGGGATCCCGGATGCCAGGGTGTCCTCTGGATGGGCCCATTTTCGGTACCATGAGCTGTTTTTATAAGTTTGTGTATGGAAGGCTTGTCCAAATTCCTGATTTTCCCCAGGAATAAGAAGAAATCCCTGAGGCCCAGGAGAAGGTAAATCCCAGCGAGCTCAGCCGTGCGTCCTCTGGGACGGCTGCATTGCCCTCACACCTGACCTCCATGTGGGGCAAGCTCAGCCGTGCGTCCTCTGGAATGGCTGCGTTCCCCTCACACCTGACCTCCATGTGGGGCAAGCTCAGCCGTGCGTCCTCTGGGACGGCTGCATTCCCCTCACACCTGACCTCCATGTGGGCTTTCATAGCTGGTTCACGGCTTTCTACGGCTTTTCCAAATGTTCCAGCCTTTTCTGCCATGTCTGTGCAAGAAATCAGCCTATACTGAAGTCATTGCTGTTAAGAGAATAAAATAAATACAAAAGACAGTTTTCTAAAACCCCGTGATTCAAAAGTCACTGGTTCTGGCTTTCCAGTGGGTCATGGCTGGCAGAGGGAGCAACTGCCTTCCAGATGCCAGCTCCTAGCAATGGCCATTCACCAGCACAGGGACCTTCCAGATGCCAGCTCCCAGCAATGGCCATTCACCAGCACTGGGACCTTCCAGACATAGGCTCCCAGCAATGGCCATTCACCAGCACTGGGACCTTCCAGACATCGGCTCCCAGCAATGGCCATTCACCAGCACAGGGACCTGGACGTTCAGAACCCTGTGTGTTCGTTGTTGCTAAAATGCTGCATGGATGCATCCCGGCCAGCTGCACTGTTTTCCTCACTCCCTGCTGATGTGTGGGGACCCCGGGGCTGGACAGGAGCGGCCGACACCAGGCGGCAGGGGCGCAGTGGGCAGCAGAGACCTCGGCTTCCGTCCTTCAGAGGAATGAGAGACGCTGCCCCGAGGCCCAGGCAGTGTCTGGGGCTGCTGTCCCTCACCTCTGACCCCTGGAGGGCCTGGGTTTTCCTGTCCACCACCTGGGGTGTGTCCAGGGGCCTGTGCATTCTGCCATTCTGGGCGAGTCACATCTCCAGAGCACGCTCTGCCCAAGCCGGTCACCTGCCTTCACAATCAGGAACTCACCAGCCAGACTGATGCCCTCTGGCAACCTAGGGCCCCATGCCGTGGGCTCCATCCTCTGTGCCCCCACAAGCTGGTGCCACGGCCCTCTCCCTGATTCTTTCCACGACCCCTCTGATTTTTTCAACGCCGACCTCCCCTAGGTGGGGACCTCCTGCCCCGTGTCAAAGCGATGCTTCCTGGGAGTCTCCAGGTCGGCTGCACAGCCCCGCAGCATGCCTGATGCTGGTGCGCCTGGGTGGCCTTTGACCAAAGCCCACGAAGACCCACCCACGGAGACCCACCCTGACCCCACGGAGACCCACCCTGACCCCACGAAGACCCACCCACGGAGACCCACCCTGACCCCACGGAGACCCTTCCTGACCCCACGGAGACCCACCCTGACCCCATGGTGACCCGCCCTGACCCTCAGCTCTGTCACCGTCCATTTCCATCCTCTGATTTTAAACATCATCTTTCCAGCTTTCTTTGAAAAGCCTCACGGCTTCTGCTCCGGGCTGCTGTGGCGGGAGCTGTGGTGTCCCTGGACACATCCGGCCCGGAGGTGGCTTCCTTGACCGGCACAGCCTCTGTGCGGGACACCGTGTGTCAGGGCTGACCGAGGACGCACAGAGACTGAGGGGCACCATCCTTTTCAGGAGCACTTCCGAGGTCGGCCCCTTCGGACGTTCCGTGTAAAGGTTTGCAGGGTCCACTCTACCAGGATTTGCTTAACTCAGCTTTGTAGTAATGGAAGATTTCTATTTCTGCCGGTTTTAAACTCATGTATGAAAAAGAGACGTGCAGCAATCCTGTCGAGATGTGGCAAGATGCTCGGCCTTTTCCTTCGGAAGCTGATTGCTAGAGCAGGTCATAGCTTGTCCAGTGGATGGTGGGGAGATAATTGCAGTTAATAAAGACAAATTCACGCTGACCCGTGACTTATAAGCCCGATGAATGGGGCTTTGCTCAACATTATAGCTGCAGCTCTGACAGATTGTGCATAACTTAATTTTTGCTTAATTGAGTTATATTCTAAATATGTTCTGAGGCCGAGCTCTCTATTTGAAAGGAACTTGCTGTTCCTTGATGCAGGAGATGTTGTTATCACAGTTGAGGTTTAACGTTAGAACTAAACCAGATTGCCATAAGCAGTTTACTAGCGGCTGTATTCACTCGGGCTCGAAGGGTGCCCTGCAGCCTCTGGCAGGGCTGGCTTTATTCTGCATATTTGATCTGGTTCAGAAACAATGTGTAAAATGAACATTCTGCAGAGTCCCATTTCCCCATTCCCAGTGTCATTTCAGACACATACTTTTCCAGAAAGCATTTGGCCCCACGATCTAATGAAGTCACCTATCTTGGGTCAGATTCCAGGAGTGAAGCGGACAGGCACGCACTCACACACCTAAGTGCACACCTGTGTGCACACCCAGACAACACACTCGCATGCACACAGACAACACATGCACACACAGACAACACACATGCACACACACAACACACATGCACACACACAGGCAACACACATGCACGCACAGACAACACACATGCACACGTGTGCACTCAGGCACAAGCACACACGTGCACACCTGGGGACAGTCGTGCATGCAGTGCCTCTCACATCCATGCTTGCTGACTGCTGCACACACACTGCACGTGCACACCCTCTGTGGGCCTCCTGTGCACTTGCACACACACCCTCCACACAGACCTGTGCCCTCACCCCAGCCCCACCTCAACCCCTGGCAACTGGAATCTGTTCCCCAATTGTATACTTTCTCCACGTTGAGCTGTTGAGCTGTCAGTGGAATCATAACACGTGCAAGCTTCGGGGGCCGGCTTTTTCCCACAGCATGGGTCCCTGGACATACGTGCAGGATGTCCTGTCGCCCATGGTTCGCGCCTTTCCGCTGCTGAGTAGCTCTTCACGCCATGGATGGATCTCAGTGTGTTTAACACTCGCTTGAAGAGCATCCAGGTTATTTCCAGATGCGGCTAGTATGCATGCAACTGTTATCAACATTTTTGTGTGGTTTTTGTGCGAACATAAGTTTCGTTTGTCTGAGATAAATGCCCAGCAATGTAGTTGCTGGGGCACACGCTACATGTACCTTTAATGTTTTAAGAAACTGTCGAACTATTTTCAGAGGCGGTGCCACTTCGCATTCCCACCGGCAGGTGATGGGGATCCGGTTTCTCTGCATCCAGCATGTGCTGTTGATGCTATTTTTTATTTGAGCCATGCTGATAGGTGTGTTGTGATATTTCATTGTGGTTTAAATTTGCACTTCCCTAACAGCTGACAATATTGAACATCTTTTCGTGTGCTTATTTGCCATTTATAGATCCTCTTGGTGAAATGTCCCTCTCTGTCTTCTGTGCATTTTATAATTGGATTTTTTGCTATTGGGTTTTGAGAGTTCTTTATATATTCGAGACACTGGTTCTTGGTTAGAAATGAGGTTTGTAAATATTTTCTTTTAGCCTGTAGTTTTCATCCTCTTAACAACAGGCTTTCACGGGACACGTATTTTCCATTTTTATGAATTTTGAAAGTCCAGTTTATCACTTTATCCTTTTATTGATCATGCCTTTGGTGTCAAGTCTAGCCCTAGAGATCAAAGATACTGAAGATTTTCTCCTTCTGTTTTTTTCTAGAAGTGTTACATTTAAACCTATGGTGCATTTTGAGGTAATTTTCACATAAGGTGTGAGGTTTAAGTCAAGGTTCCTGTTTCCTGCCTGAGGGTGTCCACCTAATTCAGCACCGTGAGCCCATCTCCTAGAGCCCACCAGGATGCCCACCAGGCTATGGACCCCAGGCTGTGTCCACTTAATTCAGCACCATGAGCTCAGCACCATGAGCCCATCTGCAGGACGCCCACCAGTTTGCGGACCCCAGGCCGGGTCTTCCCACTCTACTGTCTTCCTAGGACCCTCTCGTCCTCTGGGCAGTACTGACAGGCCTCATGCATTCCTAGGTCCAGCCAATATCAGGTTTGGTTTATGAGAGGAGACCCAGCCTGGATCAGACCCATCCAGCCAGGCTGGCCACAGAGACAAAGCTGGAGAGCTAGGGCAGGCTCGGCAGAACTCCACCTCCATCCTCTGAGCCTCCCAGTGAGGCCCTCCTGTCTCTCCACCTCCATCCCCTGAGCCTCCCAGTGAGGCCCTCCTGTCTCTCCACCTCCATCCCCTGAGCCTCCCAGTGAGGCCCTCCTGTTTCTCCACCTCCATCCCCTGAGCCTCCCAGTGAGGCCCTCCTGTCTCTCCACCTCCATCCCCTGAGCCTCCCAGTGAGGCCCTCCTGTTTCTCCACCTCCATCCCCTGAGCCTCCCAGTGAGGCCCTCCTGTCTCTCCACCTCCATCCCCTGAGCCTCCCAGTGAGGCCCTCCTGTTTCTCCACCTCCATCCCCTGAGCCTCCCGGCGAGGACCTCCTGTTTCTCCACCTCCATCCCCTGAGCCTCCCAGTGAGGCCCTCGTGTCTCGAGACCTGTCCTCGTGAGCAGATTAGTGTCAAAGTGGGTTCATTATTGTGAATATGCTTGTTAGGAACGTGAGTTTCCCCTCCTGCCCCCTTGTTGTTGCCTTCTGTAGTCCTTCTGCCCTCCCCGATGGGCTGCCACAGCACGAAGGCCCTTGCTGGAGGCCAGCACCACGCCCTGGGGCTTCCCCAGTCTCTAGAAACAGTAGCCAAATACATTTCTGTTCATTGTAAGTTAACCAGTCTGTGGTGTCGTGTTATAGCAACATACAATGGAATGAAACAGGAAGCTGGAAAGATGAGTTATTCTAACAAGGTCTCAAGGGTATTCTGTCCTTGAAGAGAATACTGTATTCTTGAACTTCTTGTCCTGGAAGATAAAGACGTTGCCTTTCCTTCTAGTATAGGACTGGTGTTTTCCACTTGGGAATCTCATCTTCTGCTTTTAAGAAACAGCACAAAGGTCAAAGTGACCTGGTTGCACCTGCTGTGTTTCAAGTGTCTTTAACTTAAAGTCAGTCTGCAAGAACAGCCTATTTCAAGCCCTTCACTGACAAATGTCAGCACCTAGGAGCTGTGCATTCTCCCTGGGGAACTCGGCACCCTGGGCTGTGGAGTGCTGGTCCACACAACCTCTGCTCCACGCAGGGCAGGAAGCACGGCTTCAGGCCTGAGTCAGGCCCCAGCAGGCCTCAGGGGCCAGTGAGCCCTTTCTTCAGCCCTGATGTCCTCTCCAGATTTTTTTTTTTTTTTTGAGACAGAGTCTCGCTCTGTCACCCAGGGTGAAGTGCAGTGGCACGATCTCGGCTCACTGCAACATCTACCTCCCAGGTTCAAGCCATTCTTCTGCCTCAGCCTCCCAAGTAGCTGGGGCTACAGGCATGCGCCACCACGCCCGACTAATTTTTGTATTTTTAGTAGAGACGGGGTTTCACCATATTGGCCAGGCCAGTCTCAAACTCCTGACCTCATGATCCACCCACCTCGGCCTCCCAGAGTGCTGGGATTACAGGCATGAGCCACTGCGCCTGGCTGTCCTCTCCTGATTTTAGGGTGGTCTGAGTAGCCTCTGGTAAAGCCTGCTGACCAGTGGCTGGACAGACCCTGGCACCCCAGACCCTTCCAGACACGGCTGCACACGGCGGCTGCTCTCCCCTCCCCAGGACCCCCATGTGCTTGAAGAGACAATACCCCCGCACTGCCCTGCAGGGCTGCAGCCGGGAGTCGACTCAGGGAACAGCATGTATCAGAACACAGAGGAGTTCAGATTCTCCCTCAGATGCCAAAGCCACTTACATCATGCCACAAATTAATACAAGGAAAGATATGAGGCATCATTTATGCCCGTTAGCTAATAAAAAGGTGTGCAAAGCCATCAGTTTAAAATCTGAGTGCTTCATTATACACATTTCCTGTTTTATAACCTCCACTTCCCCCAGATAAACTTAGACTGGAACACTTTCCCTGGTTCCATGAGTGCACCTGCGGCTTCGTGCATCATTTCTGCCTAACGGAGGTGGTTCCTGCTATCAGCTCTGGGCCACAGTCCCCAGGTCCCCTGGCCTTTCCCGTGACTGTGTGACAGTGGCTGGGCTGCCTGCGTCCTGCTGGGTGCCGGGTCACACAGGCCGTGGGACGTCCTCGCGGGGTTCACACCACTTGCCCCAGCTGGTGGGGTGAGTTCAGGGCAGGGTGCTCTCTGCAGATAACAGGTGGGAGGGGGAGTAAAACCTCCTGAGTCTCCGTCATCCCGAAGCCAGAATCTAGGGTGCTCCAGCAGAGAGAGTGTCCTGCTCAGTCCCAATGCCTGGACACTCTCTCCTGGTGACTTGCAAAGTGATGGTTTGCTCTCTGCTGAAAGGGCTGTTTGACGGAGGCTGTTAGAGGAAGGTGCTGGTCATTTCTCAGGCCGTGGTCGGACCGAGGTCAAGCAGTAAGTTATTAAGCCATGCAGAGATGGGGTGAATCTTAGATGCATCTTGCTAAGTGAAAGAAGCCAGTCTGAACTTACAGGCTCTGTGATTTCAACTATAAGATATTCCGGAGACTCTTACATTGGGTTTTGATGCTGCTGTGCATGCACACTGGAATCGAACAATTAAGTGCACGGATGGTGGATGGTGGGAGCTGGGTTCCTCACCATGCAGTGGGAGGTGACAGATGAGGAAGGAGGGGCTGGAATTGCATGTGGTGCTGGGTTAGAGCTGGAGCCTCAGCATGCGTGCAAATTTAGTTTCATGTAGATACAAACTCTTCCATGGTGAGCTGGTCTATGCAAAGCTACCCCTGGGGCTGAGGAAGCTGAGAGGCCAAAGAAAGAGGCTAACAAATCCAGTTTCTTAGAAAGAAACATTTAGGCCGGGCGTGGTGGCTCACGCCTGTAACCCCAGCACTTTGGCAGGCTGAGGCGGGTGGATCACGAGGTCAACAGATCGGGACCATCCTGGCCAACATGGTGAAATGCCATCTCTACTAAAAATACAAAAATTAGCTGGGCATGGTGGCATGTACCTGTAGTCCCAGCTACTCGGGAGGCTGAGACAAGAGAATTGCTTGAACCTGGGAGACGGAGGTTGCAGAGAGCCTAGCTCGCGCCATTGCACTCCAGCCTGGCAATAGAGTGAGACTCCATCTCAAAAAACAGAACAAATGTCCTGGGCAGCTACCAGATGAGATGGTGGATCCCCAGCCACCACCCCGCAGACCCAGGATGATGAGATGGTGGATCCCCAGCCACCACCCCGCAGACCCGGGACTTCTACCCCACAGGGAAGGGACTTCCAGGAAAATTGAAGTCAACCCTTCAGGGAAAGGCAAGGCCGCTCTGTGAATCTGCCTGAGGGCAGCATTGTGATTGAGGTTGTTTTGACCTGAGGGCAGGATTTATGGAAACAGTAGATAAAGTAGAAATCTTAGAGGAATTTGCCAATGAAAAGAGTCAAATTCTGTAAAATATTTGAAGCGATTCATTCTGAGCCAAATATGAGTGACCAATGGCCCATGACACAGCCCCAACAGATCCTGAGAATATGTATGCAAGGTGGTCAGACTATAGCGTGGTTTTAGGCATTTTAGGGTGACATAAGGCATCAATCAGTTGGTTAGGTCTGGGAAGGCAGGACAACTGGAAGGGGTGGGGCTTCCAACTCATCGGTGGATTCAAAGATTTTCTGACTGGCAGTTGGTTGAAAGAGTTTATCTAAAGACCTGGAATCCATAGAAGGGAGTGTCTGGATTAGGATAAGGGGCTGTGGAGACCAAGGTTCTTATTATGCTGATGAAGCCTCCAGGTAGCTGGCTTCAGAGACAATAGGTTATAAATGTTTCTTATCAGACTTAAAAATGTGCCAGACTCTTAGTTAATTCTCTCCTGGATCAGGGAAAAGACTTGGAAAGGGAACAGGATTCTCTACAGTATGCAGGTTTTCCCCATGAGGGACAGCTTTGCAGGGCCATTGCAAAATATGTCAAAGAAACAGATTTTAGGGTAAAATACTTTGATTTCTTTCAGGGCCTGATCTCTGTCATGTGATGCTAAACTACAGTCAGGCTGGAATTTGGTGTTTTACTGCTACAAATTCTTCAGGTCTCTGTTTAACATTAATGTTGATCACCTGTGCCTGAATTCCAAAAGGGGGAGGGTGTCATGAGTACGTCCAACCCACCCCATCCCAACATGGCCTGAACTGGTTTTTTAGGTTTACTTTGGAATGCCCTTGGCTGAGAGGAGGGGCCCATTAAAATGGTTGGAGGGACTTAGAACTTCATTTTTGGTTTACACATCCCTGGAGCTGGGGTTAATCAGAAGCCAACATGTTGGACTAGCATCTGAGATGGAGCTGCTCTAGCCTGCTCACGAACGGTCACATGGAAACATTTAAGGTGTGAGTGCGGTTAGTACACGCACATACGTTTGAGGTGTGAGTGCGGTTAGTACACGCACAGACGTTTGAGGTGTGCGTGCGGTTAGTGCACGCACAGACGTTTGAGGTGTGCGTGCGGTTAGTACACGCACATACGTTTGAGGTGTGAGTGCAGTTGGTACATGCACATACACTCACTTGCTCTGTTGGCAGAGGGGGTCTGCAATCAGTGACACCCCAGGAGGGGTGAGCACCCTACCACCCAGACCTCGGCTTACAAACACCCTTCTCCAGTAAAAGCAGCCAGGGCTCCCGATCCTATGACTGGGGCAAAAAACACACAAGGTGTGACTGGGGCATCTTGTAGTGCCAGAAAGCAAGGAAGTGCTCAGATGAACAAAGAAATCAAGACAAAACACCCACAGTTATGTCAACCGAAAGAGCCCCTCCATGAGGCGGGGCACATGGGAAGTCTCTGCACCATCTTTCCAGGGTTTCTGTAAATTTAAAGCTATCCTAAGATTAAACATTTATTTAAAAAATAAATGCAGTGTGCATGGTGACTGCTTAGCTGGTTAGCTTCTCTGGGCAGAGGCCACTGGGCAGGGGGAGGATGTCAGGCCTCTGAGCCCAGGCCAGGCCATCGCATCCCCTGTGACTTGCACGTATACATCCAGATGGCCTGAAGTAACTGAAGATCCACAAAAGAAGTAAAAACAGCCTTAACTGGTGACATTCCACCATTGTGATTTGTTCCTGCCCCACCCTAACTGATCAATGTACTTTGTAGTCTCCCCCACCCTTAAGAAGGTTCTTTGTAATTCTCCCCACCCTTGAGAATGTACTTTGTGAGATCCACCCCTGCCCACCAGAGAACAACCCCCTTTGACTGTAATTTTCCATTACCTTCCCAAATCCTATAAAACGGCCCCACCCCTAGCTCCCTTTGCTGACTCTTTTCGGACTCAGCCCACCTGCACCCAGGTGAAATAAACAGCCATGTTGCTCACACAAAGCCTGTTTGGTGGTCTCTTCACACGGACGCGCATGAAAGAGGAAGCATGGGCGTGGACTCCAGACGTGGGCAGTTGGGAGCCGAAGTAGCACCCAGCTGGAGGGCTGAAGTCCTGGGAAGCACCCCCAGCCGTGGGCCCTCCCTAGGTCCTGTCAGCCCAGGATGCTGCATCCCATGATGCATCCTCCAGAACTAAACAAAACCCTCTGTGTGCATTGCTTGGTTTGCATGTAAAGTGGCAGCCTGCTACTGTTTTCCTCAGGAGCAATTTCTTGTCTCAGGTGGGAAGCGATGCTCATTGCAACATTGTAGAAAATGCTGGGGACGGGGGGAGTCAGATGTCACCCAAGGTCCTGTAGCTCTGTGGCTCAGGACAGACTGTGGCTCTGTGGCTCAGGACACACTGTGTGGCCCCGTGGCTCAGGACACGCTGTGTGGCCCCGTGGCTCAGGACACGCTGTGTGGCCCCGTGGCTCAGGACACGCTGTGTGGCCCCGTGGCTCAGGACACGCTGTGTCCCTACTGGCTGTTGGTCCCAGGGAGCCTCTAGCCCCAGACGAGGCTGCATCATCACAGTGAGCCTTTCCCGCGGGTCCAGGCAAGCGTGTCTCTGAAGGGATGGCTTGAGCACTGGTGCATGCAGGTCAGGTGTGGGAGTTCTCCAGCCGTGCCTGGAACGTGATGGGTGTGGATGTCCAGGGATTAAGCCCCACGAAGCCGGGTGTCCTGTGTGCGGCATCACCACCAGGTGTTGCGGGGCTACGCCACAGTTCTGGAGACACAGTAGAGCTTCTGTGTCTGCAAATGACCCTCTGTGGGCTTGGACGTAACATTTCCCACATAAGGAGCCTCCAGAGGCCATGAGTCGTGCCCTAACTGTCCCGCCTTTCTGTTTTTGTGGAGGTTGTTGTCAGAGACAGGCAAAATGACAGCAGAGGAAATTAGAAGATAAAGGGAAATCACTGCTTATCATGCATCTGAAGTCGCATGGGACGAGTCTTCAAAGAAGAAAATAGAAACAAATCATTACCAGTGCGAGCGTGAGGTGTGTCCTGGAAACCACAGCCTGGGCTGCTTCCCACACCTCGACGCGCCAGCTCAGCCCACACTGGCAGCTCCAGCGCCTGACAGGGGACGGTCTCCTGACTGATCCAGCGCCTGACAGGGGATGGTCTCCTGAGTGATCCAGCGCCTGACAGGGGACAGTCTCCTGAGTGATCCAGCGCCTGACGGGGGACGGTCTCCTGACTGATCCAGCGCCTGACGGGGGACGGTCTCCTGACAGAGAACCCATTTCTGCATCTGGGGCCTGTTTGCTGGGGTCCTTTTCCTGTTGACATAAGTGCTCAACTATCTATTTTCCTGGAGCAAAAACCAATCCCAAACACGGCTTTTCTCCTCTGATGTGAAAAACATGACTATTAAGATTTTGCATTTAATATCTGGGAGATTCCTGCCACCATGCGAGGAGATCCCCTCCTGGGCAGGTCCCTCCAGGTCTCCAGAGCCCGATCCAATTCAGTGCAGGAAAGTCCTGCGGTTTGCAGACAACATCTGCCTTTTGCATCTCCTGGGCAGACACCGGGAATCAGAGACTGTGCTTTGCACCCAGAGGTGGCTGTGGAAGTCATCCCCCTTGTTCCCAGCCAGGCCCCTCCCGCCCCACACTACACCAGGCTCACCTGGAGACACAGGGTTTTGTGGGAGTGTCAGCTGTGGTTGCTCTCCTCCTCCGTGCCAGCTGGGACCAGAAAGAGGGTCCTGGGCAGAGCCTCTGGCTCGTGGCCAAGGATGGACCAGGCCTTCACCGGGTGACAAGCTTCTTAGGGACTTCCCTCTGCCGCAGAAGCATCTGGGGGTCTGGTGTGGCTCGGGGCTTCCTCCGGACCCTGGAGGAGATGGTCTGGCTATCCAGATGGGAGTCTGCACAGCAGCGTAGGCCACAGGCCTTGTCCTCTCACAGCCCCAGAGGCTGCAAGCCTGAGATCAAGGTGCCCGCAGGGCTGGGAAGGGTCCTCACGTCCCCACAGCGTTCCTCTCAGTGCATGTCTGTGTCCACATGTCCCTTTCCTTCAGGACCTCAGTCATGCTGGACCAGAGCTCACCCCATGACTAAACTTTAACCCACTTGCCTTCGGAAAGGTCCTGTCTGCCAGGAAGGCCACACCCAAGAGCGAGAGACGGGAACCAGGGACACAGTTCCACTCACACAAGGCCACCTCCCGTGGACAAGTGACCTCCTGTGGACAAGTGACCTCCCGTGGACACGTGGTCCCCACAGGACGAAGAGTCCATCAGGCCTTCCCTGGGCCAGGCAAGGGTTTAGCTTCTGACGACCACGTACTCTGCGGTCTCAGGTGGACGTCGTCCTGCGCCGTGAGGAGGGCCCGAGGGAGAGCGCAGCCAGGGCCCCGGCTCATTCCACAGCCCAGTGAGCAGCCGCGCCTGCCTGGCTGTCCAGAAGGCTCTGGGACCCTGGGACACTCAATGTGGCTCAGCACACCTCACAGGAGGATTTGGCGTCTCCCTGGGGGTGAGGAGCCACGCCTGCCGTGGGGGCACAGGGGGCTCAGGGTGGGAGCAGGTGACATTTGGGGGAAAGGAAATGAGCTCCCCAGGATTCACAGTACCTTCACATCATACAGGGGTGACAGTCGGAACCCGATCTGAGATGGCTGGGGCTTCCCAGCACACGGGCCTCAGTTTACCTTCACCCAGGGCCAACTGAATGGCTCCTGGGCCTCCACTCTTGGGAGGGGCTGGCCGAGGTTTTATGTCCCAGTTGGCCCAGGGCGCTCGGTCACATGGGACATTCCTGCCTGCCAGGTCCCTGTTCCCCTCCCAGCCCCCAGCCAGGCACATGGCAGAGGGAGAGGAATCTCACCTGCCGGCAGTGGTGACAGCCAGTCCCTGGGGAGGAAGCTGTCCTGGAGGGGACACCCAGGCCAGGCTTTGAGGCAAGGAACCAGGGCACAGCTGGCCTCCCAGGGCCTGGGTGGCCTTTGAGAGCCAGGGTGTGGGACAAGTGAGTCGGCACAGAGGCCTGGACCCAGATCGGCCGGGCGGCAGCCTGGAGATGCCCACCAGGCCCAGGTGACGTCAGAGTCAGTCTGGGAACAAGGCAGAGGGCCGGGCACCTTCCCAAACACAGCCCCACCCCCGCGGCCTCTATTGGGCAGAGGCAGGAAGTCCGGGGGTTCTGGGCAAACCTGACCCAGAGGCCAAGGGTCCCAGGAAAGGGAGCCCCACAGCCTAGGCACAGCTGGCACCTCCCTGGAAAGAGGGGCTGGAAACAGAGGGGCAGATTGTCAGTAAGCTGAAGAATTGTCCGTAATCACGGGACGGCCTTAGTTATGTTTCCCACACTTAGGACTTGAGAGAGACGGCAACTGAATGCTTGTCATCAAAAGAAAAAAGTGGAAAAAAACAACCCAGTAGGCTTAAAATGAAGGAAGAGCATTCACATTTACAACACTGATGAACGTAGCTTCATCTTTCTCTCCTGAAAGTTTCCCAGCCTCCTAAGTGCTCTGTCCTTGCCTAGAATGTTTTCCTTTAATCTACATATTGGGTTAGACCGGCCTCCCCTTTCTCTCACATCCCAGGAGTGGTGGATGGGTAAGACCCTGCCTCGGGACCATGTTTGGAGGGTCCCGCCAGCCGTGCTCCGAGCGTCAGGGCAGCTGTGGTGTGCGAGGTGTTTGGACGAGACCAGGAGGACCGGCACTGGGCCACCATCTGGGAGCGTCTCTCTCACACCTCCCTCGGTGACGGGGAGGGAAGGAGGGCCGGGCCCCCAGGAGCGTCTCTCTCACACCTCCCTCGGTGATGCGGAGGGAAAGAGGGCCGGGCCCCCCGGGCCTGTGAGAGAGGGTCTCAGAGGAGCCTACTGCTGCAGAGCCCGATCTGGTGAGGGGGTGGCGGCTCACATCACAGAGCCACAGGCTGAGTGTCAGGCCGGGCCCCGCAATTCTGGAAGATCCAGTGCGAAAGTGCTTGCTCTGCTCCAAACCCGGGTCCTGGTCTGGACACAGCAGCCTGAGCCCTGGGAAGAGATTCAGCAGCTGCCCGGGAGCTGGGCGGGGAAGGGCTACTCACCCGGACATTGCCCAGAGTGTACTCGAGGGGCCCCTAGCTCACTGCACGGCAGCTGGGAACATCTCCTGACCCACAGGGCCAGGCTGAGCCACAGGGTGGACAAAGCATCCCCCTGCACTCTCCTGGACTCCAGGCACAGATTCTCTCAGACTGACTCTGCAATTCCAACCGAGGTCACACTCCCAAGCCCAGCACAACAGCCTCGCTGGAGTCCATCTCACGCCAGCACAAACGGCCTGCCTGGACGCAAACATCAGGTATGGGCTGCACCAGGCCCCTGCAGATGGGTACGACCCTCACGCCACTGCGAGCCGCAGCCTCAGCGCACTTTGGGAAGAAGCAGAGAAGCATGATAATGTCTGGGGCTCAATGTGGCTGTGATTACCATGAACAGAATAAGCCTGAAGGAGAACGGCTCTTTCCCCAACTTCAGAGTCAGGAGAGCATGTCTGTGAATGCCCACTCCCGCCTTGGAAGGAGGTTTAACCTGAGAAAAATGGTCCTGGGGGCTGTGGTTTCTGAGACAGCAGCCGTGGGGAGGGCCAGGAGAGGCCCATGCTGACACAGAGGCAGCACCATCTTTCCTAGGCAGGAAGGGGCCAGATTCTTCTCCAGAGAAACTGACGTGTCAGGAGAAAACCCTTTGGCCCTGTCCCTGCAGAGGTCATGAGACAGCCAGGCCCCACCCTCTCTCAGGGCGCCAGCCAGCCTTCCAGTTACCCACACTTGAATGTGAGTGACGCCCTCAGGCCACCAAGGGCGTGACTCTCCCACACGGGAGTGGCCCAGAACCAGACCCAGGGCAGGAAGTAGAAAACTTTAAAATATTTTGGTCTGCACAGGGCTCCTGTCCCCGGCACCTGGGGCTCCTCCCCGGCCCCTCTGCTCCAGGTCAGCAGAGGAGGAAAGAGAAGGAGGTGGGGTGCTAGGAGGGCTCCTGGGGGCTGGACCTGAGATAATGGACCTCGGGAAGTCAGGTTCCGTTGGCCAGACACGCCCATGCAGCCTCCCCAATGCAGGGAAGGCCGGGAAGTCCCTGCTCAGCGGCTGCCACCGCCCGAGCCCCGCACACACTCCCTCCTGAGAGCAGCCCGAGAGTCCTGTCTTCAGGAGGCAATACTTAGCACTCCTCATAGCACTGGGTGCGGCACGGGGCAGGGCCTGGGGCAGGCGGTGCGTGGTGACACCTCTGGGCTGACGGCCTGTTCTGTGGATACAAACAGCGTGGAAGAGAAAGTGGCTTCAAATCAACACAACTCGGCTTCAAAAAGCAAATCCCTGGGATGCCCTCCTGCCTTCAGCCTGAAAACGGCCAGCGCGATGCTGCCGCTTCTGTGGTCCGTGCGGCCTGCCTTCTCCAGCGGGGTCAGGCGGGGCGGTCCTTGCCCCTGCAGCCCACCCCAGCTCCGGCAGTGCTGGGAACGCCAGCGGCTCCTCCGCCTTAGGAACCAGAGGTGGCTGCCTTTGTCCCTCATCATGCAGCCCAGAGCCAGGAGGTCTGTGTCCAGGGATGTTCCCTGTGTCCAGTTCAGGGCCAGGGGGTCTGTGCGGAGATGTTCCCTGTGTCCAGTTCAGAGCCGGGGGTTTGTGTCTGGAGATGTTCCCTGTGTCCAGTTCGGGGCCAGGGGGTCTGTGTGCGGAGATGTTCCCTGTGTCCAGTTCAGGGCCGGGGGGTGTGTGCGGAGATGTTCCCTGTGTCCAGTTTGGAGCCGGGGGTCTGTGTCCGGAGATGTTCCCTGTGTCCAGTTCAGAGCCGGGGGTCTGTGTCCAGGGACACTCCCCTCTGTCCAGTGTGAGGCGCGTGGGCCGGCTGGAGGTCCCTCCCCGAAGGTCTGTCTCACAGCTGTGGGTGCCGCAGCACTGGGACCAGGCTGCACCCACCGGTCTGGGCCTCAGGTTCTGAGGGCTGCTGCTGGTGCCTGGGCCAGGGAAAGGCACGGTGGGAGCTGGTCTCCGGCTCAGAGATGCCCAGCTGCTGGCTCAGGCTGGGCCGCAGGAGCCTGTTGTTCCTGCATCCGCCTGTGGTGTTAGCGTGTGTGATGTGTTAGCATGTGTGATGTGTGTTAGTGGGTGTGGTGTGTGTTGGTGGGTGTGGTGTGTGTTGGTGTGGTGTGTTAGTATGTGTGATGTGTTTTGGCATGTGTGATGTGTTAGTGTGTGATGTGTTAATGTGTTACCTGTTAGCATGTGTGATGTGTGTTTGTGTGATGTGTGTTAGCGTGTGTGATGTGTGCTTGTGTGATGTGTTTTCGTGTGTGTGATTGTTAGTGTGTGTGATGTGTGCTTGTGTGATGTGTTTTAGCACGTGTGATGTGTGTTAGTGTGTGATGTGTGTGTTAGTGTGTGATGTGTGTTAGCGTGTGTGATGTGTGCTTGTGTGATGTGTTAGTGTGTGTGATGTGTGCTTGTGATGTGTTTTAGCACGTGTGATGTGTGTTAGTGTGTGATGTGTGTGTTAGTGTGTGATGTGTGTTAGCGTGTGTGATGTGTGCTTGTGTGATGTGTTTTCGTGTGTGTGATGTTAGTGTGTGTGATGTGTGCTTGTGTGATGTGTTTTAGCACGTGTGATGTGTGTTAGTGTGTGATGTGTGTTAGCGTGTGTGATGTGTGCTTGTGTGATGTGTTTTCGTGTGTGTGATGTGTGTTTGTGTGATGTGTTAGCGTGTGTGATGTGTGCTTGTGTGATGTGTTTTTGTGTGTGTGATGTGTTAGTGTGTGTGATGTGTGTTTGTGTGATGTGTGTTAGCGTGTGTGATGTGTGCTTGTGTGATGTGTTTTTGTGTGTGTGATGTGTTAGTGTGTGTGATGTGTGCTTGTGTGACGTGTTTTAGCACGTGTGATGTGTGTTAGTGTGTGATGTGTGTTAGTGTGTGATGTGTGTTAGCGTGTGTGATGTGTGCTTGTGTGATGTGTTTTTGTGTGTGTGATGTGTTAGTGTGTGTGATGTGTGCTTGTGTGATGTGTTTTCGTGTGTGTGATGTGTTAGTGTGTGTGATGTGTGCTTGTGTGATGTGTTTTAGCACGTGTGATGTGTGTTAGTGTGTGATGTGTGTTAGTGTGTGATGTGTGTTAGCGTGCGTGATGTGTGCTTGTGTGATGTGTTTTCGTGTGTGATGTGTGTTAGTGTGCAATGTGTTAGCGTGCGTGATGTCTCACTGCTGTTCAAGTGGACATTAGCATTGTCAGGTGGCCTCTGCAGTGTGGGGGTTCCTCTGGTCTGAGCTTGGCAGCCCCTTACCTCAGAGTCCAGGCCTCCTGTGTGTCCTCCAGAGATAGTTCTCATGGCAGCACTGGCTGCCCGAGCCCCCAGAGATGCACTGGGCCCAGCCGCCATCTTCACAAATGGTGAACCTCTCCCTTCAAACCACACTGTAGGCACAGGCAGCTGCTGCAAGGCTGAGTCTCTGTGGAATCCCTTCCTCTCCGAAGGGGCCTGTGAACCGTGACCGAGGGCAGTGAGGAGGGATCTGGAGAATCTCAGGGCGCGAGGACACTGGCGGGGCAAGTACGGGGGCAAACCTGCAGGGGCAGCTGCCAGGAGCCAAAATCAGGGTCAACCTTTCCGTGAGGTGCTTTTGTGCAAACTGATGTTTAGCTCCTGACTTAAGTAAAAAACATCCTTACGTCTTAGGTACATTTGTAAAACCTGGGTTTTATATGTGATGGAAATAATGTACCATCAGTATTGCAGCGTTGCTAAAACAGGGCAAGGTTTTCTATTATGGGGTGACCCTGGGGTCTTCTATTATCAGGGTGACCCTGGGTCTTCTATTATCGGGGTGACCCTGGGGTTTTCTATTATCGGGGTGACCCTGGGGTTTTCTATTATGGGGTGGCCCTGGGGTCTTCTATTATGGGGTGGCCCTGGGGTTTTCTATTATCGAGGTGACCCTGGCTCCCGTGGCAAATGCTGTCCCCAGTAGCACGTGGGGCTCTTCAGCTTATCTGAGTGCCGCGTCTCCATGGGCGGCAATTTCTCGGAGGCCTGGCACGGCGGCACCGGAAGCGGGTACTGGTGCCCTAAGGAGCGGGAGGGTCAACGTCCGGGGCCTGCCCTGCACTCGCCGAGGTGATGGGTTGGTTAGAGGAGCCACAGTTCCTCTCCGTGCACTCACGTGAATTACGCGCGGTGACTCAGCAGCCCCATGACGTCATGGCTCTGAGCGAGCGGCCGAGCGTCGGTGCCCCAGTCCAGCCCTTGCTGTTCCTTCACACTCACGTTTCCAAGCTGAAAACGCGAGGGGCTCAAAACTGGAAAGGAAAACAGCGTGGTCGGCCTCTCGTTCCTGCGACGCGTTCTGTGGGTGATGGAAAGATGGGGGAGGAGGAGGGACCACCCAGGGTGCCCCCCGCCGACCGTTACCCGCCCTTTGCCCCAAGGCTGTCTTTGAGGTCGGTCTTTCTGGGGCTGTGGCCCAAATGAAGTCAAGAGACAGCATCGGGCGTTGACTGTCCCCTCGTGTGGGCCGGGCACCGACCCTGCCTGGGGTTGCTGGGCACCAGCGCTCGTCACAATAAAAAACCCACAGTGAAGATGGGTCAGGGGTTTGCACTGCGCCAGGTCTGCTCATCCCCAAAGCCACGGTTTTCCCATCGCAGGTGGTCTGGAAGCACCAGACGGCGCGCGTGTGGGGTGGCCAGCGACGGGCTGCCACGGAGGTGTGCGACCTGCAGGCCACAGACATTCCCAGAGAGCCCCTGCGTGCAAAACATGGACACACAGATGTTTGTGAAGCTCTGGGATGGCGTTTAGCAGGAGGAATAACGGGGTCTTCAGAGAATCAACAAAATAAATGTAGCACCTGTTGGGTTATTGAAACCAGTTGTTATTAGGAAGGGATCTGGGGCAATTGATGAAGAAACAGGAAGACGACAAAACTCAAGGTCCAAGAATGAGGAAGCCGAGGAAGAATGAGGAAGCCGAGGAAGAATGAGGAAGCCGAGGAAGAATGAGGAAGCCGAGGAAGAATGAGGAAGCCGAGGAAGAAAGCAGCCGCCGTGTGGAGCCGCCCAGAGACTGGCACTCACCTGTGTCACTGTGCGGGGAGGGCAGGGTCTCGCCAGCAGCCGGTGGCACATGCGGGCGGCACGGGGGCTGCGTGGTGGCCTCTGTGATGTCACCTGGCAGAGGTGCCTGAGCTGGGCCCGGCGTGGAGGGCATAGGCCTCACTCTCTGACTGCCTGACAGTCCCTACAGTGAGCGGGACCCCCTTATTAAGGCTGTGGGGCAGAGTGGGGTGACAGGTGTTGAGGGGTGGGGCCCAGCCCCGGGCACCCGCATGTTCCTCTCTGCCCCTGGGAGAAGTGTTGAGAGACGGAGCTCGGGATCAGCTGGCATATCCACCATGTTCCAGGGTCGACCAGGGAGCACAGAGCCCTGAACATCCCTTCAACAGCGCGCCACACGCTCCTGGCACAAACTCCAGACCACGGCACAGCACCCAGATGGCTGCAGCCACGCAGGTGACACAGGGTCCAGAAACCTTGACAAAAAAGATACTTCGGGGCATTGGGATGTGTGAGGCTCAGGTGGGAGGAGAAGGCTCCAGCCCTCACCACGCTTGGCCCTGCCTCCAGCAAGGACCCCCACCCCAGGGCTCCAGGCCTCGGGCTGCTGCCTGTCTGATGTGAGCGTCCTCACCCTGTCCAGAAACCCACAACTGCCAGGACCGTGGGGTGACAGCCACGGTGGGCTCTGCAGGCCCCTCTGGTCTAAGACACCAGGAGGCCACATCCAGCAACCAAGGCCACCCGGCAGGACACGTCAGGATGGAGGTGCAGTGAAGACTGCGGTGGACGCCTCCAGAGGTTCCCACTTGGCTTCCAGTGGAGCCTCTGCCAAACCCGGCCTGTGCAAGGGCAGAGACAAGGCCCAGCAGGGCTCGAGCAGGCCCAAACGCACGACGCAGCTGCTGTGCCTGGGTCTGAGCTGCACCCACAGGTGACGTGAGGGGCGCCTAGGAGGCGGGGGAGGCACGGGGCCGGGAAGGCTCGGGGGTCCCAGAGCTCTCAGTATGCACCATGCCCGGGCAGCCTGGTTAGTCAGGGTCACTGTGGCGGGGAAGTCGGGAGCCAAGAGGCAGCTCAGCTGCAGGTGGCTCAAGACAGCAAGGGCTGCAGGGGGACCAGGAGTTTCAGGCAGCCAATGGTGCTGGCGGCAGGGCCGGGATGGAGCAGGGCGGGTCCCCGAGGCCTGCTGGTTGGGTCAGCCTTCCGAGGCCACTGCTGGGCATGAGACAGAAGAGATGGCATGGCTGATGTGATGGATGGGGGCCCGACACTCTAGCCCCAGCCCCTCCCTGGCTTCTGGGAGGCCCGGGCTGCCTCTGGGCAGGAAGAGATGCTGCTCCCTGCAGGCCAGGCCGGCTCCGGTGGAAGGAAGTCCTGGGCGTCCGCTGCAGGCCAAGGCCTCTCCTGTGCACCTGCCCTCACTGCGGCTGGCAGGGACGGACGTGTCCGGAGGCCTCTCCTGTGCACCTGCCCTCACTGCGGCTGGCAGGGACGGACATGTCCGGGCCGCAGGGTGAATCCTCCACGCTTTTCCTTGTCTCTGTTGCAGTTTTCCTGGCGTCTTGTCCTCTGGATGGGCCTCTGGATGAACATAAACTCCAGGGAAGCTGCATAGAATATGCAGCTCTTCTTTAACGCTCCCTAGAGGAAGAAAGCCCCTCAGCCGGAAGTATTGTTGACGTCGCCGCCACTACTAATGAAATATTTACTGAAAAGCCAAAGCGAAACATTTTTCTAGTTAATTAAAACAGTGCATCTTTCAAGCAAGCTCCCTCGAGGGGCCAGGCTCGGACGGACCCAGCGGGCAGGCAACCCGAGGTGCTCCTGAGTGGGGTCTCGACTGGGAAGGGGGCGCCCAGGACGCAGGTGGGGTTCCTGCCACACGACACTGAGGGGTGGGGGGACAGACGCTGCAGAGACCCTGCGAAAGGCCCCTCCCGATGGGTAAACTCACACTTGGTACACGCTGGCAGGGGCATCTGGGCCTGCACTCTGGAATTGGTGGTGGTCCTGGGAAGGTTTTTTGGGCCAGGGACAAGAGTACTTGGGTTTGCTTTCTGGAAAAATGAAAAAAGAGAAGTTTCTGTGTTCTCTCAGCTGTGTTAAACGCTGGCAGAAGTTGCCTCTCGGACCCTCCGCAGGGCTATGACAGGCTGGAGAAGTGGGGGCTCGGGAGGGAGCTCAAACAGCCTGCAGACTCCGCCGCAGAGTCCGCACCCCTGGAAGGAGGCGTCGGGGAAGGCACTGCACCCACGCATGGCTTCGAGGGCAGGAGGCAGGTTGCACAGCGGGGGTCACAGGCTCCTCTGTCCCAGGTGGGACTGGGCGATCCCAGACACGTGTGCTGTGGCCTCTGGGCCTCATGCGGAGAGCAGATGCCAGGGCCTGCAACTCTGACCTCTGAGCACACAGGCCGGCCTCAGGGAAGGGTTGTTCTGGCTGTGGGAACCTGAACTCGAAATGGCCTCCGTTCGCTGCAGACACTGCCCGCCTGCACCGGGGACTCAGCCCAGGCAGCTCTGCACACACCTCAGCACCACCCACCCTCAGGCCTCAGCCGCGCTACCCAGCAGGCGCTTTTGCCCAGAACGCCTGCTCAGAACACCGTGAGCCACTGCCCGGCGCTGAGCCGGGGCCTCCGGAACGTGAACCAAGCGGCTGCAGCCCAGGCCCAGAGCCACCGGCATCGCCCCATGGCAGCTGCAGGACCTGGAGTGGGCAGGGTCCAGGCCAGGGAGCGGGGTAGCCCTCACCCAGGAACTCTGCCCCGGGGGGTCTCTTCCTAAAAGTGCTGGAGTTGATGGATCTGGTTAGAGCACCAGAGCCCAGCCCATGGCTCTCCAGGAGTCTGGGGCCCTCAGTGAGGTGTGTCGATGGGGACTAGGAACTGGGGAGAGTCAGGTGGAAGGGAATGTTCCAGAATGCCTATTTGAGAGACTCAGAACAAACGTGTTTCTTGTCCTTTGTGCCGTGGCCGGGCATCGTGGAGAAGCTGCATCCAGGGCGGGCCCAGCCAGGCAGCGCCTGCCTCCCCACTGCCAGCCCCTGAGATGGTCTCATCCGCTGGGCGAGCAGGCCAGGGCTGCCCGTCTCCACCTTTGTGCTGGACCATTTACAATCAAAGCGCAGCATCGAGATACCCAGGAAAGAGCCAGGAACAGGCCAGGAAGCTGCTGCCCCACCACTGACCCCACCGCTCTCCTTCCCTCCTTCCTTCCCGCTGGGCTGGGCACAGGTGGAGCTCACCGTCGTCCCCCTTCATCCCTTGGCCCCTCCAAGGCTCAAGGACTGGAGGCCGACTGGGCAGCAGACATGTCACCATCACCATGCTCCCCGTCACCACGCTCCCTGTCGCCATGGTCACTGTCACCATGCTCCCTGTCGCCATGCTCCCCCTCGCCACGCTCCCTCTCGCCACGCTCCCCGTCGCCACGGTCCCCGTCGCCACGCTCCCCGTCGCCACGGTCCCCGTCGCCACGCTCCCCGTCGCCACGGTCCCCGTCGCCACGCTCCCCGTCGCCACGCTCCCCGTCGCCACGCTCCCCATCGCCACAGTCCCTGTCGCCACGCTCCCTGCGGGTCTCCCCATCCCCCGTGCAGCTGAGGGGGCCGCATGCGGTTCTCTGAGTCTTTGGAATGTGCAGGCACCTGTGAGGCAGCGCCACCTTGGAAAAATTTGCACGGTTCTGGCCGGGGCTGCCAGCCTCCAAGGACACCTTGAGCCTGGCAAGGAGGGGTCCAACCATTTCTCATGTATGGCCACACACCACTTCCGTTCACAGAGACCCCAGCCACTCCGGGCGCCAGGTGCTGACGTGCCACGTGGGCATCTAGTAGACACGGATGCCGCATGGGGGTCTGGTAGACACGGATGCCGCATGGCGTCTGGTAGACACGGATGCCGCATGGCGTCTGGTAGACACGGATGCCGCATGGCGTCTGGTAGACACGGATGCCGCATGGCGTCTGGTAGACACGGATGCCGCATGGCGTCTGGTAGACACGGATGCCACATGGGCATCTGGTAGACACGGATGCCACATGGGCATCTGGTAGACACGGATGCCATATGGGGGTCTAGTAGACACGGATGCCACATGGCATCTGGTAGACACGGATGCCGCATGGGGGTCTGGTAGACACGGATGCCGCATGGGCGTCTGGTAGACACGGATGCCACATGGGCGTCTGGTAGACACGGATGCCACATGGGCGTCTGGTAGACACGGATGCCATATGGGGGTCTAATGGACACAGATGCCACATGGGCGTCTGGTAGACACGGATGCCACATGGGCGTCTGGTAGACACGGATGCCACATGGGCGTCTGGTAGACACGGATGCCGCATGGGCGTCTGGTAGACACGGATGCCGCATGGGCGTCTGGTAGACACGGATGCCGCATGGGCGTCTGGTAGACACGGATGCCGCATGGGCGTCTGGTAGACACGGATGCCGCATGGGCGTCTGGTAGACACGGATGCCATATGGGGGTCTAATGGACACAGATGCCATATGGGTGTCTGGTAGACACGGATGCCACATGGGCGTCTGGTAGACACGGATGCCATATGGGCGTCTGGTAGACACGGATGCCACATACGGCGTCTGGTAGACACGGATGCCACATGGGCGTCTGGTAGACACGGATGCCACATGGGCGTCTGGTAGACACGGATGCCACATGGGCGTCTGGTAGACACGGATGCCATATGGGGGTCTAATGGACACAGATGCCATATGGGTGTCTGGTAGACACGGATGCCACATGGGCGTCTGGTAGACACGGATGCCATATGGGCGTCTGGTAGACACGGATGCCACATGGGCGTCTGGTAGACACGGATGCCACATACGGGTCTAGTAGGACAGCGGGACCCGCAGGGAGCGTGGTGACAGAGACCGTGGTGACCGGGACCGTGTGCAGGGACCTGCCCTCCTGCTGCTGCATAAACGTTCGGGGGTTGGGGGGCTCCAGAACGGGGGCACCAGGTGCTCAGGAAGACCCGGCGGAGCCTTCGCCTCCCAGGCCCAGGGGCTGTCCTCTTTGTCAGCCGGGGGTCATCACAGCCAGGGGGCTCTCCCCCGCCAGAGCCAGAGTCCAGAACGTGCTCCAGAAGCCGCGACATGTCTGGTGCCCCGGGACTGTCTCTGGTGTCCGCAGCTCTCGTTTGGGGAGAAAAGGATTTCTCTGCTGAATGCTCTTCCCCCACATTAAAATCCAGGCTGTTGATCTGATTCTTAGCACCATGATTTTATACACTGTGTTTTCTTAAAAGAGAAAAAAGGGATTTTTGTATCCTGAAAAAAAGCATCATCTTGCTTTTGTAAAATCTATAAAAGAGCCTGTGATTTCTTTTTTGTTCCGCATGGTTTATTGAGCTATGAGGCTGGAGTTTCTTTCTGACAGTTTAATATCGAGTGACAGCCGAGGCTGCCTCTGAGAGATGCTCTTTCTGAACAAATGAAAAAATACACTTTTCCAGATTTAGATAAAGGTGAAGGTTGTTTGGGGTTTGAAATGTTTTCCTTTTCATGCAGCATAAACATGCATCAGGCACACATCCCTGAGACTCTTTCCGGCACCTTCCGCGCTGGGCGTCTGCTGCCTTCGGAGCTGGTTTGCAGGCGGGGCCCTTGGGATGTGGGTACCTGCCTCGCACTCTGTGCAGCTGGTGTCCTGGCTCCTGGAGTGGCGGTGGCATCCTCGTGGGGATGGGGGTGGCTGGCGAGTGGCCGTCGGATGCACCCCTGCCTCACACAGCCACAGGCTGGAGGGAAGGACCCGAGCGGGACATGGCCTAGGTGGAGCTGGGGCCTCTCCTGTGGTGCGTTGGGCGGGGGGTGGGGAGGCTCCACGCACCTCCCTAAGGGCAGCTGTGACATTTGTGTCCAGGATAAAGGCAAAGTCCACCATGGCGAAGACGCTGCCCTCCCAGTAGCAGGCAACATAGGCCAGAAACAGGGGTCCCTCATCCTCAGAAGGGCTGGGGTTGCCCCCTTCCTGGGCCAGCCAGTGGGGGACCCTGTGCTCCAAGCCGCTAACAGCATGTGCGCTGCTGGAGATACCCGGGTTGAAGTTCATCCTCAGACACAGCTGCATGTTGGGAGCACCCGTCCCTTCGTGCCCACAGTGGCTGGAGACGCGGCTGTTCCAGAGGGCATCCAGTCTGAATTCATGTCCGCCCATGCCCGCCCCCAGCTACTTCCAGAGGCATTTGAAGGGAGGACCTGTGCCCTGCACAGCTGCTTCTCAAAGGGGTGCCAGCACCTGTCCATGCGTCACTAACCCAAGCTCCATGCCGGGCACAGGCTGGGCGTCAGAGCCACCGAAACACCAACCTCTGCCCCAAGTCACTGGGCGGGCGCCTGACATCGACATGCAGGCTGTACCCCCCGCGCAGGGCACAGGGATCCCAGGGCCTTCAGAAGAGCCAGAGTCTAGAACCGGTGAAAGTGAGGGCTCTGCCACAGCTGGTGGGGGTCTTGGGCAAAGCACAGAACCTTCCAGAACTCAGCATCTCCATCTGCAAGTGAGGAGCTGGGCTGGGACCCCTAACTGCACCCAACTCTGGTCTCTGAAATTCTAGGTCCAGTTGCCTGCTTTGGGAAGCGCTGTCTGTAGGCCGGGGCCACCGCCTTGCAGTCCAGTCCAACACCCAAGGACCCGAGTCGCTGGGGTGGGCGCCGGCTGTGGGGCAGAGACGCGGCGCTGCGTGTGAGAAGCTGCTGCCTCCCCAGCGGGATCCCCAGCTCTGCCCGCGCCCTCGTAGGTGATCACTCGACCAATCATGTCCTGAGCAGCACCAGATGGGCTGGGCCACTCACACAGCCACAGACCAGTGGCCCAGACCACCTGAGGTCCAGCCCGAGCCAGTGAAGTCAGGGCCTCCCCTCACCCCAAGATCCAGGGATCCCGCCTGCCCCCCATCCAGCCAGGCACCAGGGTGCGGATTCACGCCTCCTGACACAGCCCCTCAGACCGCGGGTGGAAGCCTCTCTGTCCTTTCCTGCCGTGTGGGCAGAAGTCATCACCGCCCTGACAGGACAAAGGAGAGAATGGGGCTCTCGGCGGGACTGCCACCCTTCTGCCCGAAGGGACAGCCACCTTCCCCCTCAAGAGACGGCGACCTTCTCCCCCAGGGGACGGCCACCTTCTCCCCCAAGGGACGGCCGCCTTCCCCCCCAGGGGACGGCCGCCTTCTCCCCCAGGGGACGGCCACCTTCTCCCCCAGGGGACGGCCGCCTTCTCCCCTGAAGGAGTCAGGAGAGGGGGTGGCTCCAGGAGTTAGAGGCAGCAGTGCTGTTGCCCGGGACACCTTCTCCAAGGGTGTGTGTGTTTGGGGAGAAGCTGGGAACGCTATTTGTACAGCAGTGCTTCTGTGGGAACGCGTGTTTCCAGTTCCAAAAAGCCAACCAAATGCTCAGAACCTCCCCCTGGGCTGGTTGGTGTGATTGAGACTGGTCGCTCCAGTCTGCACCTGTCTGCGGTGACGGCCGCCCTTCCCGTCAGCCCCTCCGCGGTCCCGGCCCCAGCCCTGGGTTGAGGGAGGGCTGGGGAGGAGCAGGGACAGACGGGCAGGCACCAGGACGCTGGCTGCTGCGTGAATGTCACCTGTGGTCACGGCCGACGCCCGGCGGGCCTGGGCATGGAGTCAGGACCGGAAAGCGAGGCCGGCAGCAGCACCAGCTCCTCAGCAAGGCCCCCGCTGCCGACTGGGCACGGGCACTCCAAGGGGACGCCTGGCACGTGCCGGGATCCACGCGCGGAACAATTTAGAGAGGCAGCAGCGTGCGCAGCGGGTGAAGTGGCAGAGGACGAGAGACACTGTGGCTTAATGCCTGAATCCCACGGTTTCTTGGCACAAACAATTCCTAACAAGTGTAGGTGTTTATCCCAGTCACACTGCACACAGCTTCTCATTTTCACCATTAGGGAAAGGTCAAGTTCTCACACCGATAAGGCACAGGGAGGTTGCGGGAGACCTTGGGTCTCCGGGGATGGTTCCTCCAGCGTCGAGGTTGGCGGCCAACTCCGGGCCCCTTTCTGAGTGGCAGTGTCTTATCCTCTCAAGTCTGCGTCTCAGCCAGCGGGTTGAGCTGACTGGGGAATCCTCTTTCTACAGTCCCTCGACGGCATCCACCTGTGTCTGGCTCTCCTGGAGGTCGGCGCGCCTGGCTCGTGACATCGTCCCTCCTTGGAACCCCCCAACGCGGTTGGTCTAATCAAGTTTGGGTGTTCCAGACATTTTGGCAGACATCCGAGCTTACAAACTGTGATAACATATCCACATTAAACCCATAAACTACATTACACCCATAAACAGGAAGGACCCGGGGTCTACGCCACGTCAGACCTGCCCGCGCGTGATCGCAGGCCGAGAACAACCTTCTACTTCCGTTCCCTCCCCTCCAGTGTCTCAGGGCACCCACCAGCCCCAGCACGGTTCTCTCTGATGTGCGGCGCAGCAGCCTGAAGCATGCAGAGGCACGGGGCGGGCGCTGGTCCCACCCCCACGATGTCCTTCGGGGGCGGCTGAGCCCCGCCGTCACCCACGAGGAGCTCTAGGCGTTGGCGGAGCCTAAGGGAGGCAGGGCCGGCTCTGCATGGGGGCCGCGGAAAGAGGCCACCGCGCTTGTCTCCGCTGAGGGCCCAGGCGACTCGTCCTGCTCTCCGGAGTCGGCCCTCGGCCTGGCTACGCTCTCCCGCGGACCCCACCAGGGCAACGTCAGCTGGGTCCTCTCTGAGCTGACCCTCTTTAGAATACACGGGCAGCCTCCTGACATTGCAGGGCAAAGGCTGATAGCAGTCGGCCCTTTCTGACCTGGAAGTGGGACTGACCCGGCCCGCAGTCCCCCACCCTGTCGTCAGGAGCAGAGGTGCTCACACAGACACACGTCTGTGATGTGGCCGATCTGCCTCTGGAGCTCATGGAAAGCCGGGTGCCTGGAGCGGGTCTGAGGCTCCTGGCTCTGGGAGTCTGGATGGACTTTAAACTCTTCAGGACTGTGGTCCAAGCACCGCAGCCATGGGTGGCAGAGCTCACAGCGAAAACGGACTTAAACTGCTCTGCAGAATTAAGTTTGAATCATTACCTACAAACTCAGAAACGCAGCTGTCACTTGGGCAACTCTGGGTTTCTAGCAGCTAAAAATCATTTCCACCAAATGATCCGTCAGCCGCGGCGGCTCTGGGCCGGAGGAGGGCTGTTTCCTGCCTCCCTCCCGCCCCACTGGCGTCTAATCAGATTACCCAGCATCCTCGGGAAGCTAGCCTGCCCTCAGCCGTTGGGAAAACAATTTATTTGGAAAGAATTTGCTGAGGTCTTGTTACTGCTCAGGGGAGGTTCCCAGTAGCCCTTTGGCCTTGGGGCCTAGTGGAGATTTTGGCTTCAGGATTGTCTCAATATGGCTGAGCAGGTGTCTGGGCCTCGCTCCCTCTCCCTCGTACGTCTCTGGCTCAGGCACTTTTATCAGCACCTTTCAACTTTGTCCACCTCAAGCGCAGGAACAGAAGCTGTTGCCCGTGCCCTGTGGGGCTGGTCCAGGCCTCCCCAGGCACCGGCCAGCACCTGCGTTTCCATGAAAGGTCCCACCGACCACCCACACTCGCAACCCAAGCCTGGCCGGGCCGTCTGCAGCATTTCTCAGCCAAAATAGAAATCAGGTGACACCAACGTGACCACGGCAAGAGCGAGCTGGAGCGGAGCCTCGGGTAGCCATGACTAACAGACATGGTTCGCAAACCCACGCACACCTTCCAAAAACGCCAGGCTGGCCTCACATGACCAGGGGCCTCACCAAGTGCAGTGGGTCCCTGCGTGTCAGGGAGGCTGCCCAGAGCTGTGGCTGCTCCTGTCTTAGCCTCAACCTGTGCCCGGGGCCCTGTGGATGGATCCGCGTGGGGCGGTGGTGTTCCAAGTCCACGTGGGGCGGTGGTGTTCCAGGTCCACGTGGGGCGGTGGTGTTCCAGGTCCACGTGGGGCGGTGGTGTTCCAGGTCCACGTGGGGTGGTGGTGTTCCAAGTCCACGTGGGACGGCGGTGTTCCAGGCCACAGCGGAAGGAGGTGGGGCCACAGATGACTGTCCTGGGTCTCTGGCTGCTGAGCCTGCATGTGTGACCACTGAGAGGAGAGCTCCTGCTCCTTCCAGCCCCGGGGTCTTCGAGCTCCTGCTCCTTCCAGCCCCAGGGTCTTCAAGCTCCTGCTCCTTCCAGCCCCGGGGTCTTCAAGCTCCTGCTCCTTCCAGCCCCGGGGTCTTCAAGCTCCTGCTCCTTCCAGCCCCGGGGTCTTCAAGCTCCTGCTCCTTCCAGCCCCGGGGTCTTCTAGCTCCTGCTCCTTCCAGCCCCGGGGTCTTCGAGCTCCTGCTCCTTCCAGCCCCGGGGTCTTCGAGCTCCTGCTCCTTCCAGCCCCAGGGTCTTTGAGCTCCTGCTCCTTCCAGTCCCGGGGTCTTCAAGCTCCTGCTCCTTCCAGCCCCGGGGTCTTCGCTCTCATTGCCAGGATGAAAGTGTGAAAGACGTGACTGGGGTGGGCACCGTTGTCTTTCCTACTCACAGAAAGGTGGCTCCTCCTGAAGATGCTTGGGCTGACCTGAGCGTACTCCAAACAGGGGCTGAGACGTGAGGACTGGCGATAAAACGCCCCTGGCTCACAACAACCTCATCTTGCCAGAAACATGCGTTCTCCTCTAGACAGCCAAAACCCAAAGTTTCGCTTTAAACATTTTTCCAAGCAGAGGTTTTCTGGGGTATGAAACCTCTAGGGGCTGTTTGGTGGTCTCTGGGCTTTGCCGAGGGCCGGGGTGGCACCATTTTGTTGACTTAGGTCGGACGTGGCTGCCTGAGTCTGCATCGATCCTGCAGCTGGAACAGCATCTGCCCTGGCTGGTTCGGGGCCACTGCCCCCTGAGCGTTCCCGAGAGGTCCCTGAGAGCTCCTGCATTGTCTCGGGGGTTCAGTGAGCAGTTTGAAGGCAGCATCCTACTTTTACACTGCTTTTGACTTTTTTCCTCCATGAATTGAACACTTACTGTCTCTGAAAACTTGAAATCGGCTCCTTTGTCTCCAGGAAGCATAAGTCAGTCATGTAAAACTTTGCCCCAAGCTTTCAATCGCTTTTAAATAACAATCGAAATGTCACTGGATCCGCTCTTGCCGCCCATGAAGCTCTCACTCCTCCCGCCTCGGAACGCAGAGGTCTGTTCCCTCCCATCTCAGAGTCACACACCCGACAACGAAGTCAGCTCTGGAGATGCTGGCAGGGGCCCCAACCGAGAGTGGCAGCAGCGGGCATTGCAGCAGACTTGATGGCCTGTTGGGCGTCCAGGATTTACGGCCACGTTATTTTTACCATCTCCTTTTGCCATGAGACCCGGCAGAGCAGTCCCAGAGTAACACTTGGCGGGGCTCGGCTCTGCGGAGATGTGGCCACCGGGCTCCCTCCGCGTCCCTCGAGGCTGTGGCCACTCCCGCTCCTGCCTGACTTTGGGACCACAGGGTGTCACATCCAATGTCTCATTTCCGTAACATTTGGAAAGGTAACCGGCAAGACATGAAGACTAAGGTTTTCGAGGTTAGCCCTCCAATCTCCCTAAGGCTCCCTGGAGAGGCTGGACACCCTGTGTTATCTGATCAGCACGAGGGAGTGAACCTTAAAATGGGGCAGCTCCCATCACGCCAGCTCCCTGCCTTCTGTCCAGCAGTTCCCAGCCCTGTCTGGGGACAGCACTGGCGCCCACACAGAGGATGAGGAGGGCTCATCAGAGGTCTTCTCCACACGGCACGAGGTGGCATCCCCGGGCCATGGCTCCCATCTGCAGCAATGCGCCCTGCATCCCTTCACACAGCAGGTGCATCCCCTCACCTGCAGGTGCACAGCGGCCAGTGGGCTGGGAGGGTCTTCCTCCAGAGTCCTGAAACAGCGGAGATAATGTGGCATTTTGGCATTTGGGGACACGCTTAATCTTTGGTTTCTGTTTATTTGCCAAGAACCTGTTGCACACCTGTGAAGCCCAGGTCCTGGTGGGGGGAGGATGAGGCAGGGGCCCCCACTGCCCCCCCTTGCAGGGATGGGCTCAGAGGTGCAGTCGGTGAAGCCTAAGTGAGGGCGGGAGCAAGTGTGGGAGCTGGAGGGATCTGGGGTGACAGAGCCTTTGCCAAACAAAGAGGGAAGGAGGGCCCTGCCGAGCACGGAGCATGGGGTGTGTAGGTGGGGAGGGTCCCGGGTGGGCCTGGGAGGCCAGCCGACCCCCAGGAGAGTGTCAGAGCAGAGGCCAGTGTGGGCAGACGCAGGCCCTGAAGAGAGAGGTGGGTGGAGGACGAGGCCTTGCTTCTGAGTGAGAAGCCAAAGGGTGGGACCCACAGCTCTCGGGGCAAGAGGAGCCAGGAACAGGGCAGAGCTCGTAGCCTGATGCAGGCTGGGAGCCACACAGGGCAGTAAAATTCCCCAGTGAGGAGCTGGGATGTGTTCTGCTTGGGAGGCAGGATTTCCTCGACACACGGATGTTAGGCAAAGAAGGGAATGGGGAGCCCAGGACTGCAGCCTCCATCTCTCTCCTCAGGGGCAGGTACTCTGTGTGGGTACCCGCTTGGCTCCTCCAGTGGGGCCCCTCAGGTGCCACGGTGATGCCCCGTGGCCCACATCAGCCGCCTCCTCACAGGAATCCCGCAGCACCAGCCTCCTCTGCACCAGCAAGGCAGGCCCAGGCTCCAGCGGGGGCTTTGCAGAGGACATGTCTACCAGTCCCAGTCCACAGGGCCAACCCCAGCCCACTCACTGCCCTGCTGGGCCTGCTGCCTGCCGCCTTACAATGTGTTCTGGGGACAAAACTCAATAGTTACCAACAGACCCGCATTTCCTGGCAATTCTTGCCTTTAAAATCCTGATGTTACTTTCCAAAAGTAAATGGTTTAAACAGGCTCACAATTATTAATGATTTACTATGCTGGCTTGGAAAAATCAGCAGGACGTCTCTTGTCCAGCGGCGACACAGAACTAGACACACAAGGCTCTCAGCTGCAGCTGAGTGGGGCCGGGTGAGTCTCTGAGTGGCCTTGGACCCACTTAGTGCCCACCGCCTTTCTTGCTTGTACTTCTCAAGAACCACTGCAGATTCTTGCTGGGAACGCAGCATCCTGAGAGAGGGGGGAGCTGACCTGGCAGCCGGGCTCTGTTCCTGTCCCCCGTAGAGCAGGTATGCTGTGGGACCACAGCCAGAGCAGGGTATCCAGAAGCACCGCGGCCCAGGCAAAGCAGGTGTCCTGCAATACTGAAGCCTGGTGCATGCTGTCCCCTCGGTGTGGACCCAGAGCAGCACCTTCTGGATCCCTCTGCGGCAGTGCAACATGGGGCACACGCAGACGAGGCCCGTCCTGCCCTGGGCTGCTTTCCTGAGCCTGGGGACCAGCTTGCCGCCAACCCTGTGAGCCTGGGGACCAGCTTGCCGCCAACCCTGTGAGCCTGGGGACCAGCTTGCCGTGGACCCTGTGAGCCTGGGGACCAGCTTGCCGCCGACCCTGTGAGCCTGGGGACCAGCTTGCCGCCGACCCTGTGAGCCTGGGGGGCCAGCCTGCCGTGAACCCTGTGAGCCTGGGGACCAGCCTGCCATGAACCCTGTGAGCCTGGGGGCCAGCTTGCCATCAACCCTGTGAGCCTGGGGGGCCAGCCTGCCGTGAACCCTGTGAGCCTGGGGGACCAGCTTGCCGTGAACCCCGTGAGCCTGGGGGACCGGCTTGCCGCCCACCCTATGAGCCTGGGGGCCAGCTTGCCTTGAACCCTGGGCTTCTGTTCTCCCTTGCTGCCTGTCTGGGTAATCAGGTTGCTCCTCCTAACTTGTGTGAGTGCTCTGCCTCGCCCAGCTCAGGCAAACACTCTGATCCCCACGTGTGTGAGCTGCACGGTGTTTCGAGTCCTCTCCTGAGGTTGGTACCAGTGCACTGTGAGCCCGCTTCACAGAGCTCACAGACAACAGCTTTGCCTTGAAATCTGAGCTGAACGCATGGCACAGAATGTGGAGCCCGTGACCTCAGCAATCAAGCCGTGAGGGCCTTGCAGGGAGGCAGCCGGCTCACAGTCCTCGGGTGGCGTCACCTTTGTCATTTGAAAAGTCAGCAACAGGTGCTTTTTTCTTCTTTCATGATCAGTTGACCAGTAGTCAGGCTAAGCATGGATCGCAGGACCAGCCTTCCCGAGTTCTCTCTGACGTGGGACTCAGCCCAGATGTGGCCTCCTGGGGAGCTCCTTTCTGCTCTCCCAGCCCACCCCTAGAAACAAGAATCTCTTTTGTTTGAAGTACTTTCTCCCTTCTGCACTGACCTTTATCTTGGTGTTTGAGGAGTCAGTTACTTGTGCTGCGCCTGGAGGTTTTGATGCTGGAGAGCAGGAGGTGCATCTGTTTCATCTCTGCACCTCAGTGTACCCAGGAGTCAGAGGGGCTCAGTGTGTCTGTTGAGTGAACAGCAGGATGAGTGGATGAATGAATGGATGGACGGGTGGGTGGGTAGATGGATGGGTGGATGGGTTGGTGGATGGATGGGTGGGTGGAGGGGTGAGTAGATTATTAGGTGGGTGGGTGGCTGGGTGGATGCATGGGTAGATGGATGGATGGGTGGGTAGGTGGATGGGTGGGTGGATGAGTAGATGAGTGGGTAGGCAGATGGGTGGATGGGTGATTGGGTGGATGGATGGATGGATGAGTGGATGGGTAGGTGGATGGATGGATGGGTGGATGGGTGATTGGGTGGATGGATGGATGGGTAGGTGGATGGATGGATGGGTGGGTGGATGGGTAGTTGGATGGATGGGTGGGTGAATGGATGAGTGAGTAGGTAGATGGGTAGATGGGTGGATGGGTGGGTGGAGGGATGGGTGGGTGGTTAGATAAATGGGTGGGTGGGTGGATGGGTGGATGGTTGAGTAGATGGGTAGGTGGCTGGATGGGTGAATGGATGAATGGATGGATGGGTGGATAGGTGGGTGGATGGGTGGGTAGGTGGGTGGATGGTGAAACTCGGGGGCTATTCCCTTGGGATAGGTAGCTCTGGTGAGGACAGGGGTGTGGGCAGCAGGGTGGCCATGCTCTAGCTGAGGCCTCTTGGGAGGATAAGACCCCTGTTATCATTCACTCATTTAGGATAGAACATGGCTGCATAGAGCACCCCTGGAATTTTGCCCAACCCCTGGGTTCTCTGCCCTCCTTCTAGATGTTGTGAATAATTTGGGAGCTTGGCACTTCCCTGGCAGGGCCATCGCCACCTTCAGGGTTGCCCAGTTCACACTGAGTGAGCAGTCCCAGGATCAGGGCAACACAGTTGCCAACGGACCCGTGGGCGTGTGGTGGGAGGCTGATCTCCGCTGTGTCCCATCAGAGGGCATCTGCAGAGGGTCCAAGGGCGGCCACAGCCGGCCCAGCTCCACAGGCGCAGTTCCTGGGCCTCATCCCTAAGGGTGAGGGTCTAGATTGCCCCGAGGAGACTCAGGTTGACCAGGTGCCGGCCAAGCCACGGAGCAGCTGAGCAGCAGTGAACACGTCTCCCTGAGAAGCCAGCAGCTTGCACCGGGTTTGAGCTGAAGCCCAATTCTCACCGGCCACGTTCCCAGGCTCTGGGTTCGGGGCTGCAGAGCTGCAGGACCGTGCAGTCCTTTTAAGTGTGAATGTTTTCACCTTCCTGTTTCACCTCGCCAGGGAATGAGGCCATGCCCCCACCCGCTTTCCTCCGACTTCTTTTCAGGGAGCTGATTCAGGGGAGCCTGGATACCAGAGCCTCGGGGGCCAGGGGGTGCCAAGCCAGAGTCCCCACGAGATGCAGAGGAAAAGGCAGTGCCAGGAGGCGTCCCTGATGAACGGGCAGCTTAGTTTTGGATCACTGGAGGCTCAGGGCCATAGTGAATAATTCAGCATCCTAAATAAAACATGAGAAAGTTTAGATGAACCAGCATTTTCCATTCTTTTCTTCAACGAAAACTGCGTGACAATATTGAACCAGGATGTCATCCGAGCGCCACACGGTCCCTTCCTGGGTTCTCTCCCCAAAGGCAGAGGCTGCTCCTGAGCCTTGGGCCATAGGAATTCAGGGCATCACACTCCCAGAGGGCCGTGAAACAGCTGGACACCTCACCGCATGCCTGGGCTGGAGTGGTGTCACAAGAACAGAGATTGTTGCAACCCAACAACGTGCCGGGAAACCCAAACCACAGGTTCCCCCGTTCCTCCAGGACACCCAACAACGCGCCAGGAAACCCAAACCACAGGTTCCCCCGTTCCTCCAGGACACCCAACAACGCGCCGGGAAACCCAAACCACAGGTTCCCCCGTTCCTCCAGGACACCCAACAACGCGCCGGGAAACCCAAACCACAGGTTCCCCCGTTCCTCCAGGACACCCAACAACGCGCCGGGAAACCCAAACCACAGGTTCCCCCGTTCCTCCAGGACACCCAACAATGCGCCGGGAAACCCAAACCACAGGTTCCCCCGTTCCTCCAGGACACCCAACAACGCGCCGGGAAACCCAAACCACAGGCTCCTCCTGTTCCTCCGGGACACAGGAGGCCACGCCCACCACGGGGGAGGCGCCGGGGTCCCGTGTGCCGGGGTCTCTCAGTGACACGGGAGCTCCTTGTCCACAAGGGCAGGCACCTCAGAGCCACCTGAGTTTCAGGACGTCCCTGTTCCATTGCAGAACGCATGGGTGGTCCTCGAGCCCGGCTCTGGCCTGGTCCCACCGAACCCCTGGGTGTCCAAGGGCTCTTCACAGACAGACACACCCTCAACCCACCAGGCGCGGGCAGGTTGGGAGACGCACAAGAAGCTTTGGAAGCTGGACTTCAATTCGTCTTTTCTCATTCAACACAAAGACGTCACTCATTCGCAGGACGGACTCTGCCTCCCAGGCCTGGACCCCAGTCACTGGGATTGGACGTTCCAGTTAAAAATACAACTTTAGAAGCACCTCATTTGAGCTGGCCTCGAGAACAACAAAATAGTCTCACACAGAAACTCCAGGACCACTCGCAGCTAGCACCAGTACATGCGGTTCTCGTCCTCTAACAGCAAAAGGTTTGTTAAAAAAAAAAGAGTCTGCACTTTCCAACAAAAGCCAAGGACGCCTGTCACTGTGCAACCATCAAAGGGAAGGCGGATGCATCCCTCATTATGCGCTGGCCCTCAGAGTCCGCTCCGTTTTATTTGTGAACCACGCATCAAAAGCCCACTGGTTCCTCCGGTGTTGAAGGCAGGAATTCAAGAATGCAGCTCAACGGGCCCGCCCACTGCGGGCCAGGAAGCCGGCTCCGAGCTGCCTTTGAGGACGCACCTGCCGCTGGCCGAGCTCCGCGGCGCTCTGAGGTCTGATCTCGCAGCAGATGGAAGAGTGGAAGGAACATCGGAAAGACAGGCGCTGCCTCCTGGGATTGCAGCTGGAGAATGCTCCGTGCCGCGGAGGCCGCGTTGGAGGCCCAGGTGGTTTTTATAATTGATGGTGGATGAGAAGACCGGGCCGCGGGTGGCATGTAGGCACCTGGCACACACGTCGTCTTTGACCTGCTTTTAAAGCACATTCCCGTGTGTCGTGAACAACGCTGTCCCCGGCGTCTGCTCATCAAGAGGTGCGAGGTGCTTCTGCCGGTTTCTCCTCCGCTGGGGACGCAGGCCGGGAGTTTGCTGCTCTTTCACTTGTTTAAAGTTTTCGTTGTCCTTCTTCATCCGGAGCCCGCGTTCTGCTCTCCGTGTGTCTTCCAGCGTGATTAGCGAGCTGTGGGAATGGGGGCAGTTTTTCTTCCAAGCTTCCGCTCCCTGGGAACTGCAGGAACCCTACAGGCGGCCAGAGATGCAGGAGGCTCTGCTCTTGCAGTGAGGTGGATCCCCAGCCGGGATTGCCATTTAGGGTGAGATGGAAGAGGGGAGCCGCGCTCCATGTCCCCTCTGAGGGGCCCAGCCACTGGCCGACTTGTCCACCTGGCCGGAGGCACCTGCCCAGCCTTGTTCCTCTCCAGCCCCGCAGAGCTCAGGCCCAGCATCCCCATAACTGGACAGGGTGATGGGACTCCCAGCAACCACAGGCACTCATCGCCAGAGGGGGACCAGCTCCTTCAGGCCTCTCCCTGCTGAACGGGGCTGCACTGGGCCGGATCCAGCTCCTTCAGGCCTCTCCCTGCTGGACGGGGCTGCACTGGGCCGATTCCGGCTCCTGTGGGGCCCCACGAGGCTCCTGGCTCCGGTTCCTGCTGGCTGTCCATCCTCCCGGCCTGGCCACATGTTCCTGCTCCGATTTCTCTGAGCCCAGCTCTTTCTCGCCCTGGGCCCGTGTCCTGGCTCATCCCCCTGCCAGGAATCAGCCTCCCCCACTCCTGGTATAGGGGTACAGCATGGCCGTTCCCCCACTCCCCAGGGCTCAGTTCAAGGCCTCTCCCAAGAGAGGCCATCCTGTCTCCCACACTGTGTGCTCACTTGGGTCCCCCAGCAGGAGCTCCGAAGACAGGGGCCAGTCTGACTTGTCGACGCTGTGGTCCCAGCACCAGCCCGGTCTTTCCATGGAGGCTCCCACAACTGCCTGTCAGATCAATCAGTCGATTGGCCTGGAGCCTGGGGGTAAGGCAGGGGCATCCCACCTGAGCCGATCAGGGGAGCCGGCACCCAGCCCTTGTAAGGGCTCCATCCTGGGATTTGAGATCTGTCTGTGGGTGCAGGTGGCGGGAGGCGTGTGGGGTGGTGGGGGTCATTGACCGGCCACCTAGAAAGTAACAGAGGGGCAAGAGCTAGCCGGGGCACGGAGGCCATCACTGGGCACCAGGTGCTGAGGCACCAGACAGGTGGGGCTCGCCTGCTCCAGAGGCCTGGGCGCAGAGGGCGTCTTTGCCAAACAGCCCAGAGTTTCTATAGTAGCTCCCACCTGAGCTCACAGCCTCATGGAGCACAGAGGCCGGAGGGCCATGTCACTGGCGTGGGGAGTGGGGAGTGGGGCTGCCTCTGCTGGAGCCCCCCAGGCAGCTCACGCTGAAGGCCAGCCCAGGAGGGGCCTCTCTGTGATGGACACTGTCCTCTCCCTGCCCCCTTCTCCCTCCTCATGGGAATGTGGCTATCCCGGGGTCACTGTGGGTCAAGGGAGAAAGTGGACACGGGTGTCCCGGGGAGCAGACACCTGCAGGTGTGCAGAGAGCAGGGCCTGGTCACAGCGCCTCGGTCATGCCAGCCCAGGGAACCCTCTGCTGTGGTGCGACCTCCCAACCTCGTGTTGCAATGTGATCCCCCGTGTTGGAGGTGGGACCTGGTGGGAGTGTGTGGGTCACAGGTGGATCCCTCAGGAGGGGCTTGGTGCCCTCCCTGGGGCAGTGAGTTCTTGCTCTGAGTTCCCCAGAGAGCGGCCTGTTGAACAGAGCCCAGCACCTCCCTCCCCTCTCTCTTCCTTTCTCCGTCCCCATGACATGCTGGTTTGCGTTCGCCTTCCACCAAGAGTGGAAGCTTCCTGAGGCCTCACCAGAGGCAGATGCCGGGGCCACGCGGCCTGTGAAGCCTGCAGAGCTGTGAGCCAAAGGAAGCTCTTTTTAAATAAATTACCAGCCTCAGGCAGTCCTTTATAGCAACACAGACGGACTAAGATCCCCTCTCTTCCAAGGGGGTGGGCACCTCCACCCTCCATGCTCCTTGGGCAGCCTGGGGGCCTCGACAGCAGACCCCCACTCAGCTCCTGCATGTCTGAGACCTGACCCTGTCTGCATGCTCTGTGGCCACCAGGCCTCACGACCAAGGCCCAGGCGTGTGGGGTCAGGCAGCCAGGAGGGCCAGCTCTGCCCAGAGATGCGGCCCTGGAGGAGTGGAGGCATTGACAGTGCTGGTCAGGGTCGTGCACCCCCTCTGCAACCCAGCCTTCTCAAGACCACACAGGAAGGCCAGCCGAGCCACAGGGCGGGGCTGCAAACCCTGACTGAAAACCCACTAGCGTCAGAGTCCTGGGGAGGCGTGAGAGCGAGGCGTGATGAAGGCAGGAGGGGAGGGGAGGTCCACAGGGCCTGGAGGGAACCCTGCGAGCTGAATGGGTTCCTGGGCCAAGGCCAGCCTGGGAGGAAGATGGAGGCAGCCACTGTGGGGAGAAAATGTAGCAAAGAGGGTGGCGGGCAGGGCAGGCAGCTCCCCAGCTCCTCAGCCAGCGGCCATCCCCACCCAGAGCCCGTGAGGCTGGAGAGGATCCACCAGAGTCTCCGATGGGAACGTGGCCGAGCCCTACAGCGGCAGCACCTCTCTCCACAAAACTCTCAGGAAGAGCAGCCGGGGTCCAACCGCAACGCCGAGCTCAGGAAGGAATGAGAGAAAAACACACCCATGGCAGGGAGGAGAGCCTTGTGGACAGGCCTGGACTGCAAAAGCAGAGCTGGGGAAGCGGCAGAGGCCTGAAGAAGCCGCAAAAGAATGGAACCAAGTCACCAAGTCAAAGTCCCAGTGGAGGGAGATGCAGGGACACGGGGGGTCCACAGAGGTGCTCCCGGGGAAAGAACAGAAACCCAGGACAGAAAACACAAAGCCGTGGACGATGAACGCTGTCCTGAAACACCCAGGCAGACACGACAGCACGGCCAGCAGAGGCCTCTCCCCAGATTGCAGGAGGAAACAGCATCCTATGGGTACTCAGGCAGAAAAAGCAGGTCACATGTGGGGAAAGAGATGCCTGTCCACAGGCTTCCCACAGAATCCCAAGGCCCAGAAACATGTGAATTCTGCATAAGGAAACTATGGTCAAAAATAGAATCCCAGGCAATAGAGACAGCAGCAGGAATTTCTCACATACGAGGGCACCGAGGGAATCACACCCGTCAACACTGCTCCCATGTGGAAGGAATAAAGGAATCACACCCGTGAGCTCCTCTCCCGTGTGGAGGGAATGAGGGAATCACACCCTTGAACTCTTCTCTTATGTGGCAGGTTGAGGGAATCACACCCATGAGCTGCCATCATACATGTAGAGAACCCAAGGAATTGGGCAGTAGAACTGCTCTTGAAAACTGACTATTGCCAGAGTCCACCCAACCAAGACAGAGCCAGAATGAACCTCACATTTGGGTAGTCACAGCACCACGATGTTGCCCGGGAGCCCCTTCCATGCTAAGCACTGGGAGAATCACGGCTCTAGGACGCAACACTCATACTGTGTGCTTTGCATGTTGATATGGTTTGGCTGTGTTCCCTCTCAAATCTCACCTTGAATTGTAGTTCCCATAATCCCCACGTTTTGCGGGAGGGACCCTGTGGAAGGTGACTGGATCGTGGGGGTGGTTTTCCCACGCTGTTCTCGTGATAGTGAGTGAGTTCTCACGAGATCTGCACGCCTGGCATTTCCCCTGCTCACACTTCTCCCTGCTGCTGCCTTGTGAACAAGGTGCTGCTTCCCCTTCAGCCATGATTGTGATGAGAATGAAGCTCTGATTTTCTCATGTTGCCCAAATTCCTATCTAAGGAGTCTGGGGAGTCATGCCCTACAAACCGTAAATTCTCATCAGATGGGTTTCATTTAACCCTGTATATCGTGACTTACTATCTAATCTGACTCTGGCATAACAAGCGAAAACATCGAAATGTTTTACCCTAAAATATATTTTCTTGCTATACCTTGAAATTGCCCTCCAAAGTCTCCTGTGGGAAAAATCCTCATTCTGTAAAGAATCCTCTTCCCCTTTGTTTCCTTTCTTTGCAGATCCAGGAGATAACCAACTAAGAGCCAGGCTCCCTTTTAGGTCTAATAAGAAACATTTTACAACCTGCTCTCTCTCTGAAGTCTGCTATCGGAGAGCTTCCTCTGGACAATAAAACTTGGTCCCCACAATCTTTTATCTCAACCTGAACATTCCTTTCCACTGATCCCAGGTCTTCAGATAAACTCAACCAATTGTCATCCATAAAATGTTTAAATTCACCAACAGCCTGGAAGCCCCGCTTGAGTTGTCCCAACTTTCTGAACCAAACCAGTTTATCTCTTCAATGTATTTGATTGCTGTCTCATGCCTCCCTAAAAATGCATAAAACCAGGCTGTACCCGACCACCTGGGGCGCATGCTCTCAGGACCTCCTGGGGGCTGTGTCACGGGCCACGGTCACTCAGATTCGGCTCAGAATAAATCTCTTCCAATATTTTACAGAGTTTGACTCTTTTCATCAACAATTTCAAGTAAAATTCATTTGTAATGCTTTGTTGAAATAGTATATTATTCCAATTTTCTGAAATAAATTCTTCTTTCTTTCAAGCTATGAGTATGTACAAAGAAGAATCTGATTGTGTGGTTGGATTTTAGACAAGTTTTTACTTTCTTGGTAATTTTCTGGGCAACTTGACTTTTTCTTGATAAGGAGCGTGTATCATGTTTTACAAACACAATTAAGTCATTACTATTAAAAGAGAAATATCATGCAATGAGACGATGGACTGAAAGCAATAAACCATCCCTGCTGTAGGAAGCGAGGGGCTCAGGTACCCTCCCGGGGGTCCGGCTCCCCACTCGATCCTGAGCGGCCTCCCCCAGGGGCGGGCAGGGGGGCTGAGCCTTCACTCTACCACCCTGTGAGCCTGGCAGGCTAAGGTCTCCTTCCTCCTCCCAAAAGCAAGACGGTGATAACACCTGCCCAAACGCCTTCCCAGAGGGTATTTTTTTTTTAGCTCTAATGAGATGCTGATGTTTGTGAAAGAGATCCACAGACCGCAAACAGCCTCAGATGTGCCTGGAGTCCCTGGACGTCAATCAGCCTGCACTAAACGAATACGCTAATTTAACAAACCTTCCCTGTGCAGGGAGGACAGCTAACGTCCACCAAGAATGTTTTAAAAATCATTTAGGATATACATTTTTAAGTGAATAAACATATTTTTGGTTTGCAGAGAAAACCCATTGTTTTTAGAAACACATTAATGTTTAAAGTGTATGTAGATGAGGACAGAGGTCTATTGCCCAGTCTAAGAGAGCTTTAAAATGTAAGCGTTTCAAATAGAAGCTGATGAATTTTTAATTGATTTAGTTGCAAGTAGGTGCAGTTTCAGAGTATTTTAGTGTAAAGCAAAAATAAAACCCTAAGCCCCCCGCTAACTGGACGGATCCCCCTTCATGGCCAAGAGAACCTGAGACACGGGATTCCCGGCCATGGTGGGAAGCGGCGGACACCTCTCGTTACGCCCCCTCCCCTTTGGCGTCCGGGCACCACCAACCAGCATTGACGTTGCAATAGAGATGTTAGGATGGACAGACAGACTCCCAGCCTGACTCTGGTGCAGCCTCCCACACGGACGGCAGACAGCAGGCCCTGAGGACACGCACAGGGTGCTCACCACAATGTATGCCTTTGACACGTTTAGAAATGGGCCTGTCTGCTGTGGGGGAACATTGCATCTTAGAGGGTCTCCTTCCCTTTCTAGGTCTTTCCCAGACCTACAGAGGATTAACTAGGAGTCGGACACCTTTTATTTATTTATTTTTAATTAATTTTTTTTTTTGAGACGGAGTCTCGCTCTGTCGCCCAGGCTGCAGTACAGTGGCTCAGTCTCGGCTCACAGCAAGCTCCGCCTCCCGGGTTCACACCATTCTCCTGCCTCAGCCTCCTGAGTAGCTGGGACTACAGGCGCCCGCCACCACGCCCGGCTAATTTTTTTTTATATATATATTTTTTAGTAGAGACGGGGTTTCACCGTGTTAGCCAGGATGGTCTCGATCTCCTGACCTCGTAATCCGCCCGCCTCGGCCTTCCAAAGTGCTGGGATTACAGGCGTGAGCCACCGCGCCTGGCCCGACACCTTTTAAATTTGGAAAAGAGACTTCCACCCCCCGTTCTCTCTGAAGGCTGTTTCCCACCTGGAGGCCTCAGCTACTTAACAACAACCTTGGCGTCTACAGCCCACTTTATACCAAGCCAAGCTTTTCTGTCCCCTGACTTTTTAAGTTCTTAGACAAAGCTTAACTCTTTCAACCAACTGCCAACCAGAAAATCTTTGAATCTGGGTGCAAGCCCCCATGTCCTACCTGAACCTTCCATGGACTGACTGACGTCTTTGCCTGTAACTTCCATCTCCCTGAAAGGTATAAAACTAAGCTGTGACCCACCTACCTCGGACACATTCCCAAGGCCTCTTGAGACTGTAGCTCAGGCCACGATCAATCATATTGGCTCAGAATAAACCGCTTTCAATATTTTACAGAATTGGGCTTTTTTTTTTTGTCAACATTAGGAAAACCTTTTACGATACACTTTCCATTTCTGCCAGGATATAATACTTTAAATTACATTGATATAGAAGACATTATGGAATTAAGCCTGTCCGCCCCACTCCAAAATTAGGAAAGTTAGTAGAAAAAAACTTAAGGTAACGCAAACTAGATTGTTTTCCTTTCCTGAGAAAATCCTCATGTCCTTAGCTCCAAAATAAATTCCAAATAAATAGTGAAAATGTAACAAAGTAAATTACACCAGCAACGTTGAACCTGTCTGTTTGGGGAGTGGGAGGGCTGCACTGCCTCCAGGCCTCCGCGCGTTGACTGGGTCGTCACATGATCCGGGAGTGTGGGGTCCACCCTGCCTCGTCAGCACTGACGCTGCCCCCACACACAGGCTCACCGTTTAAGGATCCTTCCCTTACGGGGAATGCAGAAAGCCGCAGCCTCTCGCAGCTGCCTGACTCTGCAGAGACTGGGAAGGTCTGAAAAGAAGTCCCTGGAGTCTGGATCTCAGGGGTGAGCCCCATGGACCACGGCTGTGTCCCCGACGCCTCCCCTGAAACACCAGCGGCTCTCTCGCCTGGCCTCGGCTGCCCTGAGTCCCGAAGTGTTTCCCTGGAGGCCAGCCCTGCATGCAGCCGGTCCACCACCTCCCAGAGGCTCACACCATCTCCGGTGTGAAGCCCGCATTTGGGGTCTCCAGAGAGAGGCCTGTTCCCATGCTGGATCCTGCTTCTCTTGCAGCCCCAGCTCCCAGGCCCGGGTGCTCACGAGGAGGGCCCTTCACACAGACCTCGTCCTCCTGTCTGCTCCTGGCTGCAGCGTCCCCGCCCCACTCACTGCACCAACTTCTTCCACCTCCCTCCTGGGTCACCTCTCTCCTGGGTCTGAGCAGTGGGTCCCTGGGACTGAAGAGTGTAGCACATTGAGTAACGATCCCTAAAGAGACATGTCTCCATCTTAACCCCAGAAGCACTCGGGTTTGGAAAAAGGGTCTTTTGAGGCAAGATCATCCTGGGTTGTGGGAGCAGCCCTAATCCAGGCTCAAGTGTCCTTATAAGGGAATTTGCCGCTGGGGGTGTCGGGGAGGCCGAGGCTGGGACCCTCTGCAGCTGCGGACGTCGCCCCACACTGCTCTCACCTTCCCGCTTCCCACAGTGACCTATGACCCCGTCATGACTTGGTGCCAGCCCCTTGGAGACACTGGTGTCCCTCCAACCCCACAGCCCCAGGGGTCAGCAGAAACGGGAAAGAGAAGAGCACAGCCCCCTCTGCCCGCCTGGTCCCTGGAAGCCCCTCTGACCTGGAGCAGCAGCCACTCCCTGCAGCCTGTCCAGGAGACCAGGAGCCGCCGGGGGGAGGCTGGAGCTGGGCCGGGAGGCTGCTCTGCCGGACGTGGAGTCTCTGAACCTGCTCGGTGCATGCGCACGCTCCCCTGAGCCCCGCTGTTTTCCTTGCAGGACCCTGTTCTCATCACTGGGTGGAGGTGCAGAGAGGCTCAGCCGTTTGCAGGACAGTCTGAGGAACAGAGCCCTGTGGCTTTGAGACTCTGCAGATCTCCGGGACCTGGGGACTGGGTGAGGTGGGTTGGGGGCTCCCTTCTGCAGCCCTGAGATTGGAGCAGACCTCAGGAGAGCCCCCCAGGGCCAGCACTTCCCAGGCCTGGGACTGGGGAATGGGCTAAGGGTCCCATCTGTGGAGCAGCTGTGAGGCCCCTCGCCAGCCCGTGTGGACGCTGGAACACCGTGTGCAGAGGCTGCTGAGCAGAGGGGCTTCCTGGTCCGCCTCCGTGCTGCCCCCGGGGCTCGTCTGCCCGACGGCCTCCCCAGCCAGCAGCACCCAGGCTCCTCCGACACCCCGGGACTCAACAAAGTCTGTGTGGAGTTGAGATGAGATCACGGAAGCCCCAAGCCCCGCTGAGGCAGTAGAGACGCGGCGCCACCTGGAACAGGGGTCTGTTATCAAAAGCCCTTGGCTCGCGGGGTCATTAGGGATTCCGTGCACACACCTGGAGTGTTGAATAATGAATCAGGCTGCCCTGGTGTGATGAGATTTCATAAATGAGCGATTTGCATATTGTGATTGATCACGGAAGCCTCTGGGGCTGGAGCTGGAGGAGCCGGTCAGGTGCCGGCTTCTGTGTCCTCAGCGGGTGCCTCAGTCCTGCCCCGGAGGCTGCAGGGACGCAGACTCCCCAAGGTGCATGGACCCTGCCCCGGGCAGCCGCTGGACTTGAGACTTGGGGTGGAAGCAGGCCGTGTCCCTCTGAAGGTCCCTGCCTTCAGGGTCGGTCCTCAGCGTTTGTGGGAAGCAGCTGGTGTCCTCTGCCCAGGGGCTATGCCCTTTCTGGCCAAGGGCTCAAGCCCAGAGGTCACTGCTGCCACCTGGCTCTGGCATTCTCACACCTTCTGGAAGAATTCCAGCTGTAATGACGGCAGCTGCTCATAAAAAACCTGGGGCAGGCCGGCTCAAGGCGAGTCAGGCCAGGCGGCTGCAGGACTTAGCATCTTCCCACCTGGCCTGAGCAGCCTGGAAACTGCATCCGCTTTCATGCAGCTGACACCAGCCAGCTGTCCCCGAGGATGTGGGATGCAGTGAGGCCAGAGGCACCCTCAGGACAGGAGGGGCACGAGGCGCAGGAGGCCATGAGGCTGCTGAGTGGAGGCGAGAGGGACCCAGGACACGAGTGGCTCCGTGCAGGGGGGCTGAGGGTGAGGTGGGGCAGGGGGCGGCGTCTGTGGGTGAGGTGGGGCAGGTGGCAGGGGGGGGGGCTGTGGGCGGGGCAGGGGCGGGGTGGCGGAAAGGGGGCCGGGGGCGGGGGGCTGTGGGTGAGGTGGGGAAGGGAGCGGGGCAGGGCTCTTCTCCGGAAGTGGACATTGTGACATCCACTGGGGGAGGAGACATGGCAAATCCAGGTCTGAAAGGAGCCCCAGGCCAGGCACCGTGGCTCACACCTGTAATCCTGGCACTTTGGGAGACTGAGGCAGGTGAATCACTTGAGCCCAGGAGTTTGAGACCAGCCTGGGCAACACAGGGAGACCCCATTTCTAGAAATAGTAGAAAGATTAGCTGGGCGTCGTGGTGCCCGCCTGTGGTCCCAGCTTCAAGGGAAGGTGTGGAAGGAGGAGTCCTCATGCCCAGAAACTGCAGTGAGCTGAGATGGCACCACTGCACTCCAGCCTGGGTGACAGAGACTCTGTCTCATGAAAAACAAAAGAAAAGAAAAAGGAGGTTCACTTCCTCACAAACCAGCGGAGCAAGGATCAGGGCTGGGCCATTCTCTCTGGCCTTCTCAGGGATCAAGAAAGGGAACGGGGCCAGCATTGCCAACCCTCAGCCCCGGGTCCAGCTCCCTTCAGGGGTGGGGGGACCCTAGACCCATCCTCCTGGGAGGGGCTCCTTCACGGCAGCCCACCCCACCCACCACGCCTGGTCCTGGACACGTGCACCCTGTGAAACCCTCACCTCCAACTCCCCAAGGGCCGGCAGCTTTCTAGCAGGGCACCTGGCAGGAGTCTGGGAAGGCAGGGTCCAGGAAGGCAGGGTCCGGGAAGGCAGAGTCCAGGAAGGCAGGGTCCGGGATGGGTCCAGGAAGGCAGGGTCCGGGAAGGCTGGGTCCGGGAAGGCAGGGTCCGGGAAGGCAGGGTCCGGGATGGGTCCAGGAAGGCAGGGTCCGGGAAGGCTGGGTCCGGGAAGGCAGGGTCCGGGAAGGCAGGGTCCGGGATGGGTCCGGGAAGGCAGGGTCCGGGAAGGCTGAGTCCGGGAAGGCTGAGTCCGGGAAGGCAGGGTCCGGGAAGGCAGGGTCCGGGAAGGCTGAGTCCGGGAAGGCTGGGTCCGGGAAGGCAGGGTCCGGGATGGGTCCGGGAAGGCAGGGTCCGGGAAGGCTGAGTCCGGGAAGGCAGGGTCCGGGAAGGCAGGGTCCGGGATGGGTCCGGGAAGGCAGGGTCCGGGAAGGCTGAGTCCGGGAAGGCTGAGTCCGGGAAGGCAGGGTCCGGGAAGGCAGAGTCCGGTAAGGCAGGGTCCGGGAAGGCAGAGTCCGGGATGGGTCCGGGATGGGTCCGGGAAGGCAGAGTCCGGGAAGGCAGGGTCCGGGAAGGCTGAGTCCGGGAAGGCAGGGTCCAGGAAGGCAGGGTCCGGGAAGGCAGAGTCCGGGATGGGTCCGGGAAGGCTGGGTCCGGGAAGGCAGGGTCCGGGAAGGCAGAGTCCGGGATGGGTCCGGGAAGGCTGGGTCCGGGAAGGCAGGGTCCGGGAAGGCAGAGTCCGGGATGGGTCCGGGAAGGCTGGGTCCGGGATGGGTCCGGGAAGGCAGGGTCTGGGAAGGCAGAGTCCGGTAAGGCTGGGTCCGGGAAGGCTGGGGTCCGTGGGGATGGGCAGGGTCTGTGGGGACACGCAGGGTGTCCCACATGATGCAGCCTGTCCTCATATGGGGACTCTGAGCTCTGAGACTCCCTGTGTGAGATGTTTGGGTGCAGAGCTGTGAAGACACAGAAGGAAACGTTGCCGTCTGCACCAGGCTCCCCACCGTTGGTGGCCCTGTTTTCCGTGGCCCTGTGGCCTGTGGCCCTGTCTAACGAGGCCACACCACATTCATGTGGACAAGCACCAGGAGCTCCGGGTCAGATGAGAACACTGTTTCCTCCGACCTGACTGCCTCTTTGCCTGGCGGTTTCTAAGCCAGCATCCAGCCGGCCTCGGTGAGGATGACACCAGCATCCCCTTGACCCTCCAAGGTCTCCTGTGACATTGCCCCAGAGGCTCTTGCTGTGGGGCCGTCCAGTTTATGTGGAGTGACCTGCACCCTGAGCACAGCCCAACAGTTGGCCACACCTTGGGGGCCCGAGGGGCTGAGTTCTACCCAGAGCGGCTGGAGGCTCACAAGGGACTTTTCCCACCTTGGAGGGAGCCAAGTTCCCCTGGGGGGCAGGTGGGCTGCTCAGCTCTGAAAGACCTCAGTGCCGTGGAGCTGCGCTCTGGAGGAAGGGTACTGAGCCGATTCCCTGACAGTGACTGTAATAAAGATGGCTAAATAGAGCATATTAGCACATTTTTAAACATTTATCAAAGCGAGCCCTGGCAGACATCCTGAAAATGTAATTTTCCCTCTCACTGAGCGTGTCATCAATCCCGGGCCACGGCCGGAGCTGGGTCGCGAGGGAGATGGCGGCTCCACGGCTCCCCGATGCTGACACAGATCGCTGTCCCCTGCAGCTCCTCGAACCCCTGAGAGAAATTTGAGGGGGAGCTTTGGCAGCTCTCTAAACACCTCCAGCTCAACTGGAGCCCTCTGGAGTCAAAGTGAAATCTTCTGTCCGGGTTCAGGACAGGGAAGCGTGCTGTCCAGCTCTGCGGCAGGCAGGGGACAAAGCCTGGACGTCAGCATCCTTGAGACCGGCCTGGATGGATGCCCCCCTGCCTGGACACACCTTGAATGGACATCCCTGTGTCTGGACACCCCCTTGCCTGGATGCCCCTGTGTCTGGATGCCCTCCTGCCTGAAAGCTTCCCTGCCTGGACGCCCTCCTGCCTGGAAACTTCCCTGCCTGGACACCCTCCTGCCTGGAAGCTTCCCTGCCTGGAAACTTCCCTGCCTGGATGCCCTCCTGCCTGGAAACTTCCCTGCCTGGACACCTCTGTGCCTGGAAGCTCCCCCTGGGCCGGGACACTGCACTGCACTGAGTTCTGGGCCACATGTCATGCGCACTGACCCTGTGACCCTGGAGCCCAGACACCTTGGAGAGGCCTGGGGAAGGTCAGGTTTGGCCCAAGGAGCAGGCATGAGGCTGCAGCGTCGCAGAACTCCTCCACTCAGGGACCTGGTGGGAAGTCACGGCCCACGCTCACGTGGGCGTTGATCAACACAGCTGACCATCCTCCGGGTGCTGTCCAGGCTGCCCCACCTGCCCTGAGGTCTCCTTGGCCAGTGGGTGGGTTGGGGAGGTGGAGCTGGAAGACCTGAGGGAGTCTGGGGTCAGGGACAGCAGCCAGGCGGTGGGGGCTGTGACCTTCCTTGTGAACGTGGGGACTGGAGACCCCCAGGCCCCCTGCTTCCCTCCCCTGCCTCCCCTCCCTGGGGCCTGAAGCTGAGCCCCACAGCAGCATCCTAACACCACCCTGCCCCAGGGACTGGGGCCTTATGCCTGCCCCACCCACCACAGCACAACACAGGGGGACTCACCCTGCCTCGGGTGGGTGGAGGTGGGCGCTGTCCAGCAGGGTGGAGGCATGAACGGGCCGGAGACACCTTGATCCCAGGTAGGAGCTGGGTGCACACAGGGAGCCTCATCCTGAGGCCCCTGGGAGTTGGGGTCAGTCATCATAGGCGCTGACCTCCAGTCGTCCTTCTCAGGCGCCTTTTCCGGAGAAAGCCCATCTGAGTATTCGGCCACAAGCTCCTTGGTAGGGAAGAGCTCCCGCTCCCAGCTCCCAGCTTCTCTAAGCCCAGATGAGACACAGAAGCTCATTTTATTCAAATGCAAACTTTTAATGGATGAAATTCTTCAACAGTGACTTTTTGGCTTTTCATAATGAGAAAAAGATATGTTCTCTCCTGGCAATGTTCTAAAATTTTGCCGTGAGACAGCTTTAGAGCCTCAGAATCTGAGGCCGGGGGAGGCTGAGCCATCGTCACACGTGAGGCCAAGGCTGCACACAGGAGGGGCCCAGGAGGGGAAAGCCCGGCTCCCCTTTCCCACTGAACTTTCAGGGCGGTCAGTGGAAGGACGGCGGGAAATGGGGGCAGCAGGGGAGGGACGGGCAGCTCAGCTGGACAGTCAGGTCCCCGCCGGCCCAGAGGGAGGCTGCAGCCCGACAGGGCTGGAAAGGCGCTGCCCCGGATCTGATCTCACCAGGCCACGGCAGCCACGCTTGGCTGTGCAGGGTGGCGCCTCCCCTGTGCTGGCTGGAAACGCCCGTTTGTCAGAACAACTCACAATTGGGCCTGGCCCTGGATCTTGCCTTCCCCGCCCCCATGTCTCTTTGTCCTCCAGGCAGGGGCCCCTCGTTCTGACCGCAGGGCATCTGGCTGTCCCTCAGGCCACCGGCTCACTGCTCCCCAGCTCCTGATCTGCCCCCACCCCGTGGCCCTGTCCAGGGTTTGCCGTCCCTCACACTGTCAGGTCACTGCTCCCCAGCTCCTGGTCTGCTCCTGCTCCGTGGTCCTGTCCCGGATTTGTGAAATCATCACGGACTGATGACTCGGAATCAGATCAAGATTCATCATGTCCTGTGTCCCTTGCTCTCTGAGTGGCCTGGGGGCGAACACATGAACCTCTTAAGGCCCCAGAAATGTGGGGAGAAAACATCAGCTGTGACACGAGGAGTCAAGCCGTGGATTGAGGACATGAGGCTGGTCCATGCCGAGACACTGAGGACACGGGGCTCATCCACACCTAGATACTGAGGACACAGGGCTGGTCCACACCGAGACACTGAGGACACGGGGCTGTTCCACGCCCAGACACTGAGGACACGGGGCTGGTCCACGCCCAGACACTGAGGACACGGGGCTGGTCGACGCCGAGATACTGAGGACACAGGGCTGGTCCATGCCCAGACACTGAGGTGCCCTGAGCTGTGGTAACACCCACCTTCCTGCTGCTCAGAAAACACATGAAAGCTTCCTCTCTGCATGCAGCCCTGTCCTGCTCACCGGGAGCTCCAGGCCTGGCCCTGGTAGCCAACATCCAAGGTCCACTCACTCAGAAACTACATTCAGCTGCCCTCTGGGGGGAGCAAGACGATCACAATGTGTGCGTGCATGTGTGTGAGTGCAGGTGAGTGTGTGTGTACATGCATGGGAGCGTGTGCATGTGTGTGCATGTGTGCGCACATGTGCGCACGTGGGTGAGTGCAGGTGACTGCATGTGTGCATCTGAGTGTATGTGTGCATACGTGTGTGCATGTGTGCATGAGTGTGCATGTGAATGTGTGTGCACATGCATGTGTGTGTATGTGTGCACATGCGTGCATGTGTGTGCCTGTGTGTGCATGCATGTGTGCATCTGTGTGTGCATGTGTGAGTGTATACAGCGGGTGTGCATGTGACTCCTCTCCTCCCCAAGACAGAAAGTCGCCACAGGCTCCACATGAAAGCGCCTCGCTGCTCCCCACCCGAGGACGGCCCCAAGGGACTTGGCGCCTGGCAGGTGTTCGCTTCCTGGAGCAATCGTACATGCCAGGACATTCTAGATTACTCTGCAGGGATGTGTTAAGCTTCAAAAGTAAAAGGAAGACAAAGCCGCAGGACACAGTGGGGCATTCGCTGTTCTTTTAAGCAGGAGTCTCCTGAAAGATTCCCGCCAGGCAGTCACAGTCGCCCATGCGTGGTCTCCAGCCTTGGTGCTCAGCCCAGCCACCCGGGTTCTGCCCTCCTGACTTCCTGGAGCTGTCTCCTGCAAGTCCAGCCTGCTTGGGCGTTATCTTGAGGAGTGAAATTCAAACTCTGATGACAGCCGCCTGGGGGCCAGCTGGGGCTGCTCAGGTGGTTCTCACAGCAAGTCCCTTCCATGACCTGCTCCACCGCCAAAGGCTCTTGGACCTCGGAACGGGGCATCTGCTCTCCCCCGCCCGTAGCATAGCCCCCATGCTGGTGGTCCTGGGCCCCCGAACGAGGAAAACAGCTCCTTCACCTGATTCTAACTCCATGCCTGGCACTCTCAGCAGCATGAGGCCTCTTCAGAACCGGCGGAGCACTTAATTGAATCTGCTCCCAAACTGCCAGCTAAATGTGCACTAATTAAAGTTGCCATTGAAGTGAAGACGCAATTCCATGCGTCGAGGTCCCTGCCACTGTGGCCTATAAGGTGCATCCCAATCAGGGACTCGGAGGCTCCTCCTGCACCTCCCGCCCTGTCCCATCTCCCAGCTGAGTCGCTGGACTCTTCAAAGCTCTATTCATGTCAGAGATAAATTAGCTCTTTTTTTTTTTTTTTTTGGTTTTGCTTTTTTCATGGGAGGAGAGCATCTTCAAATGAAAACTGCTTTAGCAAATTAAGTTCAAATCAAGGAATGAAGCTTGAAATTAATTTTTAAAAAAGCCTTCCATGCATTATTGTTCAGTGCCCAGGCTAACGGAATGCAGGGGGTACTGCACGAGGCTGATTTGGGGCTGGCTCAGGAATCGGTCACCAGGAAGGGGGCAGCTCCAGCAAACTGGAGCTTCTGTTGTTCCCTGGAGAAGAAGTCTGGAGAGCTCGGCTCGCCTCAGAGACCAGTGGCTGGGAAAGCCCCAAAGCGAGGGTTTGGTTGGATCAAGGAGTCACAGATTTGAGAACGATGCAACTATTTCCGTGTCACAAGCACAGAGATGGTTTTCTCCTTCAGAGCTCGATCCCAAAGGATTTGACCAGGGCGTCCTGGGCAGAGTTGGGCAGTTCTTGGGGAGCAGCTGTCACCACCCAAGAGTCTCAGTGTCCCCCCGACGTGTCCTCCCAGGCGTCCCCCCAGGCATCCTTTCCAGGTGCCCCCGCAGGTGTCCCCTCCAGTCACACCTTTCCGGAAGCCTCCCCATGCAGGAGCACAGGGAAGCACGATCCGCTGAGGCCTGTGTGCATCGCTCCGTCTCTGTCAGTTCTGAATTTTGATTATTTTCTACTCAGGGCCTCAGAAGCCACCTTGTGATGCTGCCTTCCTGCAGCTGGCTCTGGCCAGCCCCCACCTCGGCTCTGACGTGGTCCACGCCTGGAGTCCTTCGGGATAGAGCCTGCCCAGTGCACACCCGGCCCTCGGGCCCCCACTGCCCACTGTCAGGACCGGGGTATGGACGCCTGGCCACAGCTCCAGGACTGCAGGGCCCAGCATCCCCCACCCCCGGCCCGTGCGAGGCTCTCAGATTCTGACGCGTGACCAGCATGTGGCCTCCTGCACCCGAAGTAACGTCCTCTCCCTGCAGAGGCCGACCGCGCACTTCAGCCGCCCCCCTCCAGTGTCACCGGCCAACGGTGCCGGCAGCACGGCTCCTGCCTGCGCGTAGCCCCGTCAGCTACGTCTCAGGCTTCTCAGGTGCGGCTGTGCGAGCAGCGGCCTCTGCACGCACCGTGGCTCTCCGCCTGTCAGTGCAGAACCAACTCTAGAGACTGTGATGCTGATGTTGATATTTATCGACGGGGCCATCTGTCAGTGACATCACGCCACCCGCAGCAGCGACATCTTCCCGGTGTGGCCTCTGTCGCTCAGTGAGGCCTTTTGCCCACAGTTCGGAAGCGTCAGCTCCAGCTGCTAGATGCATTTGAACCCCCAGCAGGGAGCACAGACCCGGGGGCCTGTTCCTGCCTTGTCCCTCCCTGGCCTGCTCAAGGCCACCCTGCACCCAGCCACTGGCTCTGTTCAGTTGTTTCTAACATCGGGCAAATGATTAAGAGGCCACTCACGTGTGGACAGGAGAGAGGAAGGAGCTCACCAGGGCCAGAGCGGGAACTTTCTTCTCTAAGTTCCGAATGTCGACTGCACACCAGGAAGCCTGAGCTGAGACGGTTCCTGATTCAGCTCAGAGGCAGCAGGGACTCTGCTCCTGCCCCGTGACCCGGGCTCAGAGTACAGGCATCTGAAGTGCTCTTGGCAGCTGCTGGGAACCCCACCCTGCACCGCACGACCTGTGCCCCCCATAGAGGTGCTGCTGGTGCAGAGCTGGCAGCAGAGAGGCCCCGGCCTCCACAGGGGCCCAGGCTCCGGATTGCAGGTCCCACCTGCAGGTGCAGCTCTGTGGCCCGGAGGGTGGAGGCAGCAGGAGGAAGCTGTGGGACACGTGGGCTTGGACCTCACCCCTGCCGACCCCACCAGGGACACAGAGCCTCCCTGTGTCCTGAAAATGCAAAAGCTCTGCCGTTCACATTCCCGTCTTCACAGCAGCTTAAATACTCCTGAACATGTCTACTTGTCCTTTCTCATCATCCATTGATGTGGTGGTTTCCTCCAGTTCTGACAGACAAGAAACAGGCCCTTCCCCAGCTGCTTTCCCAGAACAGCAGGCAGAGGAGGGGAGGACACCGCTGCCCACCTCCCTCAGCCGGATGCTCCTGGGCGCAGGGCATGGGGTGAGAGAGGACAGGACCCCCGGTGTCAAATGTGTGAGCAGAGAGGGGACAGCGGGGTCCAGAGGAGCAAGGGGCATCCACAGAGAGGGGGTCACACAGGAAGAAGACGGGGCCATGCCTGCAACAGACACCCCACTCCGGAGCTTGCTCCACAGACTCTAGACTTTCCATAGCTCCGCAGCCCTGACCCCACACCCCACCCGGGACCCCCACCCCACCCACGCAGGGAGCAGCAGCCATGGAGCCAAGCCCCCAGGCCCCCATCACCACGCGCTGAAGCCCGTCTCCTGTAACCCGGGGGCTGGACTCACACGGGACTGCAGCAGGAAAGAGGAGCATTCTCTCTCCTGTCTCCCCAGTTCTACCCAGAGTGAGAACCTCCGTGTCCACCTCCCAAAGCAGATCCAGAGTCTGTTGGTTTCCTCTGCGCCAGGAATGCCAGTGTCCAGCCTCTTCCCGGGAGGCGTGGAGCAGATGCTCATTCACACGGCTCTGCTGTGCAAACGCAGGTGGTTGTGAAGTTACCGGCTCTGCCCGCCGCCCGTCAGCCCCGTTCATCCTTCTGAATCAATAGGCAAACCAGCTAACCCAGGGACTGACTGGGCCTTCATTCACCCCTGAGCTCCCTGGGGGCCGAGGGGAAGGGAGAAGCCAGCGTGTTAACCTCAATGTACCCTGGAGAGACTTGTTCACGTCCTTCTTCCCTTGACTGATGGTGAGGGTCATGTTGGCCACAGCCACGGAACGGCCCAGCTCCTCCAACACGGCAGACAGTGCCTGGCACAAAGGCCCTTCTGAGGCACCTCAGGCCGGCCCAGCCTGGCAGGGACCTTGCCCCACAGCAGGGGTGGGGGCCCTGCTGCAGGTTTCTCCTTGAGTCTCTGCCTCCACCGCCTTGCGGACCTACCAGCAGCACTGGTTCCAGGGTCTGGCCTGGACTCTCTTCTCCAGCTCTGGGTTCCTCTCCTGAGAGTCCTCTCGGTATAGGCTCTGCAAGCCCCAGAGGGGCCATGTGCGGTTTGGAGGGCCCTCAGCAGACCAGGAAGCGAGGACCCCACCATGGGCCCGCCTCCCGAGGCTGCACCTCCCAGCTCAGTGCCTGTTGGCGCTGGGAGAGGCCTGGCCCCATCCACGATCTCCCCAAGCCAGCAGGGCCAGGGAGGGTGGCTGAGCCCCAGCTCCAGGAAACCGGCCCTGGGTGGACAGGTGGTCCCAAAGGCCGGCCATGCTGCAGAGGCTTAGCCACCCTCCCTGGCCCTTCCTGGAGACCCATTCAGCCCAGCTTCCGGGGCCGTGATGGCTCGGAGAGATCGTGGATGGGGCAGGGCTCCTCCCAGCACCAGCGGGCACAGCCTCAGGGCATGGGCGAGGCAGTCAGCGCTCCCGAGCAGCTCTCAGGGCCTCTGTCCACAGAGCTGCCCACCCCCACCACATGAAATGAGGGAGTTCCCATCCGTGCAAAGGGCCCTAAGCCCCCACCTCCACACCAGCAGGCAGCTGTGAGCCTCAGGTGGACAGGAAGAGGGGCTGGCACTCCCAGTTCAATCTGGTCTAAGTCCCCAGAGAACAAAAACTTGATGGACAGATCGACCAGGACACGATGCGCTTGCTGTGGGGCCAGGGCTGTTGGCCTGACCGAGGGCCTGGCCTCCGAGGCAGGGAGGGCGGTGGCTCTGGGTGGGGGAGGTCCCCACTGACAGCTGCTCCGCAGGACAGGCGGGGCCGGGCTGCAGGTTCCCTCCCCAGCCTGGAGCCGGCTGCTGGGCTGGGACTTTCTGCCACCCAATGCTTTCTGATGAGGAGGAGGGCAGGGGGCAGATGCTTGGAGCTGGAAAGGCAGCAGCCTTGCCAGGTTGCAGGCCGCCCCCATATGCTTTTATCAGGCTGGACGGCAATTCAGCTGGGGTCCCAGTGCTGGTGTCTAAATTCCTGCACTGATATGGGGTCCCGGGCACTGGTGTCTGAATCCCCGCACTGATTTGGGGGTCCCAGGCGCTGGTGTCAGGATTCCTGTCCTGATGTGGGGTCCCAGGCTCTGGTGTCAGGATTCCTGTCCTGATGTGGGGGTCCCAGGCACTGGTGTCTGAATCTCCACACTGATGTGGGGTCCCGGGGGCTGGTGTCAGGATTCCTGTCCTGATGTGCTGTCCTGGGCACTGGCATCTGGATCCCCACACTGCCTCTGGGACCAGGCTCAGCAGCTCCATGGCTCCGTTCTACAGGCTCAGCAGCTCCATGGCTCCGTTCTAGGGAACAGAACACCAAGCCCCTTCCACACTCGTTTGTCCTCTCCAGACTCACAGCAGTGGCCCCGCATCAACACTGACCACGGAAGTCCAGCAGGCCTGGAAACAGGGATGGGTGGGGATGCGGGTCCTGCTGGGAGGTTGGCCGCCTCGCTGTGCCGACTCCAGCACCGAGGTCAGAGTAAGTTATCTCCTCATTCAAATGCAGATTTCACGTGGAACCAAATCATGTTCCTCTTAAGAAATTGCCAGCCTAACAGTGCGTGCTAAATTAGAGCAAGATTATTCCAGGTTATTTGAAATCACTTTCTCCATCACGGTTTTCAGAGGAAAAGAGGAAAGCTGACGAGAGCCCTGCCCAGCCCTGAAGTGTGTTCCCGTGTGGCAGGACCTGCAACTAAAATCTAACCGCTGGACTTCCCAGGACGGAGCACTGACTCCCCCAGGCTACAGACAGAGGCCCAGCAGCTCCCTGAGGAGGCCTCCTTGTTGGAGGCCCAACCAGGACACACACTGTATTCATCCATTTCACACCGAGACCACCCTACCCGCCCCCAGGACACACGCTGTGTTCATCTGTTCTCACACCGAGACCGCCCTGCCCCAACCAGGACACACTCTGTATTCGTCCATTCTCACACTGCTATAAGAAATACCTAAGACTGGGTGATTTATAAAGGAAAGAGGTTTAATTGACTCACAGTTCTGCAGGGCTGGGGAGGCCTCAGGAAATTCACAGTCATGGCAGTAGGTGCCTCTTCACAGGGTGGCAGGAGACAAAACGAGAACCAGCCGGCGAAATGCCAGACGCTTATAAAACCATCAGCTCTCATGAGACTCACTCACCATGGTGAGAACAGCATGGGGGAGACCATCCCCACGATTCAATGACCTCCACCTGGGTTCTCCCTTGACACGTGTGGATTATTATAATACAATTCCAGGTAAGGTTTGGGTGGGGACACAGAGCCAAACCATATCACACGCTCTGCCCCCAACCTGCTGCCTGAGAGCCCCGGTTGCTGGAGCGGGCGGGCCCAGCCGCTGGTGCTGTGTCTTGGGGGTGTCAGACGGGAGCTGGGGTTCTCTCCCGGCCAGCCTGGGGCTGTGCATTTACACATCAGGCTCCCGGTGGGCAAGGCAGCTCACGGGGGTGCCACATCGCAGAGAACCTGTGTGATATTCACACTGCTCCCCCGGGAGCGTCCGAGGCCAGTGTCCTGGGCCTGCCATTCTAGCTGCCTTAGGGGCCTCACCAGCACCCAGCTCCTCCCCACTCAGGTGGGAAGCCCCCAGCAGCGTGGGGCCCTTTCCTCTCCTGAGATGTGGTGGGCAGAGCCAGACGCGCCCTCAGCCCTCAGGCTGGAGGGTCTGGTTTCTGCCTCTGCTTTGAACCCCAGCCCAGCACCTAACGAGCCAGATCAAGAGCCTGCCTAGAGCCACCAGGGGCCCATTTGCAGCACACATTCTAGGCCTCACCCCAGCCTTGCAGAAGCAGCGGCCAAGGAAGGGCCCCAGGAATCTGCATGGCTGACAGCCCCTCCCACCTTCAGAGACCCCCAAGAAACTTGAGGTGTTACCCTGCCTTGAGGTCACCTGGCTGCCCCCTTCTAACTGTTTGAAGCATGTTGTGTCAGAGAGGAGACAGGTGTCACCCTGGGCCGTGGTCCCAGCTCGTCATGACCCCGTGACCCCACACAGGACCCAGCCATGACCTCATGACCTGTGAGCAGACCTGGGCCCAGCCATGAACCCCAGGGCCTTGCACAGGCAGATGAATCAGGGAAGGCAGCTCATGCTTGGGACCTGACTCGAGCATCCAGCCTTGGGGTTATTTGCCCCAGCACAGGGGAGCAGATGGGCTCTCAGATGGGTGGATGGGGTCTCAGGTGGGCAGATGGGGTCACAAATAAACAGATGAGATCATGGATGAACTAATGAGATCTCAGATGGGCAGATGGTGTCTAAGATGAGCAAATGGGGTCAGAGATGAGCTGATAGGATGTGCAGATGTGCAGATGGGGTCATGGATGAGCTGATGAGATCTCAGATGGGCAGATGGGATCTCAGATGAACAGATAGGGTCACAGATGAACTGAAGGGATCTCAGATGAACAGATAGAGTCACGGATGAGCTGATGGGATCTCAGATGAAAAGATAGAGTCACGGATGAGCTGATGGGATCTCAGATGGGCAGATGGGGTCACAGACGAGCAGATGGGATCTCCGATGAACAGATGGGGACATGGATGAGCTGATGGGATCTCAGACGGGCAGATGGGGACATGGATGAGCTGATGCGATCTCAGACGGGCAGATGGGGACATGGATGAGCTGATGGGATCTCAGACGGGCAGATGGGGACACGGATGAGCTGATGGGATCTCAGATGAACAGATGGGGACACGGATGAGCTGATGGAATCTCAAATGGGCAGATGGGGACACGGATGAGCTGGTAGGATCTCAGATGAACAGATGGGGACACGGATGAGCTGATGGGATCTCAGATTAACAGATGGGGACACGGATGAGCTGATGGGATCTCAGATTAACAGATGGGGACACGGATGAGCTGATGGGATCTCAGATGAACAGATGGGGACATGGATGAACTGATGGGATCTCAGACGGGCAGATGGGGACATGGATGAGCTGATGGGATCTCAGACGGGCAGATGGGGACACGGATGAGCTGATGAGATCTCAGACGGGCAGATGGGCACATGGATGAGCTGATGGGATCTCAGATGAACAGATGGGGACACGGATGAGCTGATGGGATCTTAGATGGGCAGATGGGGACACAGATGAGCTGATGAGATCACAGATGAACTGATGAGATCTCAGATGAGTTGATGGGATCTCAGATGAACAGATGGGGTCACAGATGAGCTGATGAGATCACAGATGAACTGATGAGATCTCAGATGAGTTGATGGGATCTCAGATGAACAGATGGGGTCACAGATGAGCTGATGGGATCTCAGTGGTCAGTCTCAGATGAACAGATGGAGTGGGATGGACATATGAGTTCTCAGACAGATGGGGTCTCAGATGAACAGACAAGTGTCAAGTGGGCCGACTGGGTCAATGATGGGCAGATGGGATCACGGGTGAACAGTGGGCTCTCGCGTAGGTATATGGGGTTATGAATGAGCAGCTGGGGTTTTAACTGGACAGATGGGGTCACAGATGACAAATAGGGTCTCAGATGAACAGATGGTATCTCAGATAAACAGATGAAGTCATAGATGACAGATCAGGGGGTCACATGGGCAGATGGGTTCTTGGACAGACAGATAGGGTCTCAAATGGACAGATGGCGTCTCAGATGAACAGACAGGATCTCAGGTGGACAGAGAGGACCAGGAATGGGCACTGAGGCTTCAGATGAGCAGATGGAGTCTTTGGTGCACAGATGTGGTCACTCATGGCTTAATGGGGTCTCAGGTAGGCAGATGGAATCTTGGAGGGACATGTGTGGTCATATATGAACAAATGAGTGAGATGATCGGATGGGTTTTCAGAAAGATGTGGTGTCAGATAGGGAGACAGCATCTTGAATAGACAGATGGGGTTTTGGATGGACAGATGGGGTCTCAGATGGAGCTTCCCACAGCCACACACCCCACGGTCACATTAATGACACAAGAGTCTGATTTATTCCAGATGCCGCAGAGAGGGCACGCTGAGCGTCTGTGAGGAGAAAGGTTTCTGCTGCTCACCTGGCTTCTAGCACCTGGACAAGTCCACAGAGAGGTTGACCTTGGTCCCATGTTCCCAGGCAACAGCCACACGGCTAAGCACTGGAATCCTTTTCAGACCTTCAGTCCTGACCGCGTGTGCACAGCAGGTGTAGCTTCCTGAGGAAGCCTCCTGGGGTTGGGGGGTAAGCAGGGCAGGGCAGAAGAAGGAAACCTCCCCTCTGCCCTGGGCCTTTGCTGTGACTCCCTGGATCTCCCTGGTTTCTCTTTTTTCCTTTCTTTTCTTTTTTTTTTTTGTTTGTTTTGTTTTGTTTTGTTTTGTTTTTGTGTTTGTTTGTTTGAGACAGAGTCTTGCTCTGTTGCTCAGGATGGAGTGCGATGGCGCGATCTCGGCTCCCTGCAACCTCCACCTCCTGGGTTCAAGCAATTCTGCCTCAGCCTCCCAAGTAGCTGGGATTACAGGTGCCCATCACCACACCCAGCTAATTTTTTATATTTTTAGTAGAGATGGGGTTTCACCATGTTGGCCAGGCTGGTCTCAAACTCCTGACCTCAGGTGATCCACCTGCCTCGGCCCCCCAAAGTGCTGGGATTACAGGCGTGAGCCACCGTGCACGGCCAGGGTCTCCCTGGTTTCTAAGTGCCCCCAGGACAGGCTGTGGTCTCCTGTGCTGGCATGTGGGGGACAGCATTTGCTCTGCATCTCTGTGTAATCCTCATAGAAACTGCTTTTTGTGCAGTGAGACCCCCTGGGAGAGGACCTGCCACTCCTGAATGACCTCACTGAGGAAACAAGAGGCCCCTGCAGGAATGTGGAGCTGAGAGCTGCCACGATGTGGCTTCCTGAGGGCTGAGAGCACCGTCCAGCCTATGTAATTAAGCCAGGAGGCTAAAGGAGAGACAGAGAACCCAGGATGGCATCTTCCATGGCTGGGCAGGCTCAGCTGCTGTGGCCAAGGGACAGCAAGGCTGGCCCCATGCAGGCAGGTCCAGGCCCTCTCAGAGGGAGGGGAGTGGATGGGGTTCTGGAGAGTGGGGTGAGAGGGGTCTGGGAACAGTGGTGAGGAGAGGGTCTGCATCCAGCTTGGGAGGTGAGCTGGCCACACAGGACCTGTGGGTGCAGGTGCTGTTGGAGCTGAGAGGGGCTGTGGTCTCCACGTCGAGCCATGAGGAGGCTCTCTGGCCTCCCCCGCTGCGTGGGCCAAAGCCACACATGAGGCTCTTTGTTAGATGTAAGGGTCCTGGGAGCTTCCGAAAGCAGAATGGACGTGGCCCCCAGGGCACAGGCCTGAGGCTGCAGGCTGCCCAGTGAGCTCTGGCCCCTCAGAGCCCCCCTGATAAGCACCGGCCGTCAGACCGGCAGACTCTCTCAGAGATGGCCTGGGCATGGCCTCACAGCTGGGGAGCCGGGGGACTGGGGGCCACAGGCCCAGGACCCAAGGTCATGAGAATGGCCCCCACAGAGAAGGCTATGTCATGGGGACCTACTGCCCGCACACTGGCCGTCCACAAGCTCATCGTCCACACCAGGCCCCAGCACCTGTGCTGGAGCCCAGGACACAGGAAAAGAGGATGGGAGAGAAGCCTGCAGGGGGTGGAGGGTGAGAACATCATCTGTCTCCATCTGTCTAGGACATCCTTGCAAAAGGTTTTCAGCTGAAAGGGCTAATTTAGAAGGAATAAAATAAATGATATCGACCTTGGTGAAAACCTTGTCCGAAATAATTTTCCACTGCCTTTGCACGTCACTTGGAGACTTTGAGGCCCGAGATGAAGGGAGGGGCAGCTGTCCAGGCCACATGGCCAAGAAACCTCTGGCCAGCCAGGAATCCATCACCCAGCGGCCGCGGGTCCAAGGGGGCAGCCACGTGGCCACGGGTCACAGGCTCCCTTGCCGCTCTTTAGGAAAAGAGAAGATGGGAACAGAGCCGGGCCTCAGGGCGGGTGCCAGCCACGTTCTGTGCTTCTTCCTGCACGTGCCTGGGGGCAGGGGGCACATCAGACATGAAGGGGAGAGTGGGTCTGGATGCCCAGCCACAGGGGACCCGGGGGGCAGCCCTTCCGGGGTGGGGCAGGCTCAGGCCCGAGGAGAGGAGTGGCCGTCATGGATATCCAGACAGTGCCAGGCTCCGGGGACTCCAGGGCATTGCCACAGACTCCTGGGGCCTGTGTGAGCCCAGCCTGTGCGCCTGCACCGGTGGACAACCCATCAGCTCAGGGCCTCCCTCCCAGGAGGCTGGCTTCACCCGCAAGTGGTGATGCCCTGTGGCAGGTGCAGAGGCAGGTGAGGAGGGCGGGAGGAGGAACCCCAGCAGGATGAGGCAGCCCCAGACCAACTGGAGGACAGCTTTGAAGGGCTGAGGTCAGCAGCGACCGGCGGGTGGAGGTGCAGTTCGGATGCAGGAGGGGCCGAGCATCAGGTGACCAGCACAGGGGCCCCACGGCCCCTTCCAACCTGGAGCATTGAGCAGAGGAGGGAGCAGGTGATTTCACCCCAACCCATGCCCTTCACAGGGAGGAGGGCAGGGCAGGTGTGCACTTCCTGGAGAGGAGGGCAAGGCTGAGTGAGTGCAAATCCCCCTCCACCCCCCACAGGCTCCTCCCTGGCTCCCACCTGTGGGCTGTGCCTTGATTTTGACTTTGTTTATCCAGGGCCTGGGAAGAGCGACTTTTAGTCCTATTCATCAGGAATCACCCAAGGCACTTTCTGAGAAATGGTGTATCAGGAGATACATTTTCTGTGTCCTTACAAGTCACACAGTCCTCGTTCTGCCACAAACTTAATGGATTGGTTCTCAGAACCTCATGCCCCTAGATAAGAAGCCAGGCTCTGGTGCCTGTGGCCCCAGGGCAGGTGAGAGTATGTGCAGGTGAAGGACCGGGCAGGTGAGGGGCCCCGCAGGTGAGGGACCGGGCAGGTGAGGGTATGTGCAGGTAAGGGACCTGGCAGGTGAGGGGCCCCGCAGGTGAGGGTATGTGCAGGTGAGGGACTGGGCAGGTGAGGGTATGTGCAGGTGAGGGACCGGGCAGGTGAGGATATGTGCAGGTGAGGGACCGGGCAGGTGAGGGTATGTGCAGGTGAGGGACCGGGCAGGTGAGGGTATGTGCAGGTGAGTGTATGTGCAGGTGAGGGACCGGGCAGGTGAGAGTATGTGCAGGTGAGGGGCCCCGCAGGTGAGGGTATGTGCAGGTGAGGGACCGGGCAGGTGAGGGTATGTGCAGGTGAGGGACCGGGCAGGTGAGGGTATGTGCAGGTGAGGGACCAGGCAGGTGAGGGTATGTGCAGGTGAGGGACCGGGCAGGTGAGAGTATGTGCAGGTGAGGGACCGGGCAGGTGAGGGTATGTGCAGGTGAGGGACCGGGCAGGTGAGGGGCCCCGCAGGTGAGGGTATGTGCAGGTGAGGGACTGGGCAGGTGAGGGCCCTGCAGGTGAGAGTATGTGCAGGTGAGGGACCGGGCAGGTGAGGGTATGTGCAGGTGAGGGACTGGGCAGGTGAGGGCCCTGCAGGTGAGAGTATGTGCAGGTGAGGGACCAGGCAGGTGAGGGGCCTGCAGGTGCTCCCTTGCCTCCTCTGGAGTCTCCTCTGCCGTTTGTGGTGGTGCCTGTGGGTTGGTGGTTTTCCTTGGGGGGGCTCTTCATGCCCTCGGGTGTGGAAGTTCCCGTCCTCACTTCCTCCCTCCCCTCCGTTCCTTTGCTTGCCTGGGTGGTGGCCCCTGGGTCAGCGCTGCAGCAGCCTCGCCCTCTCCTTTCTGGGAATTTCCTGGGATTTCCTCCCAGCCCCTCCACAGGACGTTTCTCACTCCCACAGTTTAATTTTTTATTTCAGAGAGCTCCTTCTTTCTCTGACTTCTCTTTCCTGCTCACATCTTGGTTTTGGTTTGTGGTTCTAACATCATCCAACCCTCGTGCTCTTATGAAGGGTTTGGCTTCTGTGGGTTTTGTTTGCTTGGGGAAGGAGCTTCCTTTTGCCCCCTAAGCTCCTGTGTCTTCCATGCACCTTTTCTGTGTTTTGCCATCAGAGGCTGGACACTGCTAAAGCCGGCACTCCCGGGGTGCCCCTCCCGGCCTCCTCAGGGCGTGGGGCCTGCAGCCTTGACTGACACTGTCACCCCATCACCAGCCTTTTGGGGGGTGGGAGGTGGAGGACTTTGATGTGTGTGGTCAGCCCTCCTCCCTTGCATATCATGGCTCTGTTAATATCATCGATTAAATTGCTGATTGAACTCAAAATGTCATCCAGCCTCACCCACTGCCTCTTCACCAGCCCTTTACACAGAGGGGCCACTCCTGCTCCTGTCACTTTGTGTCGTCACCGTGGGATGTCCCAAGTCTTGTCTGGAGTCAGCAGCACCCGTTACCTTTATTTCCATTTCTTTTTCCTTTTCTTGAGTCAGGGTCTTGCTCTGTGGCCCAGGCTGGAGTGTAGTGTCGCAATCTCAGCTCACTGCAGCCTCGACCTCCCACGCTCAAGTGATCCACCTGCCTCAGCCTCCTGAGTATAATTTTTTATGTTTTGTAGAGCTGGGGACTTGCTATGCTGCCCAGGCTGGTCTCGAGCTCCTGGACTCAAGTGTCCACCCACCTTGGCCTCCCAAACTGCTGGGGTTACAGGTGTGAGCCACCACGCCCGGCCTCCATTTCCATGTCTTTTCTTTTTATTTCTTCCCAAATGCTTAGTGGAATTTAAAGTGGGATTTACCTTTCCCTAAGATATAGAGCTCTCTCAGCCCCAGGTGAACATAGTGATTTTAAATTACCTGGGGAAAGTGGAGGGAGCTGGGCCTTCTGTCCAGAGGGGCTGGACTCCCAGATTGTAGCCAGGGCTCCGCGCTTCCACATGTGTCCTTACTGTGTTGAGCACCTCCAGGTGCCAAGGGGGCAGGGCGGGGGGACTCCACCCGAATTTGGCAGCTGCCCACCCCCCACTCAGCCTGGGTCTCAGGGCCCTCCCTGAGGGACACGGGTCTGGGGGCATCCAGTCCACCCTGAGGGACTTCTGGTGGCTGCTGCCCACACACACAGCCTCTGCCCAGATCTTTGCTCCTCATCCTGAAGGAACAATCCGGCTCTGTGTGTGTGGCCGGGGCCGGGGACCTGCTCGATTTTATGTGCAGGGAAACAGAGGTCTTCCAAAGTCACCTGCCCGCCGTGCCAGCTCACTTCCAGAGAAACGAACACACCACATTCACTTTCCGTCTTTCACGCTACACAGTGTAGTAAAGACACCCCCTAATGTACACGAGCTGGGGCTTCAAGGTCGTTCCTCCGCCCCAGGCTCCTGGTCTCCGTCTATGTGGGCAGGTGGGCGGCCAGCCTGGGTGGCAGGAGGACCCCTCCCCAGCCTGACAGCCTGCGGTGCCCACCAAGCAGGAAATTAGGATTGGGAGCCAGGAGACACCCGGCAGTAACTTCCGGCAGGTTCACACCCGCCCCGCCCCAGTCGGGCCCAGTGCAGGGAGACTTGCACGGCCTCTTCGGAGACTCCCCATGCAACACCTTTGCACAGACAGCAGGTGGGCTCGGTAGCGGATGGTTCTGGTGACTTCCAGACGAAAGAAAGCTCCACAGCTGGCACCAAACTGGCCGTTCCAGAGGCCCAGCAAGGCCACGGGTCAGGAGGGTGGGCAAGCAGGACCCCCGACGCCACCGCCTCAGGGAAACCCTCCCCATGAGCCCCAGGGATGGCTGCAGCTCCCAGTCTGCCCACCACTGGCCTCCCCGAGGGCCGAGGGCCGAGGGCTGGGCAGGGAGCCTCGCTGGGGAGCCCACAGGCGCCGAGAGAGTGCAGCTGATCCGGCTTACCCTGCAGCCCAGACCAGCCTGCTGCAGGCTGGGGAGGGCCTGCCCCTTCACTGAGGGTGGGACCACCTGTGGCCGGCTGGCCGGGTCTGCAACACAGGCCAAGGTCCTCGACCTCTGGGCACACTGACAGGGTGGTCCATGGCCGATCGAGTCACACCGCCTGCCTCTTGCCAGGCACGCCATGTGTGGCCCTGTCCCTGGGACTCCCAGCACAAAGCTGAGCCTGCCGCCCCCTCTCAGCTGCCCCTAATGACCCCCAGTTGCCAGCCAGGTCAATCTCAAGCCCCCCAGCCAGCACCCCAGGCCTCCACGGTTGGGTCAGGCCTTTCCCCTCCTCAAGTCTCAGGACACCAGCCTCCCCTGTCAGTCCTGTGCCCTCCCGGCGGGGGCCACCCATAGGCACCCACGCTTCCTTCCTCTGTGCCCTCCTAAGCCAGGTGAGGGCCCTGCAGGTGCTCCAGGCTCCACACTCGTCTCCAGGCTCAGGCCCCTTGACCAGCCGCCCTGCCCGGCGTGCAGTGAGTGCACAGGTGATGTTCCGTGTTGGGGCAGCTGCGTGCTCCGTGCACAGGGGAAGACAAAGGCTCTCAGAAACAAAGCCCACGTCAGAGTCCAGTCTCACAGCTGAACCCCATTAAGAGCTCAATCATCTCTAAAGGTTAAATATGCTGCTGCTTAAAAAATATTCTTATTTAGCTGTTTAGATTTAGGGCACCAACAAAAGTTCTGTCCAAGAATGTTCTGTGGCTCGAGGTGGGCCACGCTCCCCTTCATGCTGAATCCTGAATCCGAGGCCTCCACCGTGACCCTCGCCTCCACCCGGGTGCCGGCTGCAGAGACGGGGTTTCCTGCTGAAAGTCGAATGGCCCGCCACCTGGCCTCACCCCCTCCTCACAGACAGCAAGGTGGCCCCACTGGCCAGAACGGCCTATGGGTGGCTTGGCAGGGCCACTGAGCCTCTCTCTGCCTCACGCTGTTTCTCTTCCAGCTTCCAGGCACCCATCCTCATCCAGGAGCCCATTTGGAGGGGTGGGCCAGACCCTGATTTGGGGAGGGTTTTCCCACAGCCGTGGCTGCTGGGCTGGACTCAGCAGCAGCAGAGCTGCACCTTCGGCGTGCAGGTGGCTGGGGCTTCACACTTCCCGTTTTTAGCCACCTGGCCCACAGGCAGAAGCGTCAGACCTGGGCCTGCCCAGGGTCACCCTGGAGTGTCACATGAATGGGTCCCGTGTCGCAGGCCCTCCTGGGGGTGGAACCCCTCCCCGTGGCGGCCCCTTTTCCATTGCTGTGTGGCACTCCCCATGTGCGTACGCCCCAAAGCATTCATTCCAACACTGAGCATTCAGGTCACTTCCAAATGTTGGCTTTTAGGAAAAATACTGATAAGAACATTCATGTCCCTTTCCTTAGCAGACATACGTACTCATTTTTCTTGGGTGATTTCCCAGGATTAGAATTCGGGTCATGGGATATACATAGCTTAGCACCAGTAGACACCACCAAACGCTGTTTTCCAAAATGGGTGTCCCAGCACACACCGCATGAAAATAGCCAGTTCCGGGGGCTCCGCACCCGCGTAGGGGGCGCGTCGGTCCTTTCCATTTTAGCTGCGTGGGGGAGGGTGTTGGCGGCACCATTGTGCTTTCATTCCACGTTTCCTCAGTGATTCAACACGTTAAGTAACGTGTCACGTGCCTGCTGGCCACCACCGTCCGCTCCTGGGAAGAACCTGTTGACTCAGCTGCCGTTTTACCTGGATCATCCGTCATCTTTCTCTCGAGATAGAGTTCTCCAGGCTTTCTGGACCCGGACACACATGGCAACACGCCCTGCAGACAACCTTTCCCAAAGCCACGGCTTACTTTGTAACTCATCATGGTGCCTTTTAATAATCAAAAATTCCTAATTTTAATGAAGTCCAATATTCCTGATGTTTCTTTACAAACAGTTCTTTTTATGCCTTCTTTTTAAAAATCTTTGTCTTTGCGAGTCCTCAAAGATGAGTCGTCTCTCGGTTTCCCCAGAAGCTTCTCTCTTGTCTTTCCCATTAGATCTGCAAGCGCCTCAGGCCAGTGCCAGGGTGGTGTGGAGTGGGGCTCAGCCCTTTTTCCATGGGACTCGGCGTGGGTCCAGGGCCCTGGGTTGCGGGCCCCTCCCTCCCCAATCCCACTGTGTGTGCGGGTCAATTCCCGGCCGTTTCCTGTCCATTTCGTCAGCAGCACGTATCTCAGTTCCTGCTGCGTTAGAGGAAGTCTCGGTGTTTGCAAGTAGAAGGCGCCTCTCATCCTCTTTCTAAGGTCGTCTTGGAAGCAAGCGGGGTCCCACCTCCAACCTGGGGTGTTCGCCCTCGAGAAGGCGGCGTTCCGCTGGGCGAACACACACACACACTCGAGAAGGCAGCATTCCGCTGGGTGAACACACACACCCACTCGAGAAGGTGACGTTCCGCTGGGCGAACACATACGCCCACTGGAGAAGGTGGCGCTCCGCGGGGCGAACACACACACCCACTCGAGAAGGCGACATTCCGCTGGGCAAACACACACACCCACTCGAGAAGGCGGCGTTCCGCTGGGCGAACACACACACACACTCGAGAAGGTGGCACTCCAGCTGGGCGAACACACACACACACTTGAGAAGGCAGCACTCCAGCTGGGCGAACAAACACACACACTCGAGAAGGCGGCACTCCAGCTGGGCAAACACACACACACTGGAGAAGGTGGCACTCCAGCTGGGCGAACACACACACCCACTCGAGAAGGCGACATTCCGCTGGGCAAACACACACATCCACTCGAGAAGGCGACGTTCCGCTGGGCGAACACACACACCCACTCGAGAAGGCGGCACTCCAGCTGGGCGAACACACACACCCACTCGAGAAGGCGACGTTCCGCTGGGCAAACACACACATCCACTCGAGAAGGCGACATTCCGCTGGGCGAACACACACACCCACTCGAGAAGGCGGCGTTCTGCTGGGCGAACACACACACACACTCGAGAAGGCGGCACTCCAGCTGGGCGAACACACACACCCACTCGAGAAGGCAGCGTTCTGCTGGGCGAACACACACACACACTCGAGAAGGTGGCACTCCAGCTGGGCGAACACACACATCCACTCGAGAAGGCGGCGTTCTGCTGGGCGAACACACACACACACTCGAGAAGGCGGCGTTCTGCTGGGCGAACACACACACACACTCGAGAAGGTGGCACACCAGCTGGGCGAACACACACACCCACTCGAGAAGGCGACGTTCCGCTGGGCAAACACACACATCCACTCGAGAAGGCGACATTCCGCTGGGCGAACACACACACCCACTCGAGAAGGCGGCGTTCTGCTGGGCGAACACACACACACACTCGAGAAGGCGGCACTCCAGCTGGGCGAACACACACACCCACTCGAGAAGGCAGCGTTCTGCTGGGCGAACACACACACACACTCGAGAAGGTGGCACTCCAGCTGGGCGAACACACACACCCACTCGAGAAGGCGGCGTTCTGCTGGGTGAACACACACACACACTCGAGAAGGCGGCGTTCTGCTGGGCGAACACACACACACACTCGAGAAGGCGGCACACCAGCTGGGCGAACACACACACCCACTCGAGAAGGCGACGTTCCGCTGGGCGAACACACACACCCACTCGAGAAGGCGGCACTCCAGCTGGGCGAACACACACACCCACTCGAGAAGGCGACGTTCCGCTGGGCAAACACACACATCCACTCGAGAAGGCGACGTTCCGCTGGGCGAACACACACACCCACTCGAGAAGGCGGCGTTCTGCTGGGCGAACACACACACACACTCGAGAAGGCGGCACTCCAGCTGGGCGAACACACACACCCACTCGAGAAGGCGGCGTTCTGCTGGGCGAACACACACACACACTCGAGAAGGTGGCACTCCAGCTGGGCGAACACACACACCCACTCGAGAAGGCGGCGTTCTGCTGGGCGAACACGCACACACACTCGAGAAGGCGGCGTTCTGCTGGACGAACACACACACACACTCGAGAAGGTGGCACACCAGCTGGGCGAACACACACACCCACTTGAGAAGGCGACGTTCCGCTGGGTGAACACACACACCCACTCAAGAAGGCGATGTTCCACTGGGCGAACACACACACACTGGAGAAGGTGGCACTCCAGCTGGGCGAACACACACACACACTCGAGAAGGCGGCGTTCTGCTGGGTGAACACACACACCCACTCTAGAAGGTGGCGTTCCGCTGGGTGAACACACACATCCACTCGAGAAGGCGGCGTTCTGCTGGGTGAACACACACACCCACTCTAGAAGGTGGCGTTCCGCTGGGTGAACACACACATGCGCTCGAGAAGGTGGCGTTCCGCTGGGTGAACACACACACGCACTTGAGAAGGTGGCATTCCGCTGTGTGCAGGGTCCAGCGTGTGTCAAGTAGGTCAAGATGGTAGGTCAAGCTGCTTAGTGTCTAGGTTCTTAGTGATTTTCTTTCTGTTGTTACATTGTGTACCCAGCCCCACTTGCCTTTTCAACCTGTCTCCTGCCAATCTGTACCCTGACTCCCAGGCTTCAGGGACCCTCCCCTCCTCGGGCTGGCCACTCCTCTGCTCTTCCCCCTCCCAGCTGCAGCTCTGTATGTTTCCCCTGTCCACAGGGAGAGGGTCCTTGTAAAAGGGTGGGTGGGCAGGTGGGTAGATGGGAAATGGAGACATATGGGTGGGTGGGGGATGGATAGATGGGTGGGTGGGTGGGTGGGTGGATGTATGGATGGATGGATGATGGATGGATGGAGGGTGGATGAATGGATGGATGGATGGATGGATGGATGGTGGATGGATGGTGGATGGATGGTGGATGGGTGGAGGGGTAGGTGGGGGATGGATGGAGGATGGATGGATGAGTGGGTGGATGGGTGGATGGATGGATGGTGGATGGATGGTGGATGGGTGGGTGGATTGTGGATGGGTGGATGGATTGATGATGGATGGATAGATGGAGGGTGGATGGGTGGATGGGTGGATGGATGAGTTGGTGGATGGGTGGATGGATGGTGAATGGGTGGAGGGGTAGGTGGGGGATGGATGGAGGATGGATGGATGAGTGAGTGGATGGGTGGGTGGATGGGTGGATGGAGGGATGGATAGATGGTGGATGGATGGAGGGTGGACGGGTGGATGGATGAGAGGGTGGATGGATGGATGGATGGATGGGTGGATGGATGGATGGATGGATGGATGAGTGGGTGGATGAGTGGGTGGATGGGTGGGTGGATGGATGGATGGATGGATGAGTGGGTGGATGAGTGGGTGGATGGGTGGGTGGATGGATGGATGGATGGATGAGTGGGTGGATGAGTGGGTGGATGGGGGAGGGTGGATGGGTGGATAGATGGTGGATGGATGGAGGGTGGATGGGTGGATGGATGAGTGGGTGGATGGGTGGATGGTGGATGGGTGGAGGGTGGATGGGTGGATGAATGAGTGGGTGGATGGGTGGAGGGTGGAGGGGAGGAGGGGTGGAGGGGTAGGTGGGGAATGGATGGATGGATGGATGTTGGATGAATGAGTGGGTGGATGGGTGGATGGATGGATGGTGGATGGGGGAGGGTGGATGGGTGGATGGATGGGTGGGTGGATGGGGGAGGATGGATGGATGGATGGTTGGTGGATGGATGGATGGATGTTGGATGAATGAGTGGGTGGATGGGTGGATGGTGGATGGTGGATGGTGGATGGGTGGATGGATGGGTGGATGGGTGGATGGTGGATGGGGGAGGGTGGATGGGTGGATGGTTGGTGGATGGATGGATGGATGTTGGATGAATGAGTGGGTGGATGGGTGGATGGGTGGATGGTGGATGGTGGATGGTGGATGGGTGGATGGATGGGTGGATGGGTGGATGGTGGATGGGGGAGGGTGGATGGGTGGATGGTTGGTGGATGGATGGATGGATGTTGGATGAATGAGTGGGTGGATGGGTGGATGGGTGGATGGTGGATGGTGGATGGGTGGAGGGTGGATGGGTGGAGAGGTGGAGGGGTGGAGGGGTGGAGGGGTAGGTGGGGGATGGATGGATGAGTGGGTGGATGGGTGGATGGGTGGATGGTGGATGGTGGATGGGTGGAGGGTGGATGGGTGGAGAGGTGGAGGGGTGGAGGGGTGGAGGGGTAGGTGGGGGATGGATGGATGAGTGGGTGGATGGGTGGGTGCAGGGATAGGTGGGTGGTGGTTGGCAGGCATGGACAAGAAGAGGAAGAACGAACAAACAGATGGCTGGAGAATGGACAGGGCAACAGAGGGAAAGGAACACAGGATGGTTTCACCTTCAAAAAAAGAGGAAGGCTGGTTCCAAGGAGCAGCGGTCCAGCCTTAAGCATTTATTTTTCCCCGGAATTCATTATGCCTGTGAATACTGACACACGGGGCGGACATTTACGGATCCACATCATAAAGAAGTTGTTCTATAGAAATTCCAAAACTGGATGAAATATTAGGAACAAAATCATGTTTTAAGCTCCCCGCAAAGAAACATTAGCTGATAAGTAACAAAGAAGCAGAGGAGCTGGAGGAGGGTTTTCCGTTCCCTCCTCCTGGATCAGAGCTCAGGCCGGACTCTAGAGGGGGGGACTCCGCGGCAGCAGCTGGGCTCAGAAGACCGCACTGTGCAGGCGCAGACGCTGGGTTCAGACGCCAGAGCAGCTCGCTTCATGGAAACCACTGAGAAAGGGAGGAGAAAACTGTGAGAACAAATGTTTTCTCAGTAACTTTCTCTTAAATGAGGTTAAGTATCATAAATATACAAATTAGGTTAACAAAACAAATGTGTTTGGGACTTCCTCAACTACTTTGTGAAAATTATTCTGGTTTTATGTAAAGAAATGAAAGGTTTAGTGCTGTTTCTAAAAATGGCCATTACTGAATAAGGATGCAAAAGGCAGTGACAGAACAGTCCCGAAATGCCTGCGGTTCCCAGAGCCTGCAGGAGCCGGTCAGCGTGGGTGTGTGTGAAAGACAGACACACACAGACAGGCAGACGCATGGACACATGGGCACGCGGATACACAGCGGGAGGCTTTGCCCCACACTTCAGGGTGCTGTGGCCTGGTGCGGGCCAGGGGGTGGGGACTGGGCCGCTTCTCCCCGTCCTAGCTTGGGATGTGCTGCAGTGGGACCACCTGGGAGATGCTGGACCTTCCTCCTGGGACAGTGAAGAGCAGAGCTGTGAGCCCCTGCCTGCCTGCCCCACCCCCATCCCCAGCACTGTGCTGGCCACAGCAGCAGACACGTGTCATGTGTGCTAGAAAGCCTGCTCCCGGAGCCCCCTGCTCCCACCCCCAGCCGCCTTCACTCATCAAGTGCTGGCCATGACCCTGGGCCAGGCTCGCTCAGGGACAGATGGTTGGGTGGAGGGAGGCAGCGGCATCAAGCCATTGGGGCAGAGGCCAGGGGCACCCTGGTCTCCTGCACAGCCTGGCAGGTGGACACTGGACCTTCTTGGCCTTCACAAAATGGCTCCACTTGGCCCCACGACGCTGGCTGCACCTCACACCTTGGCTGGCTGTGGGTTTGCTCTGCAATGGGAGGGCTGTGCGGCTTCTTAGCCCATTGGCTGAAAGCTGGGAGAGGTTCCAGAATGTTCTGCACCAAGGGGCAGGGCACCTGTACCTGGGCAAGTATCCAGTCCAAGCATCCATGGTCACACAGACGAGAGGCCCCGCCCTCCCCTGGCCACAGCATGGCGCAGCAGAAGCCCTGAGAACTCGGCTGAGAGTGAGCCGGCGCTGGGGTGCACGAAGGGGTCTCTTTGCTCCGTGGGTTGTCAGCTCTCTGTGTCCTGGGAACAGCCACCCAGGGGTCTGCCCCACATCACCCGAAGGTGGCTGGCAAGTGCTGACCCTGTTCAGATCACGCTGGTGTGAGGTCCCCGTTGGCTGCCACCAGGACTGGCCCTGAGATGAGGGTTGGCCCCGCCATCTGCCCGGGCTCCCGGCACACCCGGTGCTCTGGGCAGCTCCAGTGCTCAGAGAAGCCTCCCCCTGGGTGTGTGGGGGCCAAATCCCGGCCTGTGGCCCCAACTGTGCAGCTGAGCCTGGGCCCTGAGTCCCAAATCTGCCATTTCCCTGAGTTCTCTGCAGCCCCTGGGGCTGTCATCACTTTATTCTTTTAATTAACTCTGCAATTACAGCCTCCTGTCTCTCATGCAGAAGCAGATTCGGGCTCTGTGGGGAGACAGGAGAGAGCTCCTCTCTGTGGATGCCGCCTCTCAAACAGCACCTGCGGCCGGCGTGGCTGGGTTTTAATTATTGCAAAACCCTTTGGTGGCTTTTCATCTGTTTCAGACCAAAACCAATAAACACATTCACTTATGTCTTGAGTGAGGCCGGCCCCAAGGGCTCCGTGTGGTCATGGCGCACAAGGACCTTTGGAGAAACCTCATCGTGCCCTTCGCTGGCCCAACCCCCGCGGATCGGCCGCCCCGGGCCTGGTTCCAGCTCCTGCCAGCTGCTGTGGGAGGCCTCAGACCCTGGGACCCACAGCTGGGAAGCTGGCGGGGAGGCCGAGGGGCCGTCAGCAGGTCTCAGGCAGGCCTCTGGGGTGCTCACACCAACCCTGTCCCATGAGTGACCTCAATGGAGCGAAGGAAGGGGTGGGAAGGCGGCCGACGTTTTTCTAGAAGCACTGGGAGATGTACTTGGCGTTCTGTTGTGTTTACAGAGGATGTCCATGTTTTCCTGGAGCAGTGTGAGGAACCTCGCCCGCCTCTGCCCAGGGCAGGCGTGGGAGGGCAGGGGGCCGTAGTGTGCAGAGCCAGGGGGCCCTGGGGTGCAGAGTCAAGGGGCCGTAGGGTGCAGAGTCAGGGGGCCGTAGGGTGCAGAGTCGGGGGCGTAGGGTGCAGAGTTAGGGGGCTGTAAGGTGCAGAGTCAGGGGGCCATAGGGTGCAGAGTCAGGGGGCATAGGGTGCAGAGTCAGGGGCCCTGGGGTGCAGAGTCGGGGGCGCAGGGTGCAGAGTCAGGGGGCATAGGGTGAAGAGTCAGGGGGCCCTGGGGTGCAGAGTCGGGGGCGCAGGGTGCAGAGTCAGGGGGCCATACTGCAGAGTCAGGGACCGTAGGGTGCAGAGACTGGGGGCCATAGGGTGCAGAGTCAGGGGGCCCGGGGGTGCAGAGTCAGGGGGCGTAGGGTGCAGAGTCAGGGGGCCCTGGGGTGCAGTCAGGGGGCATAGGGTGCAGAGTCAGGGGGCCACAGGGTGCAGAGTCAGGGGGCCCTGGGGTGCAGAGTCAGGGGGCCATGGGGTACAGAGTCGGGGGGACCTGGGTTGCAGAGTCGGGGGGCCCTGGGTTGCAGAGTCAGGGGGCAGAGGTGAAGCCACGCCCTGGGATGTTTGACCTCCCTGTGCCGAGGAGGTCTCCCCGCAGCCCCAGGCTCCTCTCCACCAGCAGCTCACCCTGCACTGGGGAATCTTTGAGAGCACAGCTTTTCTTCTTCTAGAGACAGGATCTCACCCTCTCACCCAGGCTGAGTGCAGTGGGGCGATCACAGCTCACTGCAGCCTCAACCTCCTGGGCTCAAGAGATCCTCCTACCTCAGCCTCCGGAGTAGCTGCTAATAGAGGTAGACACGACCACGCCTGGCGAATCTTTCCATCTTTTATTATGTAAACATGGCGTCTTGCTATGTTGCCCAGGCTGGCCTAGAACTCCTGGACTCAAGTGATCCTCCCACCTCTGCCTCCCACAGTGCCGGGATCACAGGTGTGAGGCCCTGCGCCCGACCAGAAGCTCTGTTCTGACCTCATTTCTCTCTCTATCTCTGCCCGCTGGCCTTTGAGGCTCGGAGGAGCTGGCCCTGAGGCCCTCACCACTCACTGACTCGCTGGCGTTCCTCGTCACTCTGCCCTGGGCCCTTCCCACGACTTCTCTCCTCTCCTCTTGGTTCCTATTCATCTTTCAAAGCCGCCTCCTCCAGGACACCCTGCCTGCTTGCTCCTCCCTTCCTTTGCCTCAGGCGAGTGCCTGTCCCTGGTGACTTGAGCCACAGCTATTTCTGTGCCTGTCTCTCCTCTGGGGCCGCCCACCCGGCTCACATCCTCCGTGGGACTTCGCCCATCCGCACAGGCCAGTCACCTAGTCACCTATTAGGAGGCCCAAGGAGCAATTTCAGAGATCAACTCCTCCATTGTTCTGCAATCTCGGATCTGAGTGAAGACACCCCAGCCTCTAAGGGGGGCGCAGTGGACCCAGGAAGGGGCACCTGCCCGGCAGATGCGAGGCCACGGGAACCACTCGCGGCTGAAATCCAGATGTGCTTCTCTGGGCAACGTCCATCACCACCAGGCACAGATGGCGCACGGTGCACACTGCCGAGGGGGCCGGACACCACAGTCACCAGACAGCCGGGGCCCAACCGCTGGGGGCCACACCCGGGGCAGATGGACGTACCGGCCCATCGAGGCCCTCATCAACGTCAGCTTTCCCGGAGCAAAGGTGCTGCTGGGATCTGTGGCAGCTTCCCCCAGGACCCAAGCCCCAAAGCCTGCGTGCAGAGGCCCTTCCGAGGTGAACTCACACCAAGAAGCCTCGCAGCCAGGGAGGAGAGAGCACAGGAGCTGGGGGGCTTCCAGCACAGAGCTGAACCCTGTCCCTCCTGCTCTCCCTCCCTCTCTCCCTCCCTCCCTTTCTCTCTGCCTCCCTCCCTTTCTCTCTGCCTCCCTCCCTTTCTCTCTCCCTCCCTCCTTTTCTCTCTTCCTCCCTCCCTCTCCCTCCCTCTCTCCCTCTCCCTCCCTCTCTCCCTCTCTCCCTCCTTCCCTCTCTCCCTTCTTCCCTCCCTCCCTCCCTCCCTTTCTCCCCTCCTCGGGCCTCCCCACTGTTCTGTTGCTCCCCCAGGGTCAGACTCAGTCGCCTGTGGCCCCCCAGCCTCACACACCCTGAGCCCTCAGTAGATGTCATGAACCAGTGACTTTAAAATGAACCAACTGACTCTCACCCCAGGGGCCAGGCACAGCGGATTCCTTAGCCTGGCTACTGCTATTGCTCAGGGTCACTGGCTGGCTGTGGCTGAGAGTGTCCAGCCACACACTCCTTCCCCAGGATGTGGCCTCCCAGCTGGGGGTCTAAGGGGGCTCTGGATCACTGGCAGAGGGAGGGCAGCCCTGGGGGCCTCGGGAAGCTGTGGGGTGGAGCACAGGGCAGGGCGATGCAGGCCTGGCCCCAGCCCTGGAGAAGGAGGGACTCCACAGCTGCTCTCTGGGCAGCAGATGCCCCTGCCAGACGTCACATGCCTCCGGGCACCTCAGGGTGGGAGAACGGCCGAGGGCGAGCCCTCATGGGCGTGGGTCTTCAGAAGTGGCTATTTGCAGAGACAGGCTCTTCCTGGGCTTCCCGTCTCCACCCGAGTGGCTGCCTGCTGGTGGCAACACCATCCAGGCAGGGACTCAGGTGAGGCTGGTGGCGCCAGGGGCCTGCAGATGAGGCCCTTCCAGGAGACTGGGGCAGCCGTGGGGAGAGTGAGGCCCAGACAGCACCATGGGCCTGAGAACGTCCTCCCAGGCCATAGCCTGGAAGCGGGATGCCGGAGATTCCTGCTGAGGAAGGGGCAGAAGCCTGGACTCCAGAGGGCCGCCCACAGGTGGGACATCTGCCCGGGGAAGGGCCTGCAGGTCCTGGTGACCAAGGACACCCGGGAGCCTCTTCACTGGAGGAAGAGTCGGCTCAGGGCGGAGCCTGGCCACACAAAAGCGGCGTATCCCCCAGGGAGCCCGAGGCTGTGACCGGGAGGCCTGCAGCTGCCACGGATGCTGACGGACCTGCACTCACCACAGGAGGTCCGGCTGGAGGGCGGGTCTGGGCAGGGGCCACCGGGTCTGTCCTGCCCGGGGGACTGCCTGGCCCTGCCTGGTTTGCCCCATCACTGGAGCGCCCCAGTTTGGATGCCAAGTGCCGAGCTCGCACGGGTGACTCTACCTCGCTGAGAACTGACGAACCGTAAGTGGTGCATTCACAGAATTCACACATCAAGCTTTTTAATTTCATTTCCAATTTAATATCATCTATCTCAGTCTGTTTCTCCTGTAACACAGTCTTTAAAGTTAAGTGGGCGCGACCCACTTAACTGTTCCCACCCCTTCCGGCACGGCACCGGCACCGTCCTGGGCGCCCCTCAGGGTTCTTGGGACCTGGATTTATTGACCTGCTCAGAGAGGAGCCCAGCGGCCGTGCAGATGGGAAGGCAGCTGCTCAGAAAACAGGGCGTCTTTATTTGTTCCCGACTTTCCTAGGCAACAAATTACCAGAGGCCGCCGACTCGTTTGGGGAAATTGCTTCTGGGAACAGTGTTATTTTTACCTCCGTCTTGCAATCCTCTCACCCACCTGGCACCCCACCGCCCAGCGCACGCAAGCCAAGTCCCGGAGCTGCCATGCTCGTCTGTGAGGAAACGCTGGAGCTGGGTGCCCAGGGCTGCTGGGGGTCCACGAGCCCCCGGGGCCAGGCCGTGAGCTTGGTCGGTGGGCCCACGGCCGGAGGCTCCAGGCTGGTGAGGACCCTGGGCAGCAGGAGCCCCCATTGCCTTCTGGGATCTGGGCTGATGCTGCAACGCTGGCCCGGTGGCCCCAGGTGGCCTTACGGCCTCAAGGACAAGTGGGTGCCAGAGCCCAGGTCTCCCTGGAGGTCCCAGTTACAGAGGAGTCGCCGAGACCAACGGCAGGGCCTTCACCCACACCCCGTGCAGGCATTTGTTCACAGGTCCCCCTGCTAGTCCTGATAAAGGGCGACGTGTGTGCACACGCGTGCACGGTGTGTGAGTAAAGTGGCAGAAAGAGTGTCATGAGGCGGTGACGCTACCGTCCCCACAGCCAGCCTCATCTCACTGACGCCTCCCTGTACGCATTGCTAAAAGATAACAGCTGTGATTTCTTCAAAAATTAGCAATAAAATTCCTGTTTGATCAAGTATTAAGCCTAGGTTCCCATTTTCTGGGTTTTCTTACACTTTGTACAATTTATTTGTAAAATCAGGACCAGCACAGGCCCCAGGTGTGGCTGGCTGATGTCCCGCCCTCCGTCTGGACCTGCCGGCCTCTGCCAGCCGCCTTTGTCTCCCCGAATACTCTTTGCTGAAGAAACGCCGGCCGGCATCCTCCGGCCAAAGTTCCCCCTGTGGACTCAGGGGTGGTGCCCACGGTGTTGTTTACAGGGTCTTGTGGCCCCTTGTCTTTTTTTTTTTTTTTTTTTTCCTTTTTTAAAAGACCAGGTCTCACTCTGTTGCCCTGGCTGGAGTGCAGTCGCGTGATCTCAGCTCACCGCAGCCTCAACCTCCCGGGCTCAGGTGATCCTCCCGCTTCGGCCTCCTGAGTAGCTGTGATTACAGGCACACACCACCACACTCAGCTACATTTGGTATTTGTGGTGGAGATGGGCTTTCGCCATGTTGCCCAGGCTGGTCTCGAACTCCTGAGCTCTAAAGATCCTCTTACCTCGGACCCCCAAAGTGCTGGGATTACAGCGTGAGCCACCATGCCCAGCCCCTGCGTGTCTTACAAGGTTGTGGCTGTGTCTGAGGTACTGACCGCCCAGAGGTGGTGGAGTCTCTCTTCCCACAATGGCTGTTGCCAAGTCCACTGACCCAGCAGGGGTCAGAAGGCCAATCCCCTCATCTCTTTTTCTTTCAGTGGCCCTGTAGACGCCTGCACAGGTCCCCCTGGTCCGTGGTCACTGTAGACGCCTGCATGATCCCCCGTGGTCTGGGGTCCCTGTAGACACCTGCACAGCCCCCCCGGTCCATGGTCCCTGTAGACGCCTGCATGATACCCCTGGTCCATGGTCCCTGTAGACGTCTGCATGATCCCCCGTGGTCTGCCGTCCCTGTAGACACCTGCACAGGACCCCATGGTCCGTGGTCCCTGTAGACACCTGCATGATCCCCCATGGTCCGTGGTCCCTGTAGACACCTACACAGGCCCCCATGGTCCGTGGTCCCTGTAGACGCCTGCACAATCCCGCGTGGTCAGTGGCTCCAGAGTCCTCCCGAGATGATGTCAGCAGCAGTGGCCCGGATTTCTGGTGCTGCTGGCCCCCGGCCCCGACACACTCTTCCTGATCCAGCTGGGCATCACCATTGTGCACACTCTTCCTGATCCAGCTGGGCATCACCATTGTGCCCAGGGCTCCTTGCAGGGGCTGTGGGCTTTAGAGACCACAGAGTGTTTGCCCAGAGTGTTCACTGAGACTGGGCTATTCATTGTTTAACTGGGCAAACTAGGAGTGAGGAGTGTGGTGGGGACCACAGGTGCCAGCAGCCCGTGGGGACCTTGGCTCAGGGTGAAGCTGGGAGTCGGTCTGAGGATGCAGACCTAGGACCCGGCCATGCACTCAGAAGCAGCCGCCCCTCAGGAACCTCCCTTCCGATCTCTGTCATGAGCTCCCTGGGGGTGGAGCAGAGGCTCCTGCTCTTCACAGGGCCACCGCAGAAGCCTCAGGCCCCAGCCCTGGCCTGTGGTCACAGCAGGGAACAGCCACAGGCCCCGAGCTCTGCAGCCCACAGCACCCCCTGCCGAGGCCCAGCAGCTGACCTCTGTGACCTCTGTGCCGAGGCTTGGCTGACAGCACCATGTCCAGCCCTGCTGAGGCTTCCGTCTAAACTCCGCAGAGCACACAGCCCCTTCACCTCCCACACAGCACAGCCCAGTCAGGGAGCCCCAAGTCCACACAGGAACCAGCCATTTTCTCCAGGCGAGCACCCTTGCTGGGCAGGTAGGAGAGGGCAGAGTGGCGGTGGCAGGGCCGCCCCAGGCCACGCCAAGCTGCATGGAGGGAGGAGCAGGCCCAGCCAGGAGCGGTCGCAGTCCCTGTCCACCTGGCAGGCAAGCTGGGGTCACGTGAAATCACACGTGGGCGCCCTCGGTCAGGAAGACAGCACCCACGGGCCAAGCAGCGAGCGTGTTTCCCTGCAGCATTGCCCTGGGAGGAGTGGACGCTCAGGTCTGGTCCAGGAAGCAGCTGGGGCTGGGGCGGCCCACGGGCAGCAGGGCTGGCAGGAGGCTGGGGCCTGGTCCTTGTGTCCTTCCTGCTGGCCACACACCCACTACCTGGGTCCTGTGGCCCTCGGGGTGTCCTGGGCATGGCACAACCAGCGTGGGGAGATACTGCTAAACCTACTGACTCTTTGAGGAGTGAAAACGGAGGGCAGAGATTTGGGGGAGGAATTTTAAAGTCAACTTGAAAGACTGGCTTAGTGGATCTGGCTGAGTCCAAATTGCATTTGGAGAAAATTGCTGTGTCAGGAATCTTTTTTTAACCTGCGGATGAGGAAGTCTTGTTTTATCCGTAGTTTAGGAGTGACAGGGTTGCGCTGTGTGATAAGGTGAGTGCAATGCTGGCTCCTCATGCCCCAGTGGGGGACCCCTGGCATCCGTGGGGCCACAGGCAGGGTCCTCTGGGGGTGGCCCACACGGGAAGATGCTGCCTTTTCTCCACCGAGGGCTGCGCCTGCCCCTCACTCCCCCAGCATCACAGGCCAGAGGTCTGGGACTGGCCTGGACACCACTCCTGACGTCCTGGGCAGCCTTGGACCCTTCTTCCCCCACCTTGGGCACCCTCAGGGCAAGGCACAGGTGAGGGGCAAATAGGAGCAGACCACCCACAGCGTGGATCCTGCAGATGCAGGCACAGTGGGCCACAGGGTCCAGGAGGAGGACGCAGCAATGCGGGGTGCGTGGGCTATGGGCCGGGAGCAGGATCTGAGCAGGATCCACCACCTCCGAGGGACACGGGGGCACCTCACCCCCTCTCAGCCCTGTCCCTGCACCTCACTCACCCCTCTGGGTCCTCCTGCCCACAGCCCTTGCAGGGCACGTGAAACCGGTCACTGTGGACCGGCCTTCGCCTCCGGCTCTGCCTCTGCCTCACGCCTCGTCCTGCGAGTCTCACGCCAGCTGCTCTGTGGCTATGATGATGGCTGAGCATATGGACGCACTGGTCAAATATTTGGAGTTTGTGAACTATATTTTGAAATTAATGAGGATTTTGGCTTTCATAGACTTCCAAAATATATAAACATGCCAGCTTCTGGGGAGGATGTGATCCACCTGAAACCAACCCCTTGTCAGCAGGGTGTTTGCTCCTGGGTGGCGCCTTTAGGAGCCGAGGGTGCCGGGCTCTGCGGCCGCATGTGCTGGTGCCCGTGTCTCAGGCTCTGCGGGTTCCCCTGCCTCCTGGGTGATGATGTGGTTCCCAAACTCTCCGCATCTTCCAGGGAGGATGCCTGCGCTGCCGTGGCCACCTGCCCAGCCCAGATGGAGCCGTCGTGCTCAACACCAAGCCCCAGGGCCCCTGACCTGGTCTCCCCGTCTCTGTGGCACCAGCTGCTACCCACAGATGCAGTCGGTTCAAGTGCTTATCACCCCCCAGAGCAATTCTTGAGAGCAGGGCCTCCCGGTGGTGTACCCCCCACCCAGCCCAGCCCAGGAAGGTCCACTTGCTGCTTGTACGGGAGCCTTGTTTGGGGAGAGGGGCTTGTGAGGCTCTGACGAATGCCCTCGAGGCCCCGGGCACACACCGCAACCATCTGTCCATGGCTCTGCGAGCCACTGGCTTCTCCCCTTTCCACAATGCAGGGAGTGGTCCCCACGGAGGGCGTGAGTCCCTGCCCCCACTTCAGGTATTAGCTTGTTCTGGGCTTCGGCTATTACCAACAGCTCAAAGCAGGAATCACTGGCTCAAAGATTATTATAAATTTTTAAATAAAAAGATTATTTTTAGGCTCAAAGATATTTTGAAAGGAGAGAAAGCAATGTCTTAAGACACAAAGAACTGAAAAACTGCCCTACGGTGTGTGAAAAACTGCCCCGTGGCGTGTGAGAAACTGCCCCGCGGCGTGTGAGAAACTGCCCCTCGGCGTGTGAGAAACTGCCCCGCGGTGTGTGTGTGAGAAACTGCCCCGCGGCGTGTGAGAAACTGCCCCACGGTGTGTGAGAAACTGCCCCGCGGTGTGTGTGTGAGAAACTGCCCCGCGGCGTGTGAGAAACTGCCCCTCGGCGTGTGTGTGAGAAACTGCCCCGCGGTGTGTGAGAAACTGCCCCTCGGCGTGTGTGTGAGAAACTGCCCCGCGGCGTGTGAGAAACTGCCCCTTGGCGTGTGTGTGAGAAACTGCCCCGCAGCGTGTGAGAAACTGCCCCTTGGCGTGTGAGAAACTGCCCCTCGGCGTGTGTGTGAGAAACTGCCCCGCGGCGTGTGTGTGAGAAACTGCCCCGCGGTGTGTGAGAAACTGCCCTGCGGTGTGTGAGAAACTGCCCCTCGGCGTGTGAGAAACTGCCCCGCGGCGTGTGAGAAACTGCCCCTCGGCGTGTGAGAAACTGCCCCTTGGCGTGTGTGTGAGAAACTGCCCCGCGGCGTGTGTGTGAGAAACTGCCCCTTGGCGTGTGAGAAACTGCCCCTCGGCGTGTGTGTGAGAAACTGCCCCGCGGCGTGTGTGTGAGAAACTGCCCCGCGGTGTGTGAGAAACTGCCCCGCGGTGTGTGAGAAACTGCCCCACGGTGTGTGAGAAACTGCCCCTTGGCGTGTGTGTGAGAAACTGCCCCTTGGCGTGTGTGTGAGAAACTGCCCCGCGGCGTGTGTGTGAGAAACTGCCCCTTGGCGTGTGAGAAACTGCCCCTTGGCGTGTGTGTGAGAAACTGCCCCGCGGCGTGTGTGTGAGAAACTGCCCCTCGGCGTGTGTGTGAGAAACTGCCCCTTGGCGTGTGTGTGAGAAACTGCCCCTTGGCGTGTGTGTGAGAAACTGCCCCGCGGCGTGTGTGTGAGAAACTGCCCCGCGGTGTGTGAGAAACTGCCCCGCGGTGTGTGAGAAACTGCCCCTCGGCGTGTGAGAAACTGCCCCGCGGCGTGTGAGAAACTGCCCCGCGGCGTGTGTGTGAGAAACTGCCCCGCGGCGTGTGAGAAACTGCCCCGCGGTGTGTGAGAAACTGTCCCGCGGTGTGTGAGAAACTGTCCCGCGGTGTGTGAGAAACTGCCCCGCGGCGTGCGTGTGAGAAACTGCCCCGCGGCGTGTGAGAAACTGCCCCGCGGCGTGTGTGTGAGAAACTGCCCCGCGGCGTGTGAGAAACTGCCCCGCGGTGTGTGAGAAACTGTCCCGCGGTGTGTGAGAAACTGTCCCGCGGTGTGTGAGAAACTGCCCCGCGGCGTGCGTGTGAGAAACTGCCCCGCGGCGTGGGTGTGAGAAACTGCCCCGCGGCGTGTGTGTGAGAAACTGCCCCTTGGCGTGTGTGTGAGAAACTGCCCCTTGGCGTGTGTGTGAGAAACTGCCCCGCGGCGTGTGTGTGAGAAACTGCCCCTTGGCGTGTGTGTGAGAAACTGCCCCGCGGCGTGTGTGTGAGAAACTGCCCCTCGGCGTGTGTGTGAGAAACTGCCCCTCGGCGTGTGTGTGAGAAACTGCCCCTCGGCGTGTGTGTGAGAAACTGCCCCGCGGAGTGTGTGTGAGAAACTGCCCCGCGGCGTGTGAGAAACTGCCCCTCGGCGTGTGAGAAACTGCCCCTCGGCGTGTGAGAAACTGCCCCGCGGCGTGTGTGTGAGAAACTGCCCCGCGGCGTGTGAGAAACTGCCCCGCGGTGTGTGAGAAACTGTCCCGCGGTGTGTGAGAAACTGCCCCGCGGCGTGCGTGTGAGAAACTGCCCCGCGGCGTGGGTGTGAGAAACTGCCCCGCGGCGTGTGAGAAACTGCCCCTCGGCGTGTGAGAAACTGCCCCGCGGCGTGTGTGTGAGAAACTGCCCCGCGGCGTGTGAGAAACTGCCCTGCGGTGTGTGAGAAACTGTCCCGCGGTGTGTGAGAAACTGCCCCGCGGCGTGCGTGTGAGAAACTGCCCCGCGGCGTGTGAGAAACTGCCCCTTGGCGTGTGAGAAACTGCCCCTCGGCGTGTGTGTGAGAAACTGCCCCGCGGCGTGTGTGTGAGAAACTGCCCCGCGGCGTGTGAGAAACTGCCCCGCGGTGTGTGAGAAACTGCCCCTCGGCGTGTGAGAAACTGCCCCGCGGCGTGTGTGTGAGAAACTGCCCCGCGGCGTGTGTGTGAGAAACTGCCCCACGGTGTGTGAGAAACTGCCCCGCGGCGTGTGAGAAACTGCCCCGCGGCGTGTGTGTGAGAAACTGCCCCGCGGCGTGTGTGTGAGAAACTGCCCCGCGGCGTGTGTGTGAGAAACTGCCCCGTGGCGTGAGAGAAACTGCCCCGCAGCGTGAGACACACTGCCCCGCGGTGTGCCAAAACTGCTAATCCTAGAAAAACCAGCGACTCAGGAATATTAATTTTCAAACAAATAATTATTTTAACAAAATTGCCAGGTGGAACGACTTGCTTCCGACCACATCTAATTTGGTAAAATTGCTTTGGCCCGGTTGCCAGAAGCCTTGGCAGGAACCAGGCTGAGGCAGCTGGGCCAGCCACGGAGGGCAGCGCAGCCGACCCAGGCAGGGCCGGGCAGCACCAGGCGGCAGGTGTGATCAGACGGAGCGGGTCCCACGGAAGGGCGGGGGCTTGAGCTGGACAAAGGCTGGGCCAGTGGGTGGGCAGGACCTCAGGTACCAGGTCTACTCCAGGCAGCACCAGGGACAGCTCCCAAGCCGCTGCCGGCTCTGGTCCCCAGGGAGGGGCTGGCTGCACCATGGGCCTGCTCATGGCCCTCCAGGCCAGACGCCCCAGGGACGGCACCTGGGCTGACCCTCGAAGATGCTCCAGGGCTGTGGGTAAGGCAGGGAAGGCTTCATGAATGTCAGGACAGTGAGGCCCCGTGGGTGAGCCGGAGGCAGGCGAGGGTGTGGTCGGGAGGGAACGCGTGCTTGATCCCTCCTTGGTGGTACGGAGACAGGATTGTGGGGCCGCCTGCTTCCTCCTCACTGGACCCGCCCTCTTGCCTAAGCAGGACCCCGAGGGGTGCGGTGGGGGCTGGATCCCCGTCCTTCTTGTGACCACGGCCCAGGGATGGCTGGCCAGACGGGGATGGCGTCCCAGCCCTGACAGAGCAGGGACAGGACCAAGAAAGGCCCCAGAGCCACCCCCACTCCTGGGAAGACCCCAACGATGGACTTGGCCCTGGAGGGACCACCAGGCTCCAAGAGGCAGCTCCTGACCCCCAGGATGGAGGCTTTTGTGAAAACCAGGTCATGTGGCTGATTATTCAGGTCTGGAAACCGGAATAGTCCCAAAAATGTAAAACCATCTGGACATTTGGCTGTTTCTGTTTCAGCCTTTATCCCACGTTGAGATCAGGGTAGACCTGGGAGACAGCTGTGCAGGCAGCAGCACTCTGATACAGGGAAGCCGGAGCCGCGGACCTGTCCCACGTTGAGATCAGGGTAGACCTGGGAGCCAGCTGTGCAGGCAGCAGCACTCTGATACAGGGAAGCCGGAGCCGCGGACCTGTCCCACGTTGAGATCAGGGTAGACCTGGGAGCCAGCTGGGCGGGACGCACTGCTCTGATACAGGGAAGCTGGAGCCTCGGACCTGTCCCAGGTTGAGATCAGGGTAGATGGTCTTGGAGCCAGCTGGGCGGGATGCGCCGCTCTGATGAAGGGAAGCCAGAGCCTTGGACCTAGATGTAAAAGCTCTGTGTTCACAAATCTTCCCGGGGACCCACATTAACTTCCGAGTCGGGAAGGAATCATCTGCATGAAATCGGGGGTTTCACGGTGCTCCCGCATCTTGGCGAAGATGGCGTTTGGTGGCCGTGGGCTTCACCGTCTGAATTCATGGACGTTAACGGGCAGGAGCGCATGCATGTCGCTGTTAAGATCGGCAGTGTGGCTCTGTGGTTCCCTGTGATGAGCCCTCATTACAATTCCGGGCTGCATGTGGTGGTTTCTGTGGCAGAGTTTATAAGTGTCCTCGCCCCACGTCTGTGGCCGGGTGCCCAGGCCACGTGTCAGCCCTGGGAGGGGTGGACAGAGACTCACATCGAACACTCGTGAGCCTGCCTGGAGCAGCCACAGTGCTTGGGGTGCACCGAAGGGGAGCCCTCCTTGGTCTGCTGAACCCTGACTCCTTGTAGAGGGCTCGGGCCTCACCAGGGCTGCCCTTGTGAGTCCAGGGCCATCGGGGGTGGAGGAGGACACCAGGAGGGAAGGCTGCGTGCTTGTGGGCTCCTGGAGGTCGTCCACCCACAGAAGCCGTGTTCTGATTATCAACACGCCCTCTGGCAGGACCCCCTGGAGCCAGGGCTCCCTCGGCAGCACCGGGCGCTACAACCAGACCCGGGCACCAGGCAGCCAGCAGCAGGGGCTGTGCTCGGATGCAGCTCTACACGAGGATTTTGTGCCGGGTGCAGCCACTGGCTGGCGGGGACACTGTGGGTTCCCAACTACTGTGGCCTGGCCACATCCGCTCCCCTCCCCCACTCAAGTGTCCAGACAGAGGCTGGTGGAGCTCCTGGGCTGCAGAGGATTTATCCATCAATGCGCAGCTGAGGACGTCGGAAAGCCATGTCTGGGGTGGGGCCTGTGGGGCCTCGGGGAGAACGGGTGAAGGCATGTCACCCCCAGTGTGTGAGCAAAGCTACAGCATAGCCATTGCCCCAACAGCCAAGTGCACTCCTGCCCCTCACAGCCCCTGCCCCCGACACCTGCCTGGCTCCCTGGCCTGCAGAATGAGCAGAATCCCACACCCATCCAGCCCTCCCCACCTGATCCCAGACTTCCCCAGGTGCTCTCTGCCTGGGTCCCGGGTGGGCTCAGTGAGAGAGGAGGCCACGTGGATCCTCTGTGGCCACCGGCAGGAGCCAACAGGAGCTGTGGGGGCCCCAGGCCACACCGGGGACCCCAGAACCTTGTAGGATCGGGGCTTTGCATAGGGCCTCCCTTCCCGTGAACACCCACTCAGAGCCTACTCCTGCCTTCTTTCAATACCCTCCACAAGCCTTCAGCAAAACCAAGGTTCGCGACTTGGGGAGGGGAGGCCTTTATGCCTTTTCCAAGGAGGAGAAGGTATCTGAGGCCCAGCGGGTAGAGGCCTACGAGACCCACGGCCTTGGCCTGAGGTGGGCATAGGATGCTGAGACAGAGCACATCCCTCACACAGCCGGACCCCTGACACGCAGAGTCCGCCCCACAGTACAGGCCGACAGAACCCTGTGCCGTCCCCCTGTAAGCCTGGATGCGTGTGCCAGGGCCTTGCGCTGGACGCAGAGGCCTGGCCGAGGCACCCTGGACGCAGGCCCTGTGCGGTGAGGCCTTCCAACGTAAAACCCACCCAAGGGGCTCATTCTGCAGGGGGGCCCACAAGCGCCAAAGGGCCTGTTTGCCACACGTGGTGGTCAGTGGGAGCCACGTGAGCTTCCCCGGGGGCCTCCCGCCTCAGAGGAGGGAGACTGTGCTGGCCCTGTGTCCTCTCGGGGGCTCTGCTGAGTGCTTATTAAAGAGGCGGCAGCAGTGAGGAGATTTTAGGTTTGTTAATTTTATTATTTGGTTCTCAAACGAGGCTTCACCTCAGGGTAAGCACGAATCTGTTGGCTTGAATCTTGGCTAGGAATGGTCTGCACAAATTCAAACTGACGCTGGGGGGAGACGGCTGGTTGCCGTGGCAACCAGAGAGCCGTTTTTAATTCCGCACGGTGAGTGGCGGCTGCTGCCGCTGTCTCGGGAGGACGGTGGCCCTGGGTCCCGCGCGCTCTGCGGCCAGGCTGCCCGCTCCCCGGAGGCCGCCATTTCCCCTCTCGGCGGGCTTCTAAGTTCAGGCTCTCAGAGTCTCCACCAAATGGCTGGAAACGAACAAACGCAAAGATCTCGAAAGTGTTCCAAAAAGAGGCAGGTCCTGCCCGAGATGCCAGTGGCGTGAGGCCACTGTTGCTCCAGAGCTCCGTATTTACAGCAAGCTCCTCACGCGAGTCCCCGGCAGCCACGGCCCCTCCAAACTCGGGGCTGGGGAGGGGCTCACCCTGGCGAGGGAAGACGGGGCTGGGGGCTCACCCCTGGCGAGGGAAGGCACCCATCAGCGTCCTGAGCCTCAGGCGTCGGCCTGACCTCCAACTCTGTTAACCTGCATGAGGCAGCGTCATCTCTGGGACTGTTTCCCGTTCTCCCACAAACAGCCTGCAGAACCCAAAGCCACAAGATGCAGAGAAACGTGGTCCCCTGGCTGAGGCCTTGCAGGCAACACGGCCCACTCTCTCTGGGTAGGGGCGGGCCCATCCCCCATTGTTCCTTCCCTACGGAGGCAGCAGCCGCAGCTCAGGCCCCAAGGGGGACTGTGGCAGGAGCAGGCGGCCACCCACGGGCGCCCCACATCTCGTGTCCATCAGGACGTCCCCTCAGAGGGAGGAAGCCCACATCCACTACTAAGAGGGCTGAAGGCTCCTGGCGGGAGGCAAGTCTTCGGCCATGGCCCCAGCATTTCGGAGGAGGTCCCAGTGGCCTGCCCAGTTAATGAGGCCAGGTGGCGGCCTGGCCCCTCCCAGAATAGAACCCCAAACTGACCTTTCCAGAAGGGAGGAAGAATCGCAGAGCAGTGGGAAGGGCTGGGGGGTCCCATGCACCCGAGACCCTGTGAGCCTGGGCCTCGGGTGCCAAATAAACAACAAAGCCCTCGAGAGTCGCGCGCCTCAGGAGTGGGGCTCTCGTTGCTGTCGGGCGGCGTCCAGCAGCTGTTTCTTTGGAAGGTCAGTGTTGAAGGCGTTAGGATTTGCGTCAGGAAGAACTGCTCCCACCCCCCTGTGCCAGGCCCACCTCCACCAAGGCCAGCTGGGCTGTGTTCAGACTGCCCGGCCCTCCACAAACCCCTCCGCAAACCCAGCCATTTCTTTTGAGAACATCTTTCCTCCCACAGTGAGGCAGGAGCCACATGCCTGCTTCCGTGTGGACTGTGAGCTGTGTGTTCTTACAGTTTTAAACCATCAGAAAAAGTCAAAAGAAGAATAACCCTTCGTGGCACGTCCATGGATGACGCTTCGTGGCACACAGGCCCACCCCTCGCTGGTGTGCTACCTGCAGTGCCGAAGCCAGCAGGAGGCTGCCCTGATGGAGAACGTGGCTGGAGGGGCTGCGGTGGTCGGCCCTGGGCATCCGCTTGGCAAGGCTGCTGTCTGCAGTTTCCCATCGAGCACTCGTGGAGTTGCTGCTGAGAAAGGGGTGGTGTAGATGCAATGGCCGTGACCAGCACTTGGCCGTCTGCGCTGTAGGCCAAGGAGGCCTGCCTGGGCCCACCTGGCTGCAGCGGGGAGCTGAGCCTCCCTGAGGAGGAAGGAATCGCACCTGGGGCAGCAACAGCAGCTCCTGCCTGGGTCCCTCATGGCCGCGTGAGCCGCTTCCTCACTGTAAAGCTCTTCACCTATGTAACTATGTATCAATGTAAACAGGAACGTATCCTCCGCCTCTGCATCTCTGGTGAATCCGGGCGATACGTGGTGAGACACCTTAATAAACACCTAGATAGACCCTGCCGTGGTGAGCACCTGCCTCCAAGGGGCAAGCACGGGGCATTTTCCTGGCTAGGAATTCTGTCTTTCTCACCACGAGACTCTTCATGGACTTACGTTTTGAAACAGCATGTTTGGGTTTGTTCGGATTTTAAAATTTCATTCTTCTTTGTCTTATTTCCATTTCCTGGTCTTATCTTTTTTTCTTTTGTTTTCCTCTCTTGGGGAGGTAAGAGTCAGGGAGGCAGGCAGCACCCTCACCCGTGTGCCTGCAACATGGTTGAGACGCTTCTCTCCTGCCGGGACTGGAAAGGTGGGCCCTGTGGTCAGCCGGTGCCGCAGCCAACCCTGCAGTCCAGAAAGCAGACGCTTTGCTGATGAACAGTGAGCAGAGGGCCGGGGGCCCAGGGCCCGGGGCAGTGACCTCTGGTGGCAGGGCAAGTGCTGACATCCCCGGGCTGCCGGGCACACGGCCGCCGGCTCACCTGCTGAATGCCACCCAGAGGCCTGCGTGATCCTCCAGGGGGGCAGCTCCTCATCCTGCCACACAGCGCCCGGAGACTTCTGGAACACACAACCGCAAGTGGGGTCTAACCTGCAACTGGAAGAGCACGTGACTGTCTGTGCCTCGGTTTCCCCATCCCACAGGCGTGCCGCCCAGGCCACCATGTGGGACTGTTCAGGAGACAGTGCCCGGTCCCCAGCACCACCCTGGAGATGAGACCTGAAGCAGGTGCCCTCCAAGGGCAGCTCCAGGGAGGGGCTCGCAGAGCAGCGGGGGAGGGGCCCTGGGGGGCAGCTGTGAGTGAGCAGGAGACACCCGGTGCCCCCACCCCTCACAAGGCCGAGCCCCACAGACTCTGCCCAAGGGCAGCTCTGGAACACGTGGCAGTGCCAGCTCCCCCTGGCTCTCTCTCCTTCACCTAGGTTATCACTAGGTGTGGAATGGGGGGGGAGGGGCAGCCCTCCCGGGTCCTGACCACCACGTGCGGGGGCAGCAGGACATTCGCAAGCCAGTGGACCTGTCTGCCTCAAGTGCCGGACCCCAGGGCCCCCACAGCACCTGGTAGCCTTCTGTGTGTCCTACCCGGATACCAGCGGCCTCCAGGGCTTTCCCTTGGACAACCTTTCCCTTTGGAGCCTGTGGGGGCCCAGCCCAGGGCCCAAAACCAGCTAGGACTGAGGTGGGCAGTGGGAGCTTCTCTGGGGCCTCCCAGAGCCTGGCTGGCTCCACCACCTCCCTCTGCCCCCACAGCACCTTCGAGAAGTTCCCCCGCAAAGTCCCCGTGGGACTCAGGGCAGGGCTCCAGTCCGTGTGCAGGGAAAGAGACAAGCCAGGGCCACTCCCCCCACCGGCCGGGGCCTCCTCTGGGCCCCAACTGTGATGTGCCAGGAGCCTCCCGGGAGACACAGGCTGACCTGTGCTCAGTGTGGTACCCTCACCTGGAGCAGTCTCTGTGGTGGGAGCCGCTGGGTGCAGGAGTAAGACGTCAGGGCAGAGCCCATGGGGACCCCCGGCCTGGGGACGTCTGGGGCAGAATCCTCCCCTTGCTGCCCGCTTCTTCCCAGCCCTCTTGTCCAGGACCATCACCCAGGGGACACCAGGGGGGGCTCCGAGGCTCCAAGGGAACGGTGTCCAGGGAGTCAGGGCGGCCAGGTCCTGGGGTGCCTAGAGCGTCTCCAGCTGGGAACTAGACCGTCGCCTGCCTGGACCCTGTGTCCCTCAGCTGGAGTTCAGGGACCAGCACAGTGTCCCCACAGAGGGGCTCTGGGAACACCAGCTAGATGGGGCAGTGGGGCCCTGAGCACATCCCGCTCAAAAGCCCCATAATGAGAGGCCGGGGAAGCGGAACGCTGTCACCCCTGCATCTAATTCTGCCTCTGTGAGTCTTCATGACAACCTCCCAATAGTACATCCTTCAGGCCCCTCAAAATCCATGGCAGCAGGGCCTGGGGACCCCCTGAACAGGCGCCAGTGTCACAGAACCTGGGGCAGAAGTAGCCATGCAAGGGTGGAGGCCAAGGAGGGAACAGGTGGAGGGGTGTGGGGTCACCCAGGGCCAAAGGGGGAACAGGTGGAGGGGTGTGGGGTCACCCAGGGCCAAAGGGGGAACAGGTGGAGGGGTGTGGAGTCCCCCAGGGCAGTTCCTGAGACTCTTGCTGAGGCTGCCACCAGGCCAGCACGTGCCCCAGAAAACGGAGTTTGTGACGAAAACTGGAGTGGACTTGGACCCACCTTGTCGGGTAGGAGGCCCCTTGGGGCAGGATAGGGACCTGTGGGATGTGTGCAGAGCCCAAACCTCGCTGCGGGTGGGAGGCTGGGCTGCGCCGCCCCTGGCACCCTGGCCTCCACACTCGCCTTGGCTCTGGATGCCCAGCTCTGTGGCCCAGGATGCAGGAGGGTTGGGGTAGGGGGACAGGGACGCTTTCTGCACAGCCACAGGCCCTGTCTGTCTACACCGGCTGCGGCTGCCCTGCTGACTCACACTCAGACGGGTTCACGACAGGTGCACCTCGGTTCTGGCATATCTGGACTTGAGAATGTTAAATAAAGGATGGAAAATTCCTTCCAAATCCATTTTCTTGTGTATATTTCTGTTCCTGCAGCTTCTCCACGGATGGAGATTGTCTTTGGGAATAACACAGGGTCGTGCAGTCCGCCCGGCGGCGTTTTCGGGCGAGGGTCTGGTGCTGGGGAGCGAGCGCGGAGCGAGGTGTCTCTTTAAATACGCTCTGCAGTGTGACGGCGGCCGCCCGGCTGGAAGAGCCATCCCCACCCTGCGGCAGGAGCCCGCCCGCCGCCATCGCCCGCCCCGGTCCCCATGGTTACGCGCCTGCCTCCGGCCCCGGGTCCCCGCTGTCGCCGCGGGAGGTGCGCGCAGAGGCGGCGGCGCTGCTGGCCGGGCTGGGCCGCTCGTGCGCGGGGCTGTGACTCACCGGCCGGCGCCGCAGCCCCGCAATCTGTTGATAACTCGGTCCCAGCTCGGCCGCTGCCCTCGCGAATGGAGAGCGGGTCCCCGGCGGGGGGAGCGCAGCGCGTCTGTCTCCGGGAGCGCGGCCCGGCCGCCCCGGCAGCCGCTTCGGCCACAGCAGGTGGGAAGGACGCGCGGGTCTGGGCGGCGGGAGGGACGCGCGGGGCCGCGGCTCGGCAGAAAAGCTCGCGCCCCGAGGTGACACTGGCCGCGAGGAAAGCAGCTCCGAGTAACTTTCGGCTCCGCTGGGGCGGGAGGCGCCACGGATAATCCAGGGCCCCCGCCCCGCGCGCCCGGCCCGGAGCTCGAGCCACATCCAGGCAGAGCAGGCGCCGCGGCCGGGCTGGGGCGGGCGGGTCACTCGGTGCCGGTTCCCGGTGCAAACCCCCCGGCGCGCCTCTGGCTTTGTGCAGCCCGAGATGGTTGAGTTTGGCTCCGGAGCCGGGAGTGGGGCGCAGATTGATTTTTAAATATGGAGAAGGAGACGCATCTGCCGCTGGCGCGTTCGGTCCGAGCCCCCCACCGGTCCCCACCGGCACCGCCTCCGCCAGCCCCAGGCGCAGCCCCCAGGCCGCCCGCGGAGGGGAGGGAGCGACAGGGGCCGCGGCTGCTCCCTGGCGGGGTCGGGGCTGCGAGCTGCCCTCCGCGGGGACCCTCCGCCCGCCCCGCTGACCGCCGCTGTCTTCACAGATGGGAGCAGCTCCCGGACTGCGCCCGCCCCGCCGCGGTCACCCTGAGGCCAGGGGCCCGGGAGCGCGACCTCCTGGCCGCCGTCTGGGACTTTGACCTTCCAGAGGCCATGGAGGCTGGCGGGGAGCAGGGCGCCACCTGATCGCCTCCCCCTGGACGCCTCCTCCAGCGGCGCTCACGCTTCCGCAACTTTGCAGCGCTCATGGTGAGTACGGGGGTCCCGGGGGTCCTGCAGCTGGGGGCTAGGCCGCTGCGGGGGGGCGGCCACCCGTATGGGGACTCCCAGGCTGGAAAAGTTGTGGAATGGCGAGCTGGTGACCGGGCTTCCGGGCTCAGTGCCGGGGTGGGAGGCTCTGTGGAGTGGGGGCCGGGGACAGGCCGCGTGTCTGGGCACCTCTGCTCCCCGCGTGCTGGGTGCTGATCATACTAATGAGTTGCAGGCATATGGCAATGTGGAATCATTTAATCAATGGAGGCGACGTCCCTCCCGCAAAGCTGGCATCCGTGCCCTGTGAAAACCTGGTCTGTGCCTGGGCTGGGGTCCCTGCCACCCCAAGCCCCTCCACCCTGGTCACCGGCCTCCTCCACGCCACCCTGCCGGCCCCTTCCCATTAGAAAGTTGATGAAAGGCAGTGCGGACAGACGTAGGTGGGCTTCAGCAGTGGAGGCTGTGGCGGAGAGAAGGCGGCCGCGCACACGGCAGGCACGGGAAGGGTGTTTCAGCGGGAAGGGGCTCGTGGCTGGCAGCTGGCTGGATCGGCTAGCCGAGCCCATCGTGGGTCCCTCCCTGAGGCACCAGCAAGCTTTTGCTGCAGTTGCTGAATGTCTGGGTTCCGGAAGGGCTGACAGCTGAGTGAACAATGCATTGTGTGTGCTGGTAAGGGACAGCTGACAGGCGGTGAGGACCCAGGGCACGTGCAGAGAATGCCAATGGCCTCTAGAATGTGCGGCCGCCACAGACGCCGGCTGGCGTGCTTCGGAGCAGACCCAGTGTTCGCTGCATAAGGAGCCATCGGTCTGAGTCACTTGCTCATTTTCTTCTTGTTCCGTTCGAAATGTCCAAGCAAGAGAGATGCCTTTGCCAACATTCAGTATCGTCTTCCAGTGGCTGCTTCACCTCTGAGGCTGGCTGAGGTCTCCGCACTTACCTTTCAGACACCTGACAAGGTTGCGTCTCCAGCACCAGCAGCACCTCAGGGGGCAGCAGGCCAGCCCCAGGGCTCCTGCCTGCCCCCAGGCTCCCACCAGCCTCAGGAACCATCGCTGTTGCCCCGCAGGTACCACACCCAGCGCAGCCCCAGGCCTCCCAGTTGGCAGGATCTGTGGCTTTTCAGCCTCAAATTGAGACCCTTATTTGCAAAATGGAAAACTGTCATTGACAGAGGACAGTGAACGGAGAAGGGCTTCTGAAGGTGGGGGTGCTGCCGCAGCCCGGGGGTCCCTCTCATCCCCTTCCTCGCCTCCTCCTCTCTAACCCTTGGCCCTTCTGCGAACAACTGTGCGGGGGCCTCCCCAATCCAAGAAGGGCACCACCCCTCGCAGGCTGAGCCTGTTCGTGCACTCTCCTCTCAGCTCCTGGCTCCTGGTGGAGCTTCCTGCTACCACCTCCTCGGCCCGGGGCCACCCGGTCCCAGCCGGCCTGGCAGCCCAGAGCTCCTGCTCACCCAAGACTGTGAAAGCCTGCTGAGCTCGATCTGCCTGGAGAGTGTGGCATTTCAGCAGCTCACTGTTTTTATTCACAACAAGTAACATTTGCACCTGAGAAAATCTCTGAAAGTGTGAGGAGTTGCCCTCCCGTGCTGCATCAGTCTGGTGCAGCATTTTTCTGCATGTGTCTCCAAGTTCACAGCGTAGTGTGACAGCGTAATTCACAGCACGTGTCTCCAAGTTCACAGCGTAGATACCTGGGCAGGCTCACCCCATGGCCATGGGGTCTTGAGAAGGAAGCCTGGAGGCCGTGGCCAGGGCAGGGTGGCCCTGACTCTGCCTGCCCCACTGCTGTGCTCTGGGGGGCTCCTGACGCCTGCCAGGGGCAAGCTGCCTGCTGAGCTCCCAAGTGTAAGGGCATAGGGCACAGGTCACAGGTCAGATTCTTTGGTGGCATCGCTCCTGGCCAGGCACAAAGGCATGAGTCAGCCCTGGATTCTGAGCTGCTGTCCAGCAGCTTGGCTGGGCCAGGCCGTCCTCTCAAAAGGCTGGTTTGTCGGCCCATGGTGCTCTACAGGATGGACAGTTTGCTCCCCTCTGGAGGACCTGCAGGCCACCTGTCCAGTGGTTAAAGCTGGGGCACCTCCTTCTGCAAGCTGTGTCTCCGTCACCACTGTTAACGAGCAAAAGCAAATGTGAACTTGCCTGTCTCCGCAAGGGGTGCTATCAGGACTTACGTTCCAGCAGGCTCCGAAATGAAATAGGTGTCACTTCGCACCCTGTAACTTGCAGTCCTCACACTTAACTCAGAGAACAGTTGTTCTCGAGGGCCTGAATTTGAGGCTGAAAAGCCACAGATCCTGCCAACTGGGAGGCCTGGGGCTGCGCTGGGTGTGGCACCTATGGGGAAACACCTGCAGGGTTGGATGGTGTGGCTGGTGCAGTGTGGTTGCCGTGGGATGGGCGGTGTGGCTGGTGCAGTGTGGTTGCCGTGGGATGGGCGGTGTGGCTGGTGCAGTGTGGTTGCTGTGGGATATGGTGTGGTGTGAAGATGTCGTCTGGCCCTCTGTGGCTACTTTCATTCCACAATTGCAATATTTAGGTGCAGCTGGGAGCATGAGCTCATCGTCCCTTCAGGGTTCAGGCCCTGTGCCGATGGCACCATTGCCTGGTTAGCATCTGTGTTTCTATGTGGTCATCTGTGAGCTGCCAGCTTTCTGTGAGTAGGGTGGAGGCTCTCAAAGGGGACTCAACCGAGCCCCTTCCAGCTCTCAATTCAGGGCTGACTCTTGGTCATCAGAGGCGCTGTTTGCTGCACCCTGCATGTTCTCAATGCCGGGATTGAGTGCGAGGACAAGCTTGGGCTGGGGGACCCCAGAGACCTGGTGTGTGTAGGGAGCTCCTTGGGTCTAACACTTCCTTCCCCAGCTTCTGAAAGGACAGAGTGCCTTCGAAACCTCCAAGGAGACGAGGCGGGTAGCCAAAGGGTGAAGACCTCCAACCGGAGGGTGACAGGCCCAAGGTCAAGGCCAGCCTCCTGGCGGTGCCCCCAGGAAGGGGAGTCTCGGAGGCCGAGAGTGAGGAGGAGCCTGCAGCTGCTCCCCGAGGCCGGACCCATGTGAAGTCCGCCCTGAAGAGAACCAGGATCGGGTCCTGGCCCAAAGGCAGGTTGTGGGAGACTCGGAGCTCTGAGTTGTTAGGAAGTACGTGAGCCCACATGAGGTGGGTTTATCTCTGCTCAAATTTTACCCCTTGGCCTCTGCCAGGAATGGGCATTCAGGAGGTGGGAGGGGCCCGGGACGCAGGGCCTCTCACAGGGCGTAAGGATGGTCGGTCGCGCGTACGAACATTTCAGAGCTATACTGAGTTCTTTTCAGCTAGTTGTTTTTTAGTCTAATATCTAAATTACTAAAAATGGCTACAGTCTACTTCCTTCATCTCACAGATGGAGAGTTTGTCATCCCACCTCACATCTTCCCGAAAATTAAGAACTTTAAGCAAGTAACTACCAGTCTAGAAAGAAAGCGTCTATGATATTTTAACACTTTTTTCCCAAATCTCTTCAAAACTTCACTAGCCCATCTACTCCTCCAAGAAGAAAATCATAACGCACCTTACAAACGTAATGCCGACTATGGGTCATCTGTGTTCTGGAGGAATAAATTCTTCTCCTCTACCTTCCACCTTTCCCCTGGAACACATCCATGAAAAGTTGACAGATCAGTAGATGCAATTATTATTTAAAAGGCAGACAAGGGAATACATCAGGCTCTCAGGAAATCAGTGTTCATTGGCACAGAACCAGGAAGTAAAACAGGGAGAACCAGAAAAAACAAGAAAGAGAAACAGGAAGAACCAGGAAGAAGCACCTGAATGAAGAAGGAGAAATAGGGAGGGAGGAAGGAAGGAAGGAAGGAAGGAAGGAAGGAAGGAAGGAAGGAAGAGAGGGAGGGAAGGGAGGGAAGGAAGGAAGAGAGGGAGGGAGGGAAGGAAGGAAGGAAGGAAGGAAGGAAGGAAGGAAGGAAATGAAGGGAGCCTGAACCTGGAAGAAGGAGAAGGAGGACTGGAAGCACCTGGGAGGATATGTGTTCCTTCCTCAGCCAGTTGGAGCTGCAGACCTGGCCCCGGACACCTCACCGTGCAGGAAAGAAGGTTCCTCAGCCAGTCGGAGCTGCAGACCTGGCCCCGGACACCTCACTGTGTAGGAAAGAAGGTTCCTCAGCCAGTTGGAGCTGCAGACCTAGCCCCGGACACCTCACTGTGCAGGAAAGAAGGTTCCTCAGCCAGTCGGAGCTGCAGACCTGGCCCCGGACACCTCACCCGCAGGGAGGAAGATTCCTTCAGGCAGCTGGCATTCCCCAGGTTTGAAGAGGTCACTTTCCCACCTCTCACTGCTGCAGAAAGGTTAAGTTTTGATCAGAAAATTCACACATAACTTGACCGACTGCTTCCTTCTCATCTTTCCTCCTTTGTTTTTGTCTTTAACACCCTGACCCACTTGATTTGCAGAACACACCAAAGAGGAGACCTCCAATTAAAATGAGGGAAAACAGAGGAGGAAGTTATGACTAAAGAAAGAGGAGACACAAATAAGCCAGAGCACGAGTCCCACGCACGCCGGGCTCACACGCTGGCGGGACTGTTGGCTCCGAGGCCGGCAGATGGGAGATGGATGCCCGCCTTCCCCAGGGAAGCAGAGACATCTCTGGGTGCCTTCTAGAGCAACCTGGGCCATCCTGCGGGCACAGAACCAAGCTGGCATTCCGGCCATTTCATCTGGGCCAAGAAGGTCGGGGCCACCTTCATCCGCCCCTTCCCAGCCCCCTTGGGTCCTCGGAACCGTGTTCTTCACCCCCCAGGAGCCTGGCTGCATTGCGAGCCGAGGGTCCAGGAACTCTGCTTCTGACTTGCTGGCTCACCCCTGTCAGCCAGGCTCTGTTCAGCCACAGATCAGACCAGCAGGCCTGGGGAACACTTGCAAAGAAGAATCGGTGCATGTGCAAACTTTAAAAGACAACACACGTCTCCACTGCACATGACCCACTTTGAGTTTTAAATGTCACCTCTGAAAATGTAGACAGGCACTGTTGATAACTGTAATTTGGAGACAAGAAAAAGAAAAGAAACCAAACCAAATCACACATCTGTTTCTTATAAAACATCTTGTTGACACACGGATCATTGCACAGGTGAGGACCATGGCCCAGGCCTCCAGCTCACGCGGCAGCTCCAGGCGTCCACGCCTGCCCTTGCCGCCTCAGTCCGTGTGAAACCTCACAGCTTGGCCTTCAGACGAGAAGCCCCACACAAGGCGGCGTGGCCCTCGCTGTCACTGGAGCTTGGGCGGCCTCCTCCCAGCGCAGCCTGCACCTTGCACTCGCGCCCTGAGACGTTTGCCTCTTGCATGAAAAGCAGCTCTGATTGGGCTTAACATGAAGGGGTTTGTGTTTGTGACTAAAAGCCACAAACGGGAGGCTAAGTCTCCTTCTGGCCCTGAGGATGGAGGCAGCGGGACAGGACGCGGCTCGCAGGCACCAGACATCAGGGCACACACTTTCCTGGCTGCCATCTGCGCCTCCGCCCACAGTGGCACCGCCCCTCGCCCCCGTAGCTGAGCAGGAGTCTGAGTCCTGCAGGAAGGCGCGGCGGCCACAGCAGCCCCAGGGAGGCCGTGAGAGGACGCGTGAGGGCCCGGGGCAGACCACCCCAGGCTCTTCAACACAACAGATGAGAACGAAGTCCTTGTTCCAGGCGACTCACTGAGGAAATGCTCCGATAGACTCGGAGAGGGCTGGACACAGAGTGGACCCCACTCTCTTGGCTTCTCTCGCGGATCTGGGTTTGCAACAATGGCTCGTCGGAACTGTGTAGAGCGTTCAGGTTTATTTTAGACCCTGGGTCAATGTCTTGGAGGAAAAGCCATTGACTCTCGTGGAAGAATCCTGGGGACAAGAATCTGGGGCGTCGCTCACGCCCTGTTAAAACTTCAGTTCTTCTACCCACATGGGGCATTCTCCACCTCCCAGCAGCAGATAACTCACTGGATAACCTGATGTCGGGATTTGGCCGGGAAAACATGCTTTTCTGTGACTTTGGAGCTGTTTGCACGTGGCAGGAAGTGGGCGCCTACTAAACCAGCAAACGTGGGACAACCAGCCTGGCACCGCCCGAGCCACGCCAGAGCCCCCATGCATCGTCTCCTGATGGCAAGCACTCCAGTAGCCAGAACACCAAGGAGGGACGTGCGAATGTCCACAGTTGGCCGGGCTGTCCCTGGGCTGATCTCTGGGGGAAGCAGGAGCCCCAGCTGGAGCTCGGACCGGACACTCACCCCACGACTGTTGCAGGAGGCAACTGACGCTTCGGGCTCTGGGGCACTCAGGAGAATCTGGACAGAGGCCCACCCAGCTCACCTCTTTACAGAGGGGCAGAGTGAGGGTGGGGCTCTCCTGGGCCCTGACTCCCCCGAAAACCCTCAGGGGCCTCTGTCCAGGGTGGGCCTCAGAGCCAAGCCTGAACCACAGGGCGCTGTCTCTCTGTGGGGTCCTGGTGTCCAGGAAGAAATGGGCAGATTCTAAACACTCCCCGGAAAGCAAAGTGTCTGCTGTCACTCCAGCTCTGCGGCCCCACAGCGACGCCCGCTCCTCTCCCAGGTGCCTTCGCCCTCGCACAGGTCCAGGCTCCTCGTCCCGGGATGCAGGGCCCCTCCGGTGCCCGCCTGGCCAGTGCTGTTCGAACCCTGGGGCAGGGGCCCTATTTCGGGCTTTGACTGTCAGCCAGTCCCTTGGCTCCCCAGAGCACCCTCTGTCCACGGTGGACACTCTCTAGCCAGCCAGGGCCTCGTCTTGGCTGGACGGACAAGAAGTGTGGCCTCAGGAGGGAAGCAGGAGCTCTCGGGCCCGCTGGCTGCCTGCATCCCGACACAGGTGACACTGCCTCTGCCCATGGCCCTTCCTGCACAGGAGGGTCCCTCTCCACTTCCCGCCTCACTCAGCCGGAGCCATCCCAGAGGCCCGGCCGGCTGCCTCCTCCTGCCCCGATGCCCAGGGCAGCATCCATGGCGTGGTCAGAGTGGCTGGAGCCTGGCACAGGTGCAGCGATCACCAGGGGGCTGGGGAGGGGCCAGGCGGCTGCAGCCCTCACCCCTGCTGGCACCCACCCACAGGGTTCTTACCGGAACATGGCACCCACCCTGCTCGCCTGCCTGAGGTTCATAACTAAACCCTACACAGTGGGGCCCTGAAGCACAGACATGTTTCCCACAGTCTGGAGGCTGGAAGCCTGAGACAGAGCTGAGTGCAGGCTGGTGCCCCGAGGCCCCCTCCTGGGCCTGTGCACGCATGTTTCTGGGCTGATGCCCCTGAAGCCCCCTCCCCAGCCTGTGCACCCCTCTGTGCTTCCCCGGTGAGCTCACCTCACTCACCTGATGAAGAAAAGATGAAGCTCCATCAGCTCCAAGCCTTTCCAGCTGGGTCGATTTTCCCCCAGTCTACTCTGCCACAGAGAACACACATTCCCCTTTGAACTCTGACCCTGAACCCTTTTCTTGGGCCGAGAAGCAGGTGGAGTTTGCGGCCTCCGGTCCAGGTCTGTTGGTGCCGAACAGTCTCCACTCTTTCTCCACCTCTCGCAGAAGCTCGTACAGAATCCTCCCGGAAGATGTTGACAAGCAGGGTTTCGATGAGTGTGGGGCTCCCAGTGCAGGGCTGGGGCCATCCCATGGTTTCCCTGCCTCTCTGTAAGGCCCATCCAGATCCCACCTGGCCACCCGCAGGCCACGGGAAGAGAGGAGGCTGGAGGCAGGCATCAGTCGGCCGATACATGGCCCCAGGAGCCAGCCTCAGAGCCACACAAGGATGCCTTTGGCCAGCAGAGCCAGTGGAGGGCGAGGACAGACAGCACTCCGTGGCCACGTGGGGCCCCTCCCGTGCACTCCCTGAGCATCCACAGACGCAGCCTGACCGTACCTCCCCAGGCAGCCCCCCTTCCCTGAGACCCCACACGAAAATGCCTGGAGCGGCTGCAGGGGAAGCCGAGCCCCAAGGGTAGGCTCAGGCGACGGCGCCGCCCACACAGACCCACCAGCCAGTCACACACGTCTCCTTTGCTTTATCCTCAGGATCTGAAGACAGTGCTCTCCCTGCCCCGCTACCCAGGGGAGTTCCTGCACCCCGTGGTGTACGCGTGCACGGCCGTCATGCTGCTCTGCCTCCTGGCCTCCTTCGTCACCTACATCGTGCACCAGAGGTGAGCCTGGCATGGGCAAGGGCGCCCCCTGTGCCCAAGAAACCTGCTTTTACCTTCAAAGGCAAGTCCCTGAAGGGCAATGCCACTGCCCCCTCATGTAGCAAGAAGTCCTTGAAGGTACAACTCAGGTCACCAGCTAGCTCAGACCCGCTCAGCAGCCTGGTGCCCATCACACAGCCGAAGGGTGGATGGAGCTCAGGGAAGCCGCGCCTGTCCACTCAGGCCTCCGTCAGGGTCTTCTCCACGGCATCCCCCGTGTCCTTAACTGGGCAAAATAAGTTCTTCCAGAAATAGGTGTGGTGTCCGTCCAGGCACCCTGAGGAGCTCAGTTCCCCCGGGCAGTCACTATGGCCTGCAGAGCCTGGGAGAGGCACCAAGAACATGAGGGTGTCCAGCCGCAGTCAGGGTGGGCATGCCCACAGCCAGTCATGGGCGGGGGTTCGGCTATGTCTGAGGCCAAGGTCGCCTCGGTCACGGACAGAGCTTAGAGGCGCCCAGGGCCACAGTCTCATCAGAGACTCGGGCACACACGAGGCTGTGATCACAGGAAGAGGCTTGGGCGGTTCCGAAACTGTCATCTTGGTCTGTTTGGGCTGCTGCAGCAGAACACGGGGGCCTCGATGGTTTATCGACAGGAGAAACTGACTTCTCAGTTCTGGAGGCCGAGGTCCCAGATCAAGGCACCCATGACGCTGTGTCTGGTGCGTCTGGAGAGGGCCAGCTCCAGGCTCACAGACGGCACCCACTGCCTGTGTCCCTGCCTGTGTCCCTGCATGTGGAGGGTGAGGCACTCTGGGGGCCTCTTTCTCAAGGTCCCTGATCCCATCACCACAGCTCTGCCCAGAGGCCCCCGCTTCCAAATATCATCAGCTTGGTGGTTAGTGCCGTCCTACCAACTCGGGGGGAGGCAGATAAAATACATTTAGACCAGAGTGGCTGTGATTATGGGGAGAGGATGAGGCGAGGCCATGGCCAGAGTCACAGTGGCCACCATGCAGCCATACCTGTGCTGGCCACAGCCTGGGCGGGTCGGGCCCCAGACATGGTGGTGGTCATGGAAAGGGTCACAGCCACAGGAGGGCATGGCCGGCTCAGCCCCAGGCTATAGCCGGGGTCACGCTGAGCCAGTCTAATCACGGTCTCTTCCTGATGTGCCAGACACCTGCTCAGAGGGACACCCCATGCTGGGACCCAGGGGGTGCGGCCTCTATCTCTGAGACAGTGTGTGGCCAAGTCCTGGAGTCTCAGGGCCTCGGTGTCTTCATCCGCCAAGGGATTAGGTTGTTCAGGCTTCTGCAAACCCCTTCCAGCGTCAGTGTGCCAGGGTGACGTAAGGCAGAACTTTCCAGTGGCCGTCACTCAGGGCAGACTCGGACGACCCATCTGCTCTCCCCTGACCGGGTCCTCGGACAGCTGCCCCTGACCCCACGGAGAGCCCGGACTTCCCGGGGACAGAGCCTGCGCCCCAGGGGGCTCCCTTCCACGCCTCCCCCTGCAGAGCCTCTGCTCATGTGAAACCCTCCTTTCCCGTCCCACAGCGCCATCCGCATCAGCCGCAAGGGCCGGCACACGCTCCTGAATTTCTGCTTCCACGCGGCCCTGACCTTCACTGTGTTCGCCGGCGGCATCAATCGCACCAAGTACCCCATCCTGTGCCAGGCGGTGAGTGCCGGGGCGCCCTCGTTGGCTCCTCCCAGAGGGGAACTGCGTGAGCGTCGTCTTGTTTACTAAATAATATTCCAGCGTTTGCTCAGCTATTTCCCGGGAAGAGGGTCGGACCCTGGCACATCGGTGTCTCGGCTTCACGCCATGCAAGTCCACATGCTCCACGTTTGACCCCAGGGTTGATTCCACTGCACCGCCCCCTCCAGGCCGGCGCTAACCTGACACTTACTGTCCCCAAAAGGTGCACTGCCCGGGAACAGGGACACAGCCTGCCCCTCCCGGAGAAAGTGCTGGGGGGACACAGCCCGCCCCTCCCGGAGAAAGTGTTGGGGGGACACAGCCCACCCCTCCAGGAGAAAGTGCTGGGGGGACACAGCCCGCCCCTCCCGGAGAAAGTGCTGGGGGGACACAGCCCGCCCCTCCCGGAGAAAGTGCTGGGGGGACACAGACCACCCCTCCAGGAGAAAGTGCTGGGGGGACACAGCCCGCCCCTCCCAGAGAAAGTGGTGGGGAGACACAGCCCACCCCTCCCGGAGAGAGTGGTGGGGGCAGCTCGAGGAGGGGCACACACTCCGGTCCAGGGAGGAACCTGCAGATGCTGCCGCCTGAGTCACCAGGAGGGCAAGCTCGTCCTTTGCACAGACCCCCCAACCCCCGGAAGCCAAACAGAAATGTCACTCGGGGAACCCTCCTCCCCCACTGCAGGGAGAGCTGGAGAGCACCGAGCATTGAAAAGAACGACACACAGAAGGGCTCCTCACATCCGGGGGCCCAGCCTGACCTTGGTTTAAAAGGGGGGACGTATACATCACACTCAGTTCCTGGCAGAGCTCATGGTGGAGACCCTTACATCAAAACTAAGCCCTGTCCTCCTCCACTTTGGGCTGTGGCTCATGGCCAACAAGAGGACCTGCCCGGAGCCTCTGTAGCCACAGCTCCGGGGCGGCTCCTCCCCGCACACCCAGCCCAGTCCCAGTGGCCACCCCACTTCAGCAGCCACACAGCCCAGTACAGTCACCTCCAGGGCCCAGACACAGCCAGGGGGCTGCCACGGACTGCAGGGCAACTTGCCAGGGGTCCACCCTGCAGTTTCTGGAACCCTCCCATAGTACCTGGCACTGACATGCACCTGCAGACAGCAGTGGTGGAGACTCATGCAGGGGTGTCTGGGGAGAATCTGAGCTGAGTGCACAGAACCCCCCAGACTCCCCCACAGGCTCCCACACCTGCCTGCCACGGCCACGGGCTTCCTTCCTTCCCAGCACTACACTTCCGTGTGCCAGGCTGGGACGGGCCGGGCAGGCGCTCACACAAACACAGGGCCCTGGCGTCCGGCACGCAGAGGAGACGTCATGTCTGTGTGACCACACTTCATGCCAGACTGCCAGGAGGCCGTGCCCCCGGCCTGGGCCTGGGCCTGGGCCCAGCATGGCCCCGGCGGAGGAGTCGCTGGCACGCACCTGAAGGTGGCTAAGGTCAGACGTACCTCCTGCCTCCTTAATCATTCCTCTGGTAAGCTGGAAACAACCACAGCAAGTGCCCGGGAAACGCCATTGACGTCCCGCCTGTAAGTGCCTGCGAGAGGCCGTCACCATCACGTCTGCACTTTGCCACCAAGTACGCCCCACACTGGGATGAAGCCTGCTGGATCCGCGGGTGAGGCCCCCCGAGGGCCTTCAGCAAACCCCGCCCGCGCCTTCGGGAACACCTGCCACTGCTTGCCTGGACGGAGCTCCTGGGGCCCAGGCCTGCGGTGACAGCTCGGGGCGGATGCTGGGGTGTTGGGGCTGCAGCAGGCAGGTCTGGAAGGTTCCAGAGGGTTGCAATCTTGGAGGAGATCTTGTTAAGGCAACAGCCATCAGGAGGAAATGAGCAGAAAAGATTGTGGCCTATCTCCAGATGCTGTCCTGATCTCCCAGGGAGCACGATCCACTCACTCGCTCACTCAGCAAATGTGCTGAGGGCCTGCAAGGTGCCAGGCCATGCTGTGGGCACTAGGGCACTGCCAGAGACAAACCCACATGGTCTCACTGTGAAGCCGCGTTCCAGAACAGGACGCAAGTGTGGAAAATGAACCGTGGGAGCATTTTCCCACGGCAGGTGGTGGGAGGTGCCTGCCGGACGCGTGACGCCAGGCTCGGGAAGCGGAGGCAGGGGCCGCAGTGGCTGCAGCTCCAGAGCCACTCGGGGAGCCCACAAGGCGACGTTCTCCGAGCTCCCCGATGAACTGTCTGCTCCCCGTGCTCTGCGAGGCGAACAGAAGCCCTCTCATTGATCTAACGCTGAGGCCAGGCCAGTTCCGCATTCCCGCCTCCGGGTAAGGAGGAGAATTCAGCCACTACCGGCTGGAGGAAGGAGACCTGAGGGTCTAGTAAAAACTAGACTTGGAGCCCAACCTGCCTGCATATGGGCCAGTGGTGGCTGATCCGCCTTCCCGCCTGCCCCGCCCTTGTCACACCCACCTTCCTGCCCGCCTGCCCCGCCCACCGGGGCCACAGCTCAGCACTGAGTGAAACCTGGTCCCAGGCTCTGGATGGCTGGAGAGGACGGACTGTTGCTATGGCAACAAAGAGATGGCCGTGAGCCCCATTCGCATGCTAAGTGACACATTCAACAGAGACAGGCGCTGGCCCTGGGTCCGGCGGGGTGGGGCAGCCGTGCAGCACCGTGGGACGCTGGTGGCTTCCCTGCAGCCTCTCCATCTGTCCAGCCTGAAGTCGGTGTCCAGGACTCAGAGCTCTGCCACGTACACCTTCTTGTGACCCCCAAATGCACATGGCACGGGTGAGGCTCAGCTCTGCCACCCTCCTCAGCGCCCCGGGCAGTGACACTGACAGCCCCACGGCTGCTTCCTGAAAAGAAAGAACCCGAGGCCGGGCTGTGGGGGCTGCCTCTGCCCTACTCCTCGACACGGTGCCCCATGGTTTCCAGGCCTCCCTGTCTCCACCAGGCTGCATGAGGCCTAGGCACTGGGATGGGACACGACCCCACACTCAGTGGCCAGGCCGGGGGAAAGGGTGGAGCCCCCCGGGGGCTGCTGTGTCTCCTGCCCCCAGCGGCGCACAGGGATCTCACCTGAAACTGCAAACGCAGCCCTCCGATCTTTCCAGCCCACCCCACAATATTCTCATCAATTACTGCAGAGCCTCCTCATCAGTGAAAATTGAGCTCTGGATCTGATAAATCATCATAATGGTGCGACGTTAGCTTTATGCGGCGAATCTCTGTATTCCTTAAACATTTATGTCCTTTCCAATTATAGCAGTATTTTACCTGTCATTTCAAAATGTCAGGTTATTACTCCAAAGGTAGCAGTGTGGCCCTCGTAATAAGCAAACGCAGGAAGTTTCCATAGCAATGAGGAACGGCGACCTGCAGGGCCACACGAATGCCGGCCCCGTGGGGGGCTCATCCCACCCACAGTAAGAGCATCCTGGTGAATGAGGAACGGCGACCTGCAGGGCCACACGAATGCCGTCCCCGTGGGGGGCTCATCCTACCCACAGTAAGAGCATCCTGGCGTGACCCCACTGAGGACTTCACCTCCTCTCCCTTGGTGGACACCTATCCAGGTCTGAGCTCAGGGGACGTTGGTCTGCAGCTCACAGTGTCCGTGCCTGGGCCACAGGGACCACAGCGGGTTGTGCATGCAGAGGGGCGTGAGTGCACAGGCCCATGGGTCCCCACAGACTCCCTGCTCCCGTCTCTGTGCAGAAGGGGAGGAAAGCTGAGCCGCTCAAGGGTCTCTGCAGCTCAGCGTCTCCCTGTGAGTTCTGGGCGGCTGTGGGGCGGCCGCTGCCTGCCCTGGGATACAGACGCTGCTGGCCGCCTGCCGTTCTCATTCTTGAAGTTGCAAGCCCGGGCCGAGGCTGCTGGGCTCTGGGGGGTGGGTGCCCGCCAAGGGCCTGGCTGACCGCTGCTCCCCCACAGGTGGGCATCGTGCTGCACTATTCTACACTGTCCACCATGCTGTGGATAGGAGTGACCGCCAGGAACATCTACAAGCAGGTGACCAAGAAGGCCCCTCTGTGCCTGGACACAGACCAGCCACCGTACCCCAGGCAGCCCCTGCTCAGGTACTGAGTGCACATGGGCGCGAGGCCCCGCCACCTGGGCCCTGGACGCTGCATGCACCTTCTGGGTCTTGGCAAACCTTCTCACCAGGCCACCAGGGGCCTGAGGATGATCCGGTCCATGGGGGAGGGTCAGTGTTCCCAGGGAGGGTGGAGAGCGGGCGACGGATCTGAGGGTAGGGTGGTGTGCTGGAGGGGAGGGGCGCCGGAGGGGAGGGGCGCCGGTCACTGGGGGTGGGGCAGAGGGGGCCCTGAGGGTGGAGGGTCCCGGGTGGAGTCTGAGGCAGGCGGTGCCCTGCCCTCCACATCTGCAGCTGGAGCCCGGCTGCTCTGGGGCTGGTCTGGGGCTGGCGTGTGTTGGGGGCTGGACAAGCCTCCTGTGCTACCGAGTTGCTGGCGTGAGACCCTCTATGCCCCGCAGGGCAGCCACACTGGGGAAACGGGCTCTGGTGGTTTTGGCTTCGGCTTCATGGTCTCCGTAACATCAGGCAGCTGACTGTCAGCGGGTGGAAAACCTCACACACTCAGGCACTCATTTCAAGGTGGCCCTGGCCTGGGCCCTTCAGGCCAGGAGGCAGGTGTGGTCCCCCAGTGTCTCTGCTGTGTGAGGCCCGGTTGCTGGGATGGGACACTCGCCCTCCCCCGCCGCCCCGGCGGCCTGCACCAGCTGTTGGTCCCCATCCATCCTCAGGCTGGGAATGCACCGTGGCCTTTGTGGGAACCATGGGCCTGCCTAGGGGGGCGGACACAGCCCATGATGGCACAGACCTCCCTCCCTCTCTCCCTCAGTCCAGAGCCAGGGGAACCCAGACGTCCACGTCTGGGAGGTGGCAGGAGCTCCTCTGCACCAGCAGGAAAAAGCCGGGTCAGGGAGCTGGGACAGCTGCTTTAGACGGGGGTCTGGCCGCGGCCGTGACCAGGCCGGAGCTCGCCAGGGAGCTCCAGCGCCTTTGGTGTTTCCTTTTCTGAACTGAGACTGAATCCCAGACACAGTTGGCGAAAGCCAGGCTCGGAGCGTGGCCTCGAGGCCTTGGGTGCCTACCTGGCCCATCCTCTGGGGTTCCCTGGGGCTCCCTGAATGCCTGCCCAGAGTAGCACCCTGTGTGAGGCACCCCCGCCAGAGGCTGCTCTGTGGCCAGCGGTCCCAGGGGGTCTTGGAGGACATTCATCCGGTTGCATGGGAGACGTGACCCGGTGCTGGCGCACGGACACCTGCTTCCTCGGAAGGGCTGTCCGGCACTGTCCCGTCCAAAACGGTCTGAAGAATTCATTTCAAGGCAGATACAGCCACGTCCTGTATTGTTCCAGCAAACAGCACTCATTTGCACCCGGAGCATTTTCTGACACTGTTTGATTTTCAGATCCACGCAGACACGTTGCCACTTAGCAACCAGGGCTGGGTGGTGCTTCTGCCGCTGATGGGGGCTGGGGAGGTAGGGTTTCATTATCTTGCCTCTCCTGCCAGGGAGGCCCCAGGTCCCCTGGGTGTATAAATCACTCTCAAAATGCGTTTCCTCATCTGTAATTGATGGAAGAGCTGCCTGGTTTTGAAGACCAGGCTGGCAGCCGTGGAACACCCCGGCGCTCTTCCATCCGGTGTCTGCCAATGCGCGCCGCAGAGCCGTGCGTCTGTCCAGGTGCTGGGGGGCCAGCGGGCCCGGGGCTCGGCACTGACCGGCGGACCCAGCGACGGCAAGGCCCTGCTTGCGGCCATGGTGCCGAGGCGACTGCTTCCTCCTGGGGCTGCCTGGAGACCCCCATCCTCCACCCCCTGCCCTCTGGGCCCCCTTCCTGTGTAAGAAAGGTCTTGACATTGTGGCAGGGGGTGTCCACACAGTGCCGTGTTCCAGCTGTGTTCCTTGGTTCCTGGCCTGCCTCGTCGCTCCGCCTCCCCAGCCGCCCCCCCGGTGTCTGGCCAGGGCTCAGCCTGTGCACCCCTGAGGCAGGTGCAGACTCAGGAGTGGTGGGCGGTGTTAGCTTGGGCTTTGCCGAGGGCCTGCCCTCTCCGTGGCTGGGCCTGGGGCTGCTGGGGGACTGTGCTGGGAGACTGGGCTGCACCTCCTCAGGGAGGCCAGCAGGCTGGAGCGGGGCCTTTCTCCCCACACCCCGAAGGTGCTCACGGTCTGCCCTCCAGGCCCTGGTCCAGAGCCTCCGCTCACCTCCCCCTCCTCCACCAGGAAACCTCCTCATCAGAGAAGCCCCTCCCAGCGGCCCTGCATCCCCAGCCCCATTCCCAGAACTCTACATGGCCCACACGTTATCCACGCCAGCAGAAATTTAGTTCCTGAGTTCCAAGAATCTTGCGGTCTGGGAGGGAAGGGCACAGACGCCTCTCCAGGCAGCACGTCGCCCACACCCTCTCTGGCCGTTCCCATCCTGCCCTCTGAAAAGAATGCCCACACCACTTCCTGCCGGACCCTCCGCCGGGACAGGGCAGCGCAGCCAGCTCCCACTCACATGGGCAGTGGCCGAGTCTCAGCCGCCGTGCATGAAGGAGCCGTGTGTAAGCCCCCGTCCCCGGCCCAGCTCTGCAAGTGTTTAACAAGAAATAACAAGAAAACGGCTGTCCCCGAGAAGCAGCTGCGTGAACTCAGGACGCTCCTGAGCAGCCGACGTTTTGAGAAAGCCCTCGCCATCCTGAAGGCCCACAGCTGGGGTTGGCCCACATGCAACGGCCACCTCTGCTCTGCTTCCTGGAAACCAAACCTTCAGAGTCCAGGGAAGATACAGCCATGTAAAATGTTGCTGCGCTGGTGTCCGTGAGCATTTCACACGCCTGAGCCCCTTTCTGTGTGAGCAGGGGGGATGCCCCACCTCGGCTGGGGACCTCCCCTCTCCACAAGACAGCCTGGTCAGCAGAGGGGGCGGACACCCCCCAAGACCCCCAACTCTGCAGGGATTGGACTCCGTGGGCAGGAACCTGCCCTCTGGTCAGGGCAAGGTCAAGGAACAGAGGGGCCAGTCCAGGGAGGCCCAGCAGCGAGAAGCCAGCAGCCTCTGCGGCCCGAACGTTCCAGCTGCAGGGGCCAAGGTCACAGCCGCCATCCACCTCTCCCCTCAAGCAGGAGTGTGGCCCTTGTTACTAGGACAACCCAAGCCTGGACTCTGCACCGGATTCTGCCACTTTCTAGATGGGGATTCACCTGGTCTCATCTCCCCTTAGTCCCAGCATGAGCCCCCCATGCATGTGGGCCTGTGTGGAGAGATTTGGGGGCACCCTCTCCCACCCCGGTTAGGAGGCACTGCACAGCCAGGCCCTCAGAACCGCCCTGGGTCTGTGGAGGGGCAGTGGCCTGATGGGGATCCCCGCCCTGATGGGTGTGTGGCCTGGAGCCCACACCAGGGCAAGAGCGGTAGGACTGGAGCCTGAGGGGGGCGCTTTGGATCTGGGGGGCGCCGGAGCCCCTGCTGGCTGGAGCTTCCCTGCTTCAGTCCCAGGCCCATCACTCCCCTCCATTCACACAGCGTTTTCTCCAAATTCCAGCAGCATCCGGTGAGGCCCCTGCTGACCGAATGAGTCACACGCAGGCTCCAGCTCCTGGGAACCCTTAGAGACCCTTTTCCAGGCCCAAGCTGTGGTCCTGCCTGGGACCCTGCCCAGCAACCCCACCAGGATGGGTCCCTCTGCTCTCTTCAGCCCCTGCTGTGCCAGGATCTGGTCATCTCCATCCACCCACATGCATCCCTGTGGGCGTCCCCAGCACAGCAGCACTGGGCCAAGGAGGGTGCCCAGGATGGGCACAGCCTGGCCTCAGGGCGCAGGGGACTGGAGAGCCCCCAGGAAGGGCACCAGCCATGAGATGCTGGCTTCCCCGCATCGGGGGTACGGCAGCAGACACCCATCCCAGATCCTGTCGAGGTGAGGCCTGGGCGAGTGGATGGACGTCACACAGAGTGTGCAGCATGCTTCCTGGGGGAAGGCCATCGAGGCCAAAGACCCTCACAGATAAAGCGGAAGGTCATGTCTCTGCACACAGTCTCACCCCCGCGGCTCAGAGTGCCCATCGCGGGCTCCTGGGCAGTGTTTATCTGGGGCCACGCCCGCTCTGAGCGCCACTGGAGTCACGATTGCATCTGAAGGCCACGTTAAGAAGCGTCACCGTTTCAACAGCACCACGTCTTCCAATTCGTGAGCACAGGACGTCTTTCCTTTTATTTAGCTCTTTAATTTCTTCCAGCAAAGCGTTGCTGTCTCCAGTGTACACATCTTGCACCTCCTTGGTTGAATTTTTTTCCCAGGGATTTTATTCTTTTGATGTTATTATAAATGGGGTTCTTTTCTTAACTTTCCTTTCAGATTGCTTATTTGTTTGTGAACAAAACACAACCGATTTCTGTGTGCCAACCTTGTGTCCGGCAGCTTTGCTGAGTTCCTTTATTGGCTCTAGTTGGTGTTTTGTTAATTCTTTAGTATTTCCTGTATATATAATTATCACGCCATCTGTACATAAGGATAATTCTACTTCTTCCCTTCCAGTCTGGAGGGCTTTATTTCTTTTTCTTGCCTAATTGTGCTGGCTACAACTTCCAATACAAAATGAGTCTCTCTTTTTTTTCTTTGTCGGTCTAGCTAAAGGTTTGCCAATTTTCTTGATCTGTTTAAAGAGCCAGTTTGAGTTTCATTGATGGTCTTTATTTTTCTGTTGTCTATTTTATTTGTCTCAGCTCTGGTCTTTATTACTTCCTTTCTTCTGTTAGCATTGGATTTAGCTTGCTCTTCTCTTTTCAGGTTTCTTGTGGTATAAAATCAGATGGTTGACTTGAGCTCATTTTTCTTATGTGGATGTTCACAGCTATGAATTTTCCTCTGAGTGCTGCTTTTCCTGCATCCCTGAGCTGTCTCGTGGGTTTTTTTGTTTCATTTATCTCCACATAGTCATTTCTGCTTTTCCTTGTGATTTCTTCTCTGGCCCATTGGTTGTTTTAAAATATGCTGTTTAATTCTCACAGATCTCTAGATAGTCAGGGAAAAAACCACCCTGTCTAAAATTGTGCTGCAACTTTTAGTGTCAAGCTGAATGAAGGGAGTCCCCACTTGATCAATGCAGTGTGGTTTTGGGTGGCTTGTCTCTGCAAGGAGATCTTCATTACAATGATGAAAAACATTTTTTCATTTCTTTTCTGTGATTTGGGTACAGCAGAGGGGTGTGAGGGAGTGGGTGACCCTGCACATCCTGCTGTGTGGCCTGCCCTGGCCAGCCCAGCCTTCTTCCCTTTCTCCACATGTGAGGAGTGGAGTGGATGTGGGCACGAGGGGCCAGGGAGTGCCTCAAGGTTAGGCCTGGACCAGGCATCACACAGACCTCCCCGAGCACACCTGGGAGTGTGCAGGACCTGCTGCCCTGCTGGTGTCTTCAGTGCAGGCATGGTTGTAGGTTGTGTGTGAATCTGGTCCCTGGCCCCAGAGCTCTGCCTCGGGGCCTCCTGTGGGTGAGAAACCACACAGAACCTGGCGTGAGCCTTTGGCCAACAGAAGTGTCACCCTCAGCCTTGTAGGGGAGAGTTTAGGAGAAGGACAGGTGCAGCCTCAACCGAGGAGTCCATGGACTCTTGGCACTGCTAAATGGGGCTAGGGTGACTCCGTGGAGAAGGAAGCAGGGAGGGACACCAGAAGGGAAGGAGGAAGAGGATTGGCAGGGAGGAGACAGAGGTGTTGGACACAGGACCCCCCAGGCCCACAGAGGCACCGGCTCAGCCACCCAACCCCTCACAGTGGTGCCTCCTTGGATTCAGGCACCCTCACCTTTGACCAACATGGTGGCCACTGTCACCTCCCAATACTCTCAAGATTCTAGACACTAGACTCTGTTGCAAGACTCTGTTGCCAGTCCACAAAACACCATTTGCAGTCTGCCCACCAGTCCTGACCACTACACACATTTGCCGCAGCCTCCTGATGCCTCCCTCAGATATCCCAAGACAGCTCAATACTGGGTGCATGTGGCCCCAGCTCCACCCCTCCCCTCACATCCTCCATGGTCCCAGCTCCACTCGGCCCCAGCTCCACCCCTCCCCTCATGTCCTCCATGGTCCCAGCTCCACTTGGCCCCAGCTCCACCCCTCCCCTCATGTCCTCCATGGTCCCAGCTCCACTCGGCCCCAGCTCCACCCGTCCCCTCATGTCCTCCACGGTCCCAGCTCCACTTAGCCCCAGCTCCACCCGTCCATCAGTCCCACAAAGGAACCAGCTCCACTTGGCCCCAGCTCCACCCCTCCCCTCATGTCCTCCATGGCCCCGGCCCCACCCCTGCCCCTCATATCCTCCATGGAACCAGCTCCACCCCCACAATGTCTTTGCAGCTCAGCAGCAGCACTGCTCTCCCAGCATTCGTGTCTGGGTGCTAGACATTTTGCCAAACTCTCTACCCCCTTTCCCAGATCAGGCCACACCTCCAGGCCCAGGAGTCTTCCCCACCTTTCCTGTCCCTCCTCCTCTCCCAGCCCCCGCTCCCTGGACCTCATCTTTCCTGCTCTGTGGACTGCCCTGACCCCAGCGGGCCTCCAGGTCCCTTTCTCAGCCTCCTGCTCTGCCACCTCCACACCACCTGGATACTTTTTCTCCCCAGCTGGAAGCCTGACTGCTTGCCCCCACGACCACTCCCCAGACCCCCCATTGCTGCTCAGCTGTGGCTCAGAGCCTTCCTGTCTGCCCCTTCCTGGCCTCACCTGCCCTTTGAGCACTGAGGGTCGGTCCCTCCAGTGGGATGGTTACCTCCCGTCTCCATTCCAGCCTCCTCCCTGCACCTCAGCTTCCTCTTAAGTGAGACCCCGACCTTCTGCCCGGTGCCCACCTCCTATTGCAGAGCAACTGTCCCCTGACCTCTCCTCCCCTCGATGACAATGACGGGAAGGTCCCTCCTGGTTCATATTCTCCAGGCTTGGCATCCAGCCCCTCCTGATTAAATGTTGAAACCAGAAAGAGACAAACGGCAGGGATGTAGTAAATATGTGTGAAATCGGCCTCCAGGCTCAGCTGGGCTGGATGTGTCGATGGAAAGCAATCAGTTTCATACTTTGTTCTGAGGCTTGGGTGAGCAGCACACTGCCCGTCATGCAGTGTCAGGCCCCACGGCCTCTGCACACTCAGGGCGGGGCTGGAAGGACTCGGGACTCAGCAGTGGTGGCATTCCTGGGTGTGGTTTGTCTCCACAGAAAGATACACTCAGGGAGGGGCTGGAAGATACACTCAGGACTCAGCAGCGGCGGCGTTCCTGGGTGTGGTTTGTCTCCACAGAAGGATACACCACAGGGCCAACGAGGGAAAAGACATCCAGCAGGGTCCAAGACTCCAGGTGCCGTCTCCAAAGTTCTCCTGTCCTGGGAGACGGCAGGTGGGGAGGATCCACACGGAACCTGCTCCTTCCTCCAGCAGCAAAATGCAGCAAAGTGTGCCCCGCACTTCTGCCCAGGAGGCCGCTCAGGCTCAAGCTCCGCATTCTTGCTGGGACAGGTCACTCCTGTGTGCTCTGCCAGCTCCGCTGGCCACAGCTACGGAGCCTCACACTCTGGCGGGAAGGCAGGTGCTGCCGTCAGTCATAAGGTTCATGCAAACAGCCCAGGCTGCTGTAGTGCCACATCCTGCGTCCCTGCACACAGAGCAGCCTTATCAGGCAGTGCGTGGGGAATGTGCTGAAAGCCACTGACCCAGGCACCTGCCACGCCCCAGAGCTGGCCCTTCTGCAGAGCAACACTGAGCTGCACAGGGTCGAATGTTCAGAGAGAAGCTCCTTGGATCTGCCATTTCTAACTATATGAGTGAGAAGAAAGAAAGCCTGAGAGAGAGAGAGTCGGTAAGAAATATAAAGAAATACTGGAAGAAAAAGAATAAGGGCAAATATTATGCACCCTGAGCTGACCCTTTGTACACAAAACAAAAGCCAGTGGTCTGATGCCCATGTCTGAACAATTAGCCTGCTTCCTCTATACCCATATCTCACAATCCAGATTTATTTTCCGGAATTCTGTTTTGACCTCTATTCAGCCTCTTCCCCTTCCTTGTCTTTAGTTTCCTGCCCAATCCCTTTGCCGCAGAGTGATGTCTGCATGGGGCCCTGGACACAGGTGCTGCTGGATAATTCAGTGATCCCAGGTCCCCAAGCACCTGCTCCAATGTGAGCACAGCCCACTGAAGGGTTGTTTCTGAATCTGTTAAGTGGAAATGTGGCTGAACTGGGGAGGTTCTGGGTAGGCTGGGCCACCTGCCCACCAGGGACACCTGCCCTCCTAATCCTGCCAAGCCACCTGCCTGCCATGGGCAGCTCCCCTCCTAATCCTGCTGGCCACCTGCCCGCCAGGGGTGCCTCCTCTCCTAATCCCACCAGACCACCTGCCCGCCGTGAGCACCTCCCTCCTAATCCCTCCAGACAACCTGCCCACCACAGGCACCTCCCTCCTAATCCCACCAGACAACCTGCCCACCACAGGCACCTCCCTCCTAATCCCACCAGACAACCTGCCCCCCCGGGAACCATCCCTCCTAATCCCACCAGACCACCTGCCCACCACAGGCACCTCCCTCCTAATCCCACCAGACAACCTGCCCACCACGGACACCTCCCTCCTAATCCCACCAGACAACCTGCCCACCACGGACACCTCCCTCCTAATCCCACCAGACAACCTGCCCACCACGGACACCTCCCTCCTAATCCCACCAGACAACCTGCCCACCACAGACACCTCCCTCCTAATCCCACCAGACAACCTGCCCACCACGGACACCTCCCTCCTAATCCCACCAGACAACCTGCCCACCACGGACACCTCCCTCCTAATCCCACCAGACAACCTGCCCACCACGGACACCTCCCTCCTAATCCCACCAGACAACCTGCCCCCCCGGGAACCATCCCTCCTAATCCCACCAGACCACCTGCCCGCCACGGGCACCTCCCTCCTAATCCCACCAGACAACCTGCCCGCCACAGACACCTCCCTCCTAATCCCTCCAGACCACCTGCCCACCACAGGCACCTCCCTCCTAATCCCACCAGACCACCTGCCCACCACGGGCACCTCCCTCCTAATCCCTCCAGACCACCTGCCCACCACAGACACCTCCCTCCTAATGCCTCCAGACCACCTGCCCGCCGTGAGCACCTCCCTCCTAATCCCTCCAGACCACCTGCCCACCACAGGCACCTCCCTCCTAATGCCTCCAGACCACCTGCCCACCACAGACACCTCCCTCCTAATGCCTCCAGACCACCTGCCTGCCATGGGCATCTCCCTCCTAATCCTGCTGGCCAGCCCACTTTGAGGAAGGGCCTCTAAGTAGACAGAACTTTCCACATTTTCTGCTCCCTTTGCCAGCCAAAAGGAAGACACTCCAGAAACAAGCAGACCTTTTGTGATTTCATAGGTGCTCGGGGGCTGATTCCCCATTTAGCCATGAATAATGACATCTTAATTTTGCAGTACGGCCACCCTTTCTGATCAAGTGCACCAAGCTGTGTCAGTTATTTGGGGTCTGCGGGCCGCATCGGTTATCTGGGGTCTGCAGGCTGCGTCAGTTATTTGGGGTCTGCGGGCCGTGTCGGTTATTTGGGGTCTACGGGCCGCGTCCGTTATTTGGGGTCTGCGGGCCATGTCGGTTATTTGGGGTCTACGGGCCACGTCAGTTATTTGGGGTCTGCGGGCCGCGTCGGTTATTTGGGGTCTGTAAGCAGTGTTGGTTATTTGGGGTCTGCAGGCCGCGTCGGTTATTTGAGGTCTGTGGGCCGCATCGGTTATTTGAGGTCTGCGGGCCGTGTCGGTTATTTGGAGTCTACGGGCTACGTCGGTTATTTGGGGTCTACGGGCCGCGTCCGTTATTTGGGGTCTGTGGGCCATGTCGGTTATTTGGGGTCTACGGGCCACGTCAGTTATTTGGGGTCTGCGGGCCGCGTCGGTTATTTGAGGTCTGCGGGCCGCGTCGGTTATTTGGGGTCTGTAAGCTATGTCGGTTATTTGGGGTCTGCGGGCCGTGTTGGTTCGGTTATTTGGGGTCTGTAAGCTGTGTTGGTTATTGGAGGTCTGCGGGCCACGTCGGTTATTTGGGGTCTGCGGGCCGCGTCAGTTCGGTTATTTGGGGTCTGTAAGCTGTGTCGGTTATTTGAGGTCTGCGGGCTGTGTCGGTTATTTGGGGTCTGCGGGCCGCGTCAGTTATTTGGGGTCTATAAGCTGTGTCAGTTATTTGGGGTCTGCGGGCCGCGTCAGTTATTTGGGGTCTATAAGCTGTGTCAGTTATTTGGGGTCTGCGGGCCGTGTCGGTTCGGTTATTTGGGGTCTGTAAGCTGTGTCGGTTATTTGAGGTCTGTGGGCCACGTCGGTTATTTGAGGTCTGTAAGCCGCGTCGGTTATTTGAGGTCTGTAAGCCGCGTCGGTTATTTGAGGTCTGCGGGCCGCGTCAGTTATTTGAGGTCTGTAAGCTGTGTCAGTTATTTGGGGTCTGTGGGCCGTGTTTCGGTTTGGAAGTCCAATGGCACCGCGGCACTTAGATTCCGTGTCACGGCCCGGCTTGCCGAGGATGCCTGCTCCCGCCTTCACCTGCCTCGCAGCCTCCCCAGTGCTGGCCAGGCGCTGAGGGATGCTTGACCCCACCCCATGGATGAGTGATTTCCTGGGGCTCCTTCAGCTGGGAACCCTCTCTAGGCCACAGGGCAAACTCTGGAGACTGCCTTGGGCTTGGGACCTGCCCGTGGCCACGCACTGGGCCTGGCTTGGACCCCACTGGGCTGGGGCCCTCGGGCACTGGGGCCCTGGGAATGGCCAGTAGGAGGTGTCCACTCCCTCCTGTTCCATCTGGAATGCGTGCCTGAGGCCAGTCCTCAGGATGAGCTGCCTAAGGGCGGGCAGAGGTCACAGGCGAGCAAGCGACCTGGCGCCTGCCACTTCCAAGAATGTGGGTTCACTGGGAGAGGGCAAGGATGGGGGTGGGTGGGAGGGAGCCGAGGGAGCTTTGTGCGGGGAAAACCCTGGAAGGGAGCAGCTCTGAGATCTGTGAAGCAGCCTCCCGCCCCTTCCCCATGTCCCTGTGGACCCTCGGACGTCAGGCCAGGAAGGGCCTGGGCCTCCCACTTGGCCCTCTAGCCCAGCCGTGAGCTTTACAGATGGGGAAACCAAGGGCCCACAGGCACGGGGACTTACCCAGAGCCCTGGCCTGGCCACCAGGACCTGGCATCTCACACTTTGGCGGTCCCCTGACTCTAGACACCATGAGTACCTCCGTCTCCTGCCCGGTCCTGTTGTCTACTGACAGCAGCGCTGGCTGAGGAAGGGAGGAGGTGCCACGTGGTACAACCCCTTCTCCACCCCTGGGAACAGCACCAAGCCCAGTGCCCGCACACTTAGCTCCCCTGAGCAGGAGCAGAGGGCACTGGAGCTTCAAGGGCAGAGCGGGACACACCGCCACTGATGCCTGGGTCCAGGGATGGTACCTCGAGGCCACATGTGGCCTGACGTCCTGGGACACAGACCTCGCCCTGGAACATAGGTGCTCTTCACAGCACAAGTGATCCTGCAGACCCATCCTTGGGCACCCACTGCAAGCGGACCAGAGCGGCGGTGCTATGGCATTCAAAGCATCTTGTCAGTCACGAAGCGTCCTCAGCTCATGTCTGGAGCTGGGCATTGTGGTGCCGTCTGCAGGGTACAGCTGGTGCCCAGGACAGTGGCCCTGTCCTTCTCCACCTGACTCCTGTCTCGCCAGCCTACCTTCCTCCCGACACCCGCGGCGTCCTCCTGCATCCACCCTCAGAGGTTATCGAATGCCGAGGAGCCCAGGATGCACTTCCGAGGCTCACTGGTGACTTTCCGGAGATACTTAGGCAAATGGACATAAATAGCTCTTGGATCCTAGCAGGAATTCTCAACCTCATTTCTCGGAATTCAGAAGTCACGGTTAACTCAAAGAATGCTAAGCGGGCCAGGGATCACGATCTCACAGATGGGTCCCGTGTCCCAGGGCAGTGAAGGTGCCGGGGCCGTCTCCTGAGCTGTCTGCTGCCCGGTCCTGCTCCGCCCGCCCCTGCGCCCCTGCACCACCAATCCAGGCAGCTCCCTGAGGCTGCGGTTTCCTTGGCTCCTTCTGCTCCCTGGGCAGTGCCAGCCTCGGGTCCACACCTGGAATCCACCGTCTTTCCTGTGAAAAATGACCTCAGTGCATCGAAGGCCCCCAGGGGCCGCAACTCCATGAGTGCGACTGGTTGGTGGGGCAGCGCCACTGTCCTGGGGACGTGCTTCCAGTGGAGGGGTGGCTAGGAGCCTGGGGGGCTTCATCGAGAGGGTCCCGGAAGGGCCCAGTGGTCAGATTTCAGCGGTGCACCTGGGCCTCAGGCGATGGATGAGGTGCACCTGGGCCTCACCCATCGCCTGAGTGGGGCTGTCCCGAGTCCACCCTCAGCCCCTGAGCCCTCCTCACCCCTCGGCCTTCCCCTAGGCAGGGGTGGCGCAGGCTGGGGGCGTCCACATCGCCTCCAGCAGGGCAATGGCACACAGGCTCTGCCCAGCGGTCAGCAGCAGGCACGGGCAGGCACAGGGAGCGGGGAACCCCAGAGTAAAGGGAAACCGACAAGGCCTCTGCACCTGTGAAAGCCGGGCCCTGGATCTGGCCAAAGAACAGTCCTCACGAGGCCACAGCTGGACTCAGCCTAGAGGCCTGACCCCAAAGGACATGGTAGATCGGGGGTACCCCGAGAAGGGCAGCCCCCAGGCCTGGCCCATGCTTGGCAGAAGGGCGCGCAGTGCTAGCCAGCCACCTCCTTGAAGACTTGGTGGGAAATGAGTAATCACAGGTGGCTCCCCAGGAGGGAGGCCAGGACCCCGCCGGCACTGTGGGGACTCAGCACAGCCGAGGGTCGGCCGATGGCGTTGTCACCCCTCCCGGGCCCCTTGAACCACCCACTGCTGGGACCCTTGACACACCGGCTGCAAGCCTCCAACCCTCACTGTCCTCAAGAGGGCCACGTTCCCTTGTCCTCTGAGCCTCCAGGGCCACACATCAGACCCAGCCCTGAGACACCACTGCCAGGTCCTGGTGTACTACAGCCCCCAACCCCTCCCTGCCTTCCAGAGACCCTGCCCCAGGGGAGAGCTGGCGCTTTGCTCCAGCATCCACCCAGCAAGACCCTCTCCCTAACTTATCCCTCCCGCTCACCTCTCCCCTTCTCCCTCCCTCTTTTCCCTCCCCATTCCCCTCTCCCTCCCCCTCATTCCTCCTCTCCCCTCCCCACCTTCCATCGGCTTCAGGCCAAGCCCAGGGCTAGACGCATGCCTGGCCCACCCACGCCGCTCTGCAGGGGCATTCCTCGTGGAGCCCAGGCCCCTTGCCCCCCTACCCTGGGCCGCTGCCCAGTGCGAGGCCATACGGGGCGAGTGTGGATTGGGTGAAAGACACAGTAACGAAATGTGGTGAAAATGCTCCTGGGAACCGAGCTGATCCGCAGGGCCTGTGCCTTCGCCTATAACAGTCCCTCGGCCTGTGGGGGACCCCAAAGCTCCCAGCCGCCCTCCCCGCAGGGCCTGTGCCTTCGCCTTCACTGTCCCTCAATCCCAAAGCTCTTAGCTCCTACGTGGTCCAGGCTTTGTCAGCGCCCCACCCCCACCCCCCGCCACCACCCACGGTCCCTTCAGGGCCACCACGGCTACTCCAGCTCCCTCAGTCCCTGTCTGGGGGGCGTCCCTGGGCCCTGCCCAAACCCTTCTCCCACCCAGACCACACCCAAGGCCGCCCACCAGCTGCCCCCCAGCACACCCAACCCACCCACAGGCGTCCTCTCCCCCCAGGTGTGGCAGGGCCTCTCACGATGAAGAGACGCAGACACTCAACCAGAAACGGGCAGCCCGAGGAGGGCCCCCCTTCCTCAGTGGTGGGGATGCCACCTGTGTGCCAGGTGGAGCCGATGGAGCCCCAGGCTTCCTTCCTTTTGGCCGCGCCTCTTTCTTTCCTCCATCCTCTCCTCCTCATCTGACCCCCCAGCTCTGGTCAGTTCCGAGTCAGGCAAGGGGTGGGCAGGCGCCTCGAGCAGAGACTCCTCCAGGAACCCAAGCGAATGAGGAACGCCAGGATAGTGTCAGCACAGATGCAGGTCTGACCCCCAGTTCGGGACAGAGGGCGGGGAGGGTAAAGGGCGATGGGGACGCTTCTCACCATCGCTGTCCCCATCCAGTCACTGGAGCAGCTTGTGGAAGGTGGCCTCGGTCGGTCACGCTCTCTGTAGTGGGGTCCAGGGCTCAGTCCCAGGTGCTCTCATGGAGGCACAGGCAGAAGGGGGAAGGGGAAGGTATGAGCCAGCTGGTCGCCAGTATCAGAGCACCCCGAGTGAGGGGTCAGTGCCCGGCAGGAGCTGTGAGCCACATGCTATCTGGTCCAGAGCGAGGACTGCTGGCCACCTGTCTGTGAGTGGACAGAGGGACACAGTCCAAGGCACAGAGGCAGCACCCGGAGCCCACCCCTGCCCACTGCCTGGGCCCGAGACCCGAGACCTGTGCACACAGAGCAGGCACGCGCCGAAAGCCTGGCCTGAGTGAGTGCCCGGGGTGCCCAGCAAACACCCACGGAACAGCCTACTGACGGTGCATCCAGCCTGGAGCCCCACAGAGGCCAAGCGCTCAGCGTGGCCACACCAGACCTGCCCCCTGGGAGGTCCGGTGCACTGTGGACGTGGGCAGGGCAGAGCCCGGGAGACTGCCTGGGCCAGGAGGCCCCAGGATCAGGCCCTCACTAGCCCGGGCACCTGCTCAGGGCTGGTGCTCCCTGGTCCTACCCCTGGCACTCAGGCCGTGGACGGCCAAGAGGAGGCTGCCAGTTGTCAGCTCAGCATCTGGAATGGGCCTGGAGAAGGGGATTGACTGTGTCCCTGACCTCAGCTGAGTCCCATGTATTTCTGGGTTCTGCACACGTGACCTCAGTGGTTGAAATAACAAGGGCAGCCGGCAGTGACTTAGAGACACGAGACTGGCTGCTAGGCAGCTTGCAATCTGGTGACTTCATTCTGGGATCCTGGGAGGAGTCCCTGCCAGGCCCAGCTCCCCTGTCACCCTAGTTGCCAGCTCCAGCCAGTGGCCAGACAGCAATCATCCCTGCCCCTCCCTTTGCCCACGTGCTGGTCGTCCCCCTGTCTGGGACAGCAGCTGGGGCTGCGGCCAGTTGACTGGCAAAGCTGTGTTTGACAGTGGAGGCTGGGAGGGAATGAGCCAGCTGGTCAGGCCAGCCAGGTGAGCCCTGCGGGGAGCTGGACGTGTCCCCAAACTGACACCACCGTCCCCAATCAGCACTGGCACCGGCTTCCAGATGATTCTCTGGTCTCACCATCTTCAGGAACTGAGGCCCCACCAGCCTCTTCCTGCCTCATTTCCCAAACTGCCTTTTCATTAGAGAGTAAAACCCCTTGAGGACCAGCGGATGTACGGTCCATGGAGGCCTCAGGTCACGGTGCCCACAGGATTTTTAAGTTAAGGTACGTACGTTGTTTCTTTAGACATAATGCTATTGCACACTTAGTCAACTACAGTAGAGTATAAATACAACTTTTATGTGCTGTATTAGTCCATTTTCACACTGCCATAAAGAAATACCCAAGAGTGGGTAATTTATAAAGGAAAGAAGTTTAATTGACTCACAGTTCCACATGACTGGGAGGCCTCAGGAAACTTACAGTCATGGTGGAAGGTGAAGGGGAGGCCTCAGGAAACTTACAGTCCTGGCAGAAGGGGAAGGAGAAGCAGCACCTTCTTCACAAGGAGGCAGGAGAGAGAAGGGAAGAGTGAAGGGGGAAGAGCCTCCTATAAAACATTCAGTCTCGTGAGAACTCATTCAGTATCATGAGAACAGCATGAGGGAAGCCGCCCCCTGATCCAGTCACCTCCCACCAGGTCCTGCCCTCAACACATGGGGATTATGGGATTACAATCTGAGATGAGATTTGGGTGAGGACACAGAGCCAAACCATATCATGTGCACTGGAAAACCAAAAAATTTGTGTGACTCACTTTATTGCAGTGGTCTGGAACTGAACCTGTACCACCTCTTCAGTGTGCACACACACATCACACACACATGCACTCATACACTTACACTCACACACGTACACTCACACACCACACACACATGCATTGCACACATGTGCACACACACTCATGCATTTACATCACACACACGCACCACACACACACTTGCACTGCACACGTGCACATTGAGGCACTTACATGCACTCACACCACACACATACACTCTTGCATTGCACACTGCACACACACACGCACTCACATGCTCACATCACACTTGCACGCACACCCGCAAAGCACCCCACATGGAGCACAGCTCAAGTCACAGCACAGGTGAGGGCTTCAGCTAAAGTGCAAACCGAGACGGGCGTGGCAGAGGAGGCCATGACCATGACCTGAGGTCTCCGCGGACCTTACAGCCACTGGTCCTTTATTGCCAAAAAAAAAAAAAATGCTAGTGACTTCAGCAAGTCATAATCTTCCTGCGGGTGGAGGGTCTCACTGCGATGTGGATGGCCGCTGGGGCTGACCAGGGTGGTGGTGGCAGAAGGCTGGGGCGGCTGTGGCAGTTTCTTAAAATAAGACAACAATGACATTTGCCACATTGATAGACTTTTCTTTTCACAAAAGAGTTCTCTGTAGCACGTGGTGCTGTTTGGTGCACTTTACCCACAGTGGAACTTCTTTCAAAACTGGAGTCATCCTCTCAAACTCTGCCACGGCTTGGTCAACTCAGTGTATGAAATAGTCTCAATCCTTTGTTGTCATTTCAGTAATGTCCACGGCATCTTCACCAGGAGCAGATTGCATCCCAAGAAACCACTTTTTTGCTCATCCATAAGAAGCAACTCCTCACTGGTTACATTTTACTGTGAGACTGTAGCAATTCAGTGCCATCTTCAGGCTCCACTTCTAATTCTTGGGTGGCCAGGAGCATTGTCAACTAGCAGCAATATTTTGAAAAGAATCTTTCTGAGCAGTAGGTCTCAACAGTGGGCTTTAAATATTCAGCAAACCATGCTGTCAACAGATGTGCTGTCACCAGGCTTTGTTGTCCACTTAACGGAGCACAGGCAGAGTAGATTGAGCATCATTCTTAAAGGCCCTGGGATTTTCAGAATGGTGAATGAGGATTGGCTTCAACTCAAAGTTCCTGGCTCCGTTAGCCCCTAGCAAGAGAGTCAGCCTGTGCTTGGAAGCTTGGAAGCCAGGCATTGACTTCTCTCTAGCCATGCAAGTCCTAGCTGGCATCTTCTTCCAGTAGAAGGCTTTCATCTGCATTGCAAATCTCTTATTTAGGCCAAGCGCGGTGGCTCATGCCTGTAATCCCAGCACTTTGGGAGGCCGAGGCAGGCAGATTACCTGAGGTCAGGAGTTCGAGATGAGCCTGGCCAAGATGGCAAAACCCAGTCTCAACAAAAAATACAAAAAATTAGCTGGGCGTGGTGGCAGGTGCCTGTAATCCCAGCTGCTCGGGAGGCTGAGGCAGGAGAATCACTTGAACCTGGGAGGTGGAGGTTGCAGTGAGCCAAGATCATGCCACTGCACTCCAGCCTGGGCGACAGAGCGAGACTCTGTCTCAAAAAAAGAAAAAAAATATATCTTGTTTAGTGCAGCCTCCCTCATCGCTATCTTGGCCAGATCTTCTGGAGAACTTGCTGCATCTTCTCCATCAGCACTTGCTGCTTCACCTCACCTGCACTTTTACGTTATGAAGACAGTTTCTGTCCTTAAACTTCATGAACCGACTTCTGCTAACTTGGAGCATTTTTTCTGCTGCACCTCTCTCAGCCATCATAGGGTTAAAGAGAGTTAGGGTCTTGCTCTGGATTAGGCTTTGGCTTGAGGGAATATTGTGTCTGATTTGATCTTCCATCCAGACCATTAAAACTTTCTCCACATCAGCCATGAGGCTGTTTCACTTTCTTATCATTCATGCGTTGCTGGAGGAGCACTTTTAATTTTCTTCAATAATTTATCCTTTGCATTCACAACGTGGCTGTTTGTCACAAGAGGCTGAGCTTTTGGCCTATCTCTGCTTTTGACATGCCTTCCTCACTAAGCGTAATGATTTCTAGTTTTATAAATAAAGCAAGAGATGTCCAACTGTTCCTTTCATTTGAACACTTAGAGGCCATTGTAGGGTTATTAATTGGCCTAATTTCAATATTTCTGTGGCTCGGGGAATAGGAGGGAGATGGGGAACAGCCAACCCGTGGAGCGACCAGATCACACGGGACATTTACCCACTAAGTTCACCGTCTTATACGGGCGTGGTTTGTGGTGCCCAAGACAACTACCATGGAAACCCCAAAGATCACTGATCACAGCTCCCCATAGTAATCATGGTAAAGTTGAAATATTTACAGAATTACCAAAATATGACACAGAGACATAAAATGAACACACGCTGTTGGAAAAATGGCGCTGATGGACTTGCTCAACCCGGGGTTCCCACAGCCTCCACCTGTGAAAAACTCAGGACCTGCAAAGCCCAGGTGCACCTGTGCACGTGTGAGTGCCTGTGTGTGTGGAATGTGCCAGGGTACGTGTGTGCATGTGTGTGGTGTGTGTCAGTGTGCGTGTGTGCATGTGTGTGGTGTGTCAGTGTGCGTGTGTGCGTGTGCGTGGAGTGTGTCAGTGTGCGTGTGTGCATGTGTGGTGTGTGCCAGTGTGCGTGTGTGCAAGTGTGAGTGCCTGTGCATGTCCAGTGTGCCAGTGTGTGTGTGAGTGTGCTTGTTTGTGTGCATGCCTGTGCATGTGTGTGCCTGTGCGTTTGTGCATGTGAGTGCCTGTGTGTGTGATGTGTGCCAGTGTGCGTGTGCATGTGTGTGGTGTGTGCCAGTGTGCATGTGTGCATGTGAGTGCCTGTGCATGTGGAGTGTGCCAGTGTGCGTGTGAGTGTGCTTGTGTGTGTGGTGTGTGCCAGTGTGCGTGTGTGCAAGTGTGAGTGTGCGTGTCGTGTGCCAGTGTGTGTGTGAGTGTGCTTGTGTGTGTGCATGCCTGTGCATATATGTGTGCCTGTGCGTGTGTGAATGAGTGCCTGTGTGTGGTGTGTGCCAGTGTGCGTGCGTGCAAGTGTGAGTGCCTGTGCATGTCCAGTGTGCCAGTGTGTGTGTGAGTGTGCTTGTGTGAGTGTGCATGCCTGTGTGTATGTGTGTGCCTGTGTGTGTGATGGGTGCCAGTGTGTGTGTGGTATGTGTGTTCCAGTGTGTGAGAGTGGGGGGGCATGTACGTGTGGAAGTGTCATGCAAGCATACGTGTGTGCACGTGTGAGCATGCGCGTGGTGTAAGGAGAGGCGCAGCATGGAGGCAGAGGCAGTGCTGCTCACCTGAGCCCAGGGACACAGTGTTGGTCTCAGAAGGGCTGCCCTGGGTGGCACCTGGGCCCAGGACCTTTTCGCTCAGGCTGTGATGGTGCCACTGCAACCGGTGAGAGGTGTGCAGCATCAGCCATGGCGGGAACAGAGCCGTGGCAGGACCACACCTGCAGTCTGCGTCCTCGCCCCGTTTCCCCGTGTCCCAGCGTGTGCTGATTCCGACCATCAGCTCCAACCAGCAGCGGGCTAGTGTGCCAGGAGGGATCACAGAGCCGGCAGCACTCAGGCTGGGCACGGGGCCGAGGGGCTAATGGGCGAGGGGCTGGGCAGGGTCAGCTGCAGGTGCCCCCTCTACTGCGAAGCTCCACCTGCACCACAGGCCTGTTTCTTGTCTCTTTCTTCTTTTCTTTCCTTTCCTTTTAAAAATACTTTCTAGATTTAATCATTTTTGAGTGTGCAGTGGAACATTTAGGAAGATGCCAGACACACCAGCACCGCCCAGGAACCTGCTGTCTTGGCCGGACACACCAGCACAGCCAGGAAACTGTGGTCACGACCCGCGGGGCAGAAGCGAGAACCTTGGGGCCGGCCCCACCCCTGGCCGTGCCTCCCTGGCCTGGCCCTGGGGCCTCCTTGTCTTTCCTCCCGGTTCACCAGCCAGGCACACGCATCCCCAGGCACACGCGTCCCCAGGCACACGCGTCCCCAGGCACACGCGTCCCCAGGCTGCACTGGCTTCGAGCTGTGTGTTCCTGGAGTTGTTGTCTCACCTGGTTTCATAGCAGATTTCTCTGATTTCTTTCCCTGCACGTGTTTCTTTAAGGCCCATCCTGTAACCGTCGGTAGCTGGGGCTCCCCATGTCCATGGCTGCACGGGACCCGCTTCTGGCGAGACCACGGGGCTTTATCCCTTTATCCCTCCTGCCGACTGTGGCACGTTGGTCTCCGAGGGCTCAGGTGGTCTGCAGGCTCGTCCCACCCATGCGGGGCTCAGCTCTAAGCCTGCTAACTCCTCACAAGCCCATCCCTGGCAGGGGCCCCGCGAGTCCCTCTGCGCCCGTCCCTCTGCGCCCGTCTGTGAGCATTGCTGGCTGCGCCGTCCTCTCTTGCCTCTGTGAAGCGTGTGCAGGTCTCTTCCGCTCTCTTCTGGGCCGCCCACTCTTCCTCACTGACGGGCAGGAGCCTGTGTTTGTTCCTCACATCAGCCCGAGCGGCAGAGACTTTCCCTTTCGCTGAGTCAGCTTTGGAACCCAAAGTCTGTGATACTGGGGTGCCTCGTGCTTCTAGGGATGGTTTAAGGTACCCGTCCTCATGCCACATCCACACCATGTCTCCTCCACGAGGCTCCCCAGTCACCCCCTGTGAGCAGCAGCACGCCCGTCCTGTAACTGTGTGTAGCTGGGGTTCACCGCACAGCTGGGGCCGCACCGCCTTCCCGTGGCTGCTGTGGCCACGGTGAAAGCTCAGTGGCCTAAAGCAACTCAGGGGGATCATCCGACAGTCGAGAGGCCGTAAGGTCCGAAATGGGCCCCGCTGGGCCGACGTCGAGTTGTGGGGAGGACTGCCTCCCTCCCCCCCCCCGGCACCTTCTGGGGCTGCCTCGGCCACCGTCACTCCTGGGCTTGGGGCCTCCTCCACCCTGAAAGCCAGCAGCCCTGCGTCCTCTCTCCACTGGGATCTCTGCCCTCCCTTTTAAGAGGACGCCGGTGATGTCAGTACAGCCAAACAACCCAGGGCAGTCTCCACCATTCACCGCCACTCACTTAACCCCATGTGCAAGGTCCCTCTTGACGCGTGAGGTGAAACCTTCACTGGTTTCAGGGAAGAGAACGTGGATGTCTGGGGGTGTTACTCAGCCGACATAGGACCGAGCTCTTGTTCTCCTGTGCGATGCTCATCTACCTGCCCCGGCACTGATGGCCGCTCCTCCCTCACTTGGCACTGGGTCACGTGGTGATGCACTCAGGGCTGGTCCCAGGCTCTGCACCCTCCCCGGCCAGCCCACCCTCTTGGGCTCTGCACCCTCCCCGGCCAGGCCACCCTCTTGGGCTCTGCACCCTCCCCGGCTCTGCAACCTCCCCGGCCAAGCCACCCTCTTGGGCTCTGCACCCTCCCCGGCTCTGCACCCTCCCTGGCCAGGCCACCTTCCCCGGGCTCTGAGCAATGTGCTCTGCCGTGAGTCAGCTCCCGCTTTGCCCCTCCGGACACCTCTGGGTCGGGTTCATAGCTCCCAAGGGGAAGCTGTTAGGATTTCACCGAGATTCAGATCCGCCCTCCCTTTCTAGAAACCTTCCCCCAAAGGCAGTGGTTGGCCTGACTCGCGGAAATCACGTAACCCGGAGATGTCCCAGCGAGTGGCCCTGGCGTGCGAGCCGCTGCCCCAACGCTGGGCACCTGGGCACAGAGGGGTGGGGTGGCCATTCCCCGACGCCCAGAGTCTGCCTGGGGCTTAGACGGGATTCGACGTAACAGAAGATGACGCTTGAGTGACAGATTCGTCAGCGCCCAGAGGAGGAGGACAAGCTGGACCCCTACCCTGGTTGGGGCTTGGAGCCATAGGAGAGGGTGTTCCCAGCTGCCAGACGGGCGGGAACAACTCCCCGGACACCGGTGGGCCGAGGCTGTTGCGAGGGGCCCACGTCAGGCGGTGGATGGTGGATGCTGGACCCAGCGGAGCACCCCCTTCCCCCGGCCCCGGCCCCGGCCCCGGCCCCGCGCCTGCACGTCCACGGCGGTGACTGCCCAGCGGCGGCGGCGAGAAAAGCGGCGGCCTCCCGCGCCCTCTGCCGGCTCACCGGGAAGGAGCCCGGAGCCGGTGGTGCGCCGTGGGTCCGTCCTGCACCACTCCTGTGTGCTGTGGGTCCATCCTGGACACTTCTGCGTCCCCTGGGCCCCTCTATCTCCCTGTCTTATCGTCTACTTTGCCGGGCATCCGTGTAGCCGCTGTAGCTCTCTTAATCTCACAGTTGGCACTGCATGGCCTTTTCCATCCAGTTACTTTCAACCTACTTGTGTCTTATACTCAAAGTGTTTCTATTCTAGTCACCATGTTCCAGAAGCTTACTATCTATTCTGACAACCTCTGCCTTTGGATCGGAGCTTTTAGCTTGTTAAAATTAATTGGAATTTTGATCTGGTTGGATTTAGTCTACATTTTACTGTTTGTTTTCCGTTTTTACCACTTTAAGTGATTGTTTTGCTCTTTGGAATTCTTCCATTTCTCCTTTACTTCCTTCTTTTGGATTATTTTAATATTTTTAAAAAATTTGTTTTAATGTTTTTGTTTGTTTGTTTGTTTGAGACGGAGTCTCGTTCTGTCGCCCAGGCTGGAGTGCAGTGGCGCGATCTCGGCTCACTGCAAACCCCGCCTCCTGGGTTCACGCCATTCTCCTGTCTCAGCCTCCCGAGTAGCTGGGACTACAGGCGCCCGCCACCACGCCCGGCTAATTTTTTTTTTTGTATTTTTTAGTACAGACGGGGTTTCACTGTGTTAGCCAGGATGGTCTCGGTCTCCTGACCTCGTGATCTGCCCACCTCAGCCTCTCAAAGAGCAGGGATTACAGGCGTGAGCCACCGTGCCCTGCCTAGTTTTTACCTAGTTTCTTATGGTTGCTCTAATGGATTAAAATCCGCAACCTTTCCACAGCCTATGTAGAGTAAAATTGTTCTCTTCATATAACATATTTACAGAAAACTTGAGACTATATAGGACCGTTTCCTGCCTCCCACCTTTCCTCCTGCAGATGCTGGGCAGAGCACCATCCCCAGTGCCCTCCACAAGGCACTGCTAAAGTTCTCTCTTTAAACAGTCATTGAAAGAGGGAGGAAATTAAGAAGGGGGAGACAAATCTTTTCTATTTATCCTTCAGCGTTTCTGGTGTTTCTCCTTCCTTCCGCACAGTCCAAGTCCCCCCAAGCAGCCCAGGGGCTTCCTGCTGTTCTGGTGAAGTCCGCAGCACGGACCCTCGGCCCAAGGCCCACCGTGCAGGTCTGGTTGGGGTTTTCCACAGGTGCGGTGCCTGCAGGAGTGTCTACTCTCCCTCCACCCTGAAGAATTTCATCTAACATGTCCTGAAGTACAGGTCGATACACGGAAAATGCTGTTAGTTTTATTTTTATCAGAAAGTATCTTTATTTCATCTTTATTCTTGAAGGATATCTTCTTGGGATATAGAGTCTGGGAAGCACAGGTTTCCTAGGGAGTCCCTGAGAACTACCAGACACAGGCCACCCCCTCCCACCACTGCACCTTGGAGCCCACTGAACGTGTGGGGCAGGGGTCTGTGGCCAACCCAGGTGTTCGCAGGAGCCGGGGAGACAGCGTCCATGGGGGATGGTCTCTGAGCCGGCCCCTAGGTCACCCATGCTCCGTAGGGGTGGCAGCCAGGGGTTGTCTCATGGGTCCGGGTGGGGGCTGGAGGCGGTGAGCAAGTGCACCCGGTCCGGGACACGCTGCATCCCGCTTGGATCCCTGGGCGCCCTCAGCACCGTTGCCAGGCCCTGCAGAGGGGAAGGTCAGCCCCTGCCCTGGGCTCGGGCTGTGCCTGTCAGGATGAGACTCTGCCCCTCCAAGGCGGGGTTCCTCGGTCTGACAGGGAGCAGATACTTCGGCCCTCCGACCTTCTTCCCCTGAGGCTGAGCGGGGCCTTAAAACTGTTTAAAACGGGGCACTGCTGGTCACTGGCCACGCACTACCCGCGGGGAGGGGCCATGACCTGGGGACCCGGTGGGACGCACAGCTCCCTGTGTGACCCCACGCTGCCCCGGGGAGCAGTCCCGCCTGTAGCCAGGGGCTCCCTGCAGTTGCAGAGAAGTCCGCAGCCAACGGAGCTCTCCCGGGGCCCACCCGTGAAAGGACCTGGTCAGGGCCCTCTCCAGGCGCAGAGGCCCGCGGGAGGCCAGCGAGGCCGGCACTGGCTGCTCGGTCAGTGGTCGGGGGTCGGGGGTCGGGGGTCGGGGTTCTTGGTCTCCTCCTGCTCCGCCCGCACCCGCTGCTCTCCCTTGCCCCGCGGAGTGGGGGAGGGACAGCGCTGACCCCGGAGGATGCAGGCGGCGTCTGCAAGGGGGTCAACGCCTTCCTCCCCGGCAGGTTTTACCTCGTCAGCGGAGGGGTCCCCTTTATCATCTGTGGGGTCACGGCTGCCACGAACATCAGGAATTACGGGACAGAGGACGAGGACACGGCGTAGTGAGTACCGGGCACCCAGAACCGGGAGCTGGGAGCAGCGGGTGGGCTCTGCCTGAGGTCCCTCCCAGGCACCTGTGGTGGGGAAGCCCAGGACGAAGCAGCAAGGCCTGGGCCTGGACCTGGGGCTTGCCGAGAGCTGCGCCCCTCCCAGCTCGCACCCCCGAGGAGTGCGCAGCGCCCCCTCCTCTCCCAGGGAGTCCAACCTAATCTTTGCCTTTGGACAAGGCAGGCCTGGTTTGCCTTCTATGGGAGGGGCCTGGGGACAAATAGCGATTTGGCAACAGCACAGAGCTCAGCTGAGAAGGGAAACCCCATCGAGTAGGAACGGCGGTCCAGCCATCAGTGCCCAGAGCCAGCCTGGAACCTCTCATTCAGGGCCCTCAGTTCCTTCTGCGGCCCCAGGATGGCCCGCCCGTCTGCCCTCCGCCTTGCCCCGCCCACCCAGCTCCACCTCCGCCTGGCCCCGCCCACCCAGCTCCACCTCCGCCTGGCCCCGCCCACCCAGCTCCACCTCCGCCTGGCCCCGCCCACCCAGCTCCACCTCCGCCTGGCCCCGCCCACCCCACGCTGGCCACGCCCACCAGGCTCCACCCTCTGCCTGGCCCCTCCCATCCAGCTCTGCCCTCTGCTCAGCCCCGCCCACCCCACTTCACCTCTTCCTGGCCCCACCCACCCCACACCAGCCCCACCCACCCAGCTCTGTCCTTCCTGCCCCTGCCCACCCAGACCCGCCCTGCACCTGGCCCCCTGCCTGGCTCTGCCTCTACCCGCACCTGGGACACTTTCCTGGCTACCCCACCTCCCAAGCTGGTAGGGCCAATAGGGCCCGGTTCCCATCCACACTCTCAGCGACTCTAGAAACGCCCAAGGCCCCCAAGCCGCAGCTGTGCAAAGCCACTCGCTAGGCCGGGTGGGTGCAGGGCCCTTTGCTCTGCAGGGGGCGTCCTGAGTCCTGGCCGTGCTGGCCCCGCTGACACTGACGTGCGTCTCCCCACAGCTGCTGGATGGCCTGGGAGCCCAGCCTGGGCGCCTTCTACGGCCCAGCCGCCATCATCACCCTGGTCACCTGTGTGTACTTCCTGGGCACCTACGTGCAGCTGCGGCGCCACCCAGGGCGCAGGTACGAGCTGCGCACACAGCCCGAGGAGCAGCGGCGGCTGGCGACACCCGAGGGCGGCCGTGGGATCCGGCCAGGCACCCCACCCGCACACGATGCCCCCGGCGCCTCCGTGCTGCAGAACGAGCACTCATTCCAGGCACAGCTGCGCGCCGCCGCCTTCACGCTGTTCCTGTTCACGGCCACGTGGGCCTTCGGGGCGCTGGCGGTGTCACAGGGCCACTTCCTGGACATGGTCTTCAGCTGCCTGTACGGCGCCTTCTGCGTGACCCTGGGACTCTTCGTGCTCATCCACCACTGCGCCAAGCGTGAGGACGTGTGGCAGTGCTGGTGGGCATGCTGCCCGCCCCGCAAGGACGCCCACCCCGCACTTGACGCCAACGGGGCCGCGCTGGGCCGCGCCGCCTGCCTGCACTCGCCGGGACTGGGCCAGCCACGGGGCTTCGCGCACCCACCGGGCCCCTGCAAGATGACCAACCTGCAGGCCGCGCAGGGCCACGCCAGTTGCCTGTCACCGGCCACCCCGTGCTGCGCCAAGATGCACTGCGAGCCACTGACGGCGGACGAGGCGCACGTGCACCTGCAGGAGGAGGGCGCCTTCGGGCACGACCCCCACCTGCACGGGTGCCTTCAGGGCAGAACTAAGCCGCCCTACTTTAGCCGGCACCCAGCAGAGGAGCCCGAGTACGCCTACCACATCCCATCCAGCCTGGATGGCAGCCCCCGCAGCTCGCGCACAGACAGCCCCCCCAGCTCTCTGGATGGCCCGGCGGGGACACACACGCTGGCCTGCTGCACCCAGGGCGACCCCTTCCCCATGGTCACCCAGCCCGAGGGCAGTGATGGGAGCCCTGCCCTCTACAGCTGCCCCACGCAGCCGGGCAGGGAGGCAGCGCTCGGGCCCGGCCACTTGGAGATGCTGCGGAGGACACAGTCCCTGCCCTTTGGTGGCCCCAGCCAGAACGGGCTGCCCAAGGGTAAATTGCTAGAAGGCCTGCCGTTTGGCACCGACGGGACCGGCAACATCCGAACGGGACCCTGGAAAAACGAAACTACTGTGTAGATGGGGGCAGAGGACACGGTGTTCCTGGAGGAGCTTCAGAGCAGAGTGGGGGGCCCATCTGCCACATGAGGTCACTGGGGGTACCGAAGTGACCCCGCCTTTCAGAAGCCGTTCACACCCCTGCCCCTTCCTTGTGATCACACCCCTGCCCCTTCCTTGTGATCACACCCCTGCCCCTTCCTTGTGATCACACCCCTGCCCCTTCCTTGTGAAAGACCTCAGCGGGGAAACGCTCCGGGCCACGCCCACTCCCCTTATCCCAATTCCGCGTGCTGGTCCCGCACACGGTCATCCGGTTTCTGTCCTGTGGTCTCCAGTCCTGGGGCACCCTAGAGGCAGAGCAGGGGATTCCATCAAAGGACCCACTGAGACCCCAGCATGGCCCTGCCCGAGATGCCCTGCTGCCCACGGAGTCCTGGCTTCCCCTGGTGTGGCCGGGCAGGGCCGAGATCGCAGGAGGGGGCTGCCCTGACCTTTCCCAGTGTTCAATGTGTGTGTCTTGCGTTCTACTCCGGGGGTGGCGGCGGCAGGTCTGTCCCCAGCATTCTCGCTCTGGGCAGAACCCTCGGGACCCTCCGCTGTCGTGTGTCTGAGCCACCCCTGCAGCTTCACAGGGCCCCTGCACACCTCTGCCCACTCAGTGTGCCCTGTCAGCCCTGTCCTTGTCGTAGCCCCAGCCCTGCAGGGCTGAGAGCACCACAGATGCTGGGGGCTGCTCTGGACTTTGGGGATGGCTGTCAGCCTCAGAGGGCCAATGGGGGGCTTTCACGGGCCCAAGGCTTGGGAAAATGCCCAGACATCCTTTAGTGAAGACTCGACTTCCAAAACCAGCCACCGCTGGGACTGGATTCCACTCCAGTATAGGCACTTAGCAACACGAAGGTTTATTCCAAAAAGAAAAGGGGCTGACAGACGGGAGATTCTCATGGACAAAATCCCTTTCCCTTTTTCTCGTCTCCATGAACATCTGGGTACCAAGCCCTGACTCAAAGGACAGATGTGGATGACAGCAAGACTTCTGTGAAAGCAAGTGGCCCGTCCCTAGGTGGGAGGGAGTCCAGAGGGTCATGGGTGTGAAACTGTGCACAGCTTTCCCTCCCTCCCTCTTCCTCCTTGTCTGTGACACATGTGCACCCACACACACACACACAAACACATGTGCATATCACACACATGCACACACACAAACACATGTGCATATCACACACGCGCACACACCCAAACACGTGCATATCACACACATGCACACACACAAACACGTGCATATCACACACATGCACACAAACGTGCATATCACACACACGCACACACACCCAAACACGTGCATATCACACACACGCACACACACAAACACGTGCATATCACACACAAACACACGTGCACACATACTTAACACACACTTGCACCTGCTGTGCACATGTGCACACACACGTAGTAGTGTGTTTTCCAGCCACCCACACACTGGGTTTGCATTGGAGATTGTTTCACCCTGCAAACGTCAACGTCAGCAGACTCGTCGGTGCGCTGTGCTATCCGGTTGGGAGGTCTCACCAGGAGCAGAGCCTCCCTAACGTGCACCTCCGAGAAGAGGGGTGTCGGGGAGTGTTCCCAGCACCTGCTCGGTGGAAGGGCTCTCCGGAGACTGGCACTCAGTATCTGAGTATGAGGAGCCTCACTTCCCGGGGTGTCGGTAAACTTGACCGTGACTCAGTAACCCACAGCGTGCTCCTCCCAGCAAACCCCGTGTGTCCTTACAGGTCGACCAGACGGGCCGTCGGAGGACCACCAGGTGGCTCTGCCTCTGCCTCACCTTCTCACCTGCTTCCATAGCTGATGTGAACCCGAATCCCCACGCTGTGCTGTGTACGCACTGTAGGTGCAGAACCGTCCACACAAAAATACAGTCTTGGCATTGTTTGTTCTTTGTGAGGCTGGTTAATAGCATCCCCGTGTGTTTTTCTCACCCTCGATGGGGTAGAGGGGCACCTGAATGTGTGGCCCCCGTCTGTGTCCTGGATCCTGGGGCAGGGCTGCTCTCCCTGGCCCCTGCAGCCCCTCATGAACTTTCCACCCTCAGTGCCCCCGGCTGAGCAGAGAGGCGTCCCACCATTCAACCAAAGAAAGTCAACATTGAACATTAAACCTCTGTGTGTTTCTATACTGACTTAGCCTCATGAGTCCACTTGGGACTGGTGTTGGGCCATATCCAATTGCACGTAACGTTTTGGAGCATAAACATCCACAGCCCAACCACCCTGAGGGGCTCCTGGCTCGGAGTCAGCTTCCACCAGACCATGAAGCCAGAGCCAGACCCTGCGTTCCGCACCTGACTTTCGTGCCACTTCCTTCCTTGTGTGTGCCCGTGTGTCTGCATGTCGGATGCAACGGAGCGTGGGTGCATGCCAGCCTGTGTGAGTGTGCTTGCCTGTGTGCCTCCGTGTCAGACGTGCTGGAGCGTGGGTGCATGCCGGCCTGTGCGAGTGTGCCCCTGTGCCTGCGTGTTGGATGCAATGGAGCGTGGGTGCATGCCGGCCTGTGTGAGTGTGCTTGCCCGTGTGCCTGCGTGTCAGACGCACTGGAGCGTGGGTGTATGCCGGCCTGTGCGAGTGTGCCCGTGTGCCTGCGTGTCGGATGCAATGGAGCGTGCGTGCATGCCGGCCTGTGTGAGCGTGCTTGCCCGTGTGCCTGTGTGTCGGATGCAATGGAGTGTGCGTGCATGCTGGCCTGTGCGAGTGTGCCTGTGTGCCTGTGTGTGTGTGAGTCCGTGTGCCTGCGTGTCGGATGCGATGGAGTGTGCGTGTATGCTGGCCTGTGTGAGTGTGCTTGCCTGTGTGCCTGTGTGTTTGTGAGTGGCTTGTGGGTTGTGTGGGTGTTGACGTGTTAGTGTGTGAGAGTGTGCGCCTGTGTGGTGTGTAGGTCCCTCTGTGGGAGTTGTGTGCACACATGCACGTGTGCTTGAGGGTAAGTGTGCATGTGTGTGCATGCTCTTTGGAGGAACACTGTGAGGCGGCCCCTCCGCCCTGTCTCCGTGCGGGTGTGTAACTACCACACGGCAACACTGTGGTGACTTTAGTCAGCTTAAAGGACTAGGAAGCAGAAGCTGCCTGTGCCTCCAGACCCTGACAGTTCTTCTCTGGAGCAGTCCTAGCTGAGGAGGCCTCCAGTCCTGGGAGACACACAGTGGCATCTGCCGCGTCGCCCACGAAGGCCCCAGACAGGGCTCAGATCTGGTCGGCCTGCTCTGTCTCTGAATGAGCCACCCCTGCAGGGGCTTTGGGCAGCTGAGGAGCCCCCACTGGTTCTGCGGGGAAGGGGCTGGGTTGGGGCCCGCACGTTCCACCTGCCTGAGCAGGACTGAGGAGGGATGCAGGCTGAATGGGAGCACTGGGCCCCTGGGAGGGCCTTGGCAGAAGGCAGCTCAGCAGCCACACGCTAGGCTGCAGTGTCGCCCATCAGTGACAGCAGCTGCAGGAAGCCTGTCTAGGGACCCTGGAAGGAGCTCAGGGCCCTGCACTGATGTGGTGAATGCCCCCCATGTGCAGAGACTGGCTGCAACGGGCACTTCCACACCTACCCAGTGCCCAGATGGTGCCTGACCGGTCCTGCCACTTGCTCCCTGACCCTTGGTGCTTGCATTTCTCGGGGGACGCTGTCGGGACCAGCATTGGCCTGAGCTGGAACAGTGGGTGTGTTCACTGTGCGGGGACTGTGGACCCTGCTCCTCCACGTCTCACGTGGACCCTGCTCCTCCGTGTCTCACGTGGACCCTGCTCCTCCGTGTCTCACGTGGACCCTGCTCCTCCGTGTCTCACGTGGATCCTGCTCCTCTGTGTCTCACTTCATCACGCTTCCCTTCCACTGCACTGCCAGGGTTTGTACCTGAGCCTAGAGGCTTCTGCAGAGCCTTTACTGCACAGGCACCTTCGGCCAGAAATTCTGCCTGTTGTATTCAAGACCAAGGACTGTTCTGTAGCCTTTGAGGTGGGTGGGGTGGGGGTACCTTGGGCAGATGGAGGCCGGCCCTGTGTCTGCAGGGGCAGCGTGTGCCCAGGGAGGCAGGGGACGGGGTAGGGGGAGGGAAAGGGTGAGCACCCCGTGAGGACAGACAAAGTGCTGTGAGGCCAGGTCAACGGTGGGGTGGAGGCGGGGCCTGGTGGGCATCTGGGGAGGCTACTGGGCACAGGGACAGAGAAGCCAATTCGGAGGGTCCCTGGGGCCAAGTCTGAGCAGGCATCTGAGTGCTGTGGTTGTTCAGGGCAGGCGGAGCAGGAGGGGCATAGGAGGGCCTGGCACACGTGAGAGGCCTGTCCCTCGGGCCACAGCTAGAAGATCAGTGTCTCCCAGTGAGACAGGTCAGGCTGCAAGTGGGCTCAGCAGCAAGACAAGCCCTTCATGCCCGCCGTGCTGGCTCCTCTGGGCCTGGAGGGAGGGCTGCTGGGTGAGCTGGGGCCCACCAGGGCAACTCCCAACACTGGCTGTCCAGGCCTCCTGGGGGCTGCAGGGCCAGTGCCTGAGCACAGACGTGGCTGCCCACAGACGGTCCTGCAAGGACTCAGGACCCCAGACCCCAGGCTGCATCCCCCCGGCCACAGATCTGCAGGCGGCCGACTTCCAGAGGACAAGCAGCACCGCTCAGGCCCAAGTGGGCGCCGACTTGGACCTCACACCTCTGTCCTGTGTCCCAGGAAATGACTGGGGTTGCCAGGGCCTGCCTTTCCTTCCCACTCCCATCCCAGGACGTGGGTACTGGGAAAACCACTGTTAAGAGGACACTCTTAAACTCACTCTAATTACTTCTTTTCTACATAAATATCAACAACTTCCCCTGTAATCGCAACAGACACCTTGCTCCCTACTCACAACTCCAACCACACCCAACATAGCCCTTCAGGGAGGCCTGCAGGTCAGAACCGGCAGCAGAGGCACCCAGAGCTCAAGTCCCTCCCTGCCAGCCGCCCCCCAGCCTCTCCCAGACAGGGTCACTGAACAAGCCACAGAGTGGTGCAGGGCTGACATCGGCCAGGGACAAAGCAGGTGAGTACCCATGTCTGCGCCCTGGCTCAGAGATTACTCCAAGTCCAGGTCCTAGAGGGGTGAATACCCCTGGTGTGGGATTGGCTGGTTTAGTACTCATGTCTCTGTCATGGTCCAGAAAGTACCCTTGGTCTAGGTCCTAGTGGAGTGAGTACCCTGGTGAGGGATAGCCTGGGTTAGTACCCATGTCTCTGCCCTGGTTCGGAGAGTACTCGTGGCCCACGTCTTCGTGGAGTGAGGAACTCTGGCACGTAGTGCCTCCCTGTTAGGGTTAATGCTCGTATTGGATTCATAGTGAGCTGTGTTGCTGGGTAAAATACTCGAGGTGACAGTAGCAGTCTGTGCTGCTGTAGGATGAGGACACATTTTCTGGGCTACTTTCTTGGTGCCACTGGTATGGGCTGAAATTTCACCCTCCGTGTGCCCAGGTGGCGGCGGTGGTGGTGCGTTTGCATGTGGTGGGCTGGAGCTGCGCCCGTGTGTTCTTCTGTGTGTTTGGGAGGCTGAGTTCTCGTGGTCTGAGTCGTCTCAATTGAGTACTAGGTCCTGTGTCACGTGGGCTGTGTATCTGTGGTCTGTGTCTCCTGGTAAACACTGTTTAAAATGAGTTCCGGGGTCTCTGCCTCCAAGGGAGTGCGGGACGCTGGCGTGGGCTGAGCTGCCAGGGTAAAGAATCCACTGCAGCACCTGTGGCTTCAGTGCCTCGGTGGGGTGGGGCCGATGGCCTGCAGGTGAGCAGTGTTAAAGGAAACATGGTTCAATGATGCTTGTTAAAACACGGCAGACTTCATTCGGGGCCACTGGGTCCCTGGGTGTGAGACAGCCTGGGCTGGTACCATAGGGGAGCTGGTCTCCAGGTCCCTGTTGGGGGGGTCTGGTCTCTGGGTCCCTGTGGGGGGGGTCTGGTCTCTGGGTCCCTGTGGTGGGGGGGGGTCTCTGGGTCCCTGTGGGGGCGGCTGGTCTCTGGGTCCCTGTGGGGGTGTCTGGTCTCTGGGTCCCTGTGGTGGGGGGGGTCTCTGGGTCCCTGTTGGGGGGTCTGGTCTCTGGGTCCCTGTAGGGGTTCTGGTCGCTGGGTCCCTGTAGGCGGGTCTGGTCTCTGGGTCCCTGTGGGGGGGTTCTGGTCTCTGGGTCCCTGTGGTGGGGGGGGGGTCTCTGGGTCCCTGTTGGGGGGTCTGGTCTCTGGGTCCCTGTGGGGGCGGCTGGTCTCTGGGTCCCTGTGGTGGGGGGGGTCTCTGGGTCCCTGTTGGGGGGTCTGGTCTCTGGGTCCCTGTGGGGGCGGCTGGTCTCTGGGTCCCTGTGGTGGGTCTGGTCTCTGGGTCCCTGTGGGGGGGTTCTGGTCTCTGGGTCCCTGTGGGGGCAGCTGGTCTCTGGGTCCCTGTGGGGGTTTCTGGTCTCTGGGTCCCTGTGGGGGGGTCTGGTCTCTGGGTCCCTGTGGTGGGGGGGGTCTCTGGGTCCCTGTGGGGGGGTCTGGTCTCTGGGTACCTGTGGGGGCAGCTGGTCTCTGGGTCCCTGTGGGGGGGTTCTGGTCTCTGGGTCCCTGTGGGGGCGGCTTGTCTCTGGGTCTCTGTGGGGGGGTCTGGTCTCTGGGTCCCTGTGGAGGCGGCTGGTCTCTGGGTCCCTGTAGGGGTTCTGGTCTCTGGGTCCCTGTGGGCGGGTCTGGTCTCTGGGTCTGTTGGGGGGGTCTGGTCTCTGGGTCCCTGTGGGGGGGGTCTGGTCTCTGGGTCCCTGTGGTGGGGGGGGGTCTCTGGGTCCCTGTGGGGGCGGCTGGTCTCTGGGTCCCTGTGGGGGTGTCTGGTCTCTGGGTCCCTGTGGTGGGGGGGGTCTCTGGGTCCCTGTTGGGGGGTCTGGTCTCTGGGTCCCTGTAGGGGTTCTGGTCGCTGGGTCCCTGTAGGCGGGTCTGGTCTCTGGGTCCCTGTGGGGGGGTTCTGGTCTCTGGGTCCCTGTGGGGGTGTCTGGTCTCTGGGTCCCTGTGGTGGGGGGGGTCTCTGGGTCCCTGTTGGGGGGTCTGGTCTCTGGGTCCCTGTAGGGGTTCTGGTCTCTGGGTCCCTGTGGGCGGGTCTGGTCTCTGGGTCCCTTTGGGGGGGTCCTGGTCTCTGGGTCCCTGTGGGGGCGGCTGGTCTCTGGGTCCCTGTGGGGGGTTCTGGTCTCTGGGTCCCTGTGGGGGCGGCTGATCTCTGGGTCCCTGTGGGGGGGTCTGGTCTCTGGGTCCCTGTTGGGGGGTCTGGTCTCTGGGTCTCTGTGGGGGTTCTGGTCTCTGGGTCCCTGGGGGGGCGGCTGGTCTCTGGGTCCCTGTGGGGGGTTCTGGTCTCTGGGTCCCTGTGGGGGCGGCTGGTCTCTGGGTCTCTGTGGGGGGGTCTGGTCTCTGGGTCCCTGTGGGCGGGTCTGGTCTCTGGGTCCCTGTGGAGGCGGCTGGTCTCTGGGTCCCTGTGGGCGGGTCTGGTCTCTGGGTCCCTGTTGGGGGGTCTGGTCTCTGGGTCCCTGTGGGGGGGTTCTGGTCTCTGGGTCCCTGTGGGGGCAACTGGTCTCTGGGTCCCTGTGAGAGGTTCTGGTCTCTGGGTCCCTGTGGGGGGGTCTGGTCTCTGGGTCCCTGTGGGGGGATCTGGTCTCTGGGTCCCTGTGGTGGGGGGGGTCTCTGGGTCCCTGTGGGGGGGTCTGGTCTCTGGGTACCTGTGGGGGCAGCTGGTCTCTGGGTCCCTGTGGGGGGGTTCTGGTCTCTGGGTCCCTGTGGGGGCGGCTTGTCTCTGGGTCTCTGTGGGGGGGTCTGGTCTCTGGGTCCCTGTGGAGGCGGCTGGTCTCTGGGTCCCTGTAGGGGTTCTGGTCTCTGGGTCCCTGTGGGCGGGTCTGGTCTCTGGGTCCCTGTTGGGGGGTCTGGTCTCTGGGTACCTGTGGGGGTGTCTGGTCTCTGGGTCCCTGTGGTGGGGGGGTCTCTGGGTCCCTGTTGGGGGGTCTGGTCTCTGGGTCCCTGTAGGGGTTCTGGTCTCTGGGTCCCTGTGGGCGGGTCTGGTCTCTGGGTCCCTGTGGGGGGGTCCTGGTCTCTGGGTCCCTGTGGGGGCGGCTGGTCTCTGGGTCCCTGTGAGGGGTTCTGGTCTCTGGGTCCCTGTGGGGGCGGCTGATCTCTGGGTCCCTGTGGGGGGGTCTGGTCTCTGGGTCCCTGTAGGGGCGGCTGGTCTCTGGGTCCCTGTTGGGGGGTCTTGTCTCTGGGTCCCTGTAGGGGTTCTGGTCCCTGGGTCCCTGTAGGCGGGTCTGGTCTCTGGGTCCCTGTTGGGGGTTCTGGTCTCTGGGTCCCTGTGGGGGCGGCTGGTCTCTGGGTCCCTGTGGGGGTTCTGGTCCCTGGGTCCCTGTGGGGGCGGCTGGTCTCTGGGTCCCTGTGGGGGTTCTGGTCCCTGGGTCCCTGTGGGGGCGGCTGGTCTCTGGGTCCCTGTGGGGGCGGCTGGTCTCTGGGTCCCTGTGGGGGGTTCTGGTCCCTGGGTCCCTGTGGGCGGGTCTGGTCTCTGCATCCCTGTGTGGGGGTGGCTGGTCTCTGGGTCCCTGTGGGCGGGTCTGGTCTCTGGGTCCCTGTGTGGGGGTGGCTGGTCTCTGGGTCCCTGTGGGGGCGGCTGGTCTCTGGGTCCCTGTGGGGGCGGCTGGTCTCTGGGTCCCTGTGGGGGCGGCTGGTCTCTGGGTCCCTGTGGGGGGGGTCTGGTCTCTGGGTCCCTGTGGGGGCGGCTGGTCTCTGGGTCCCTGTGGGGGGGTCTGGTCTCTGGGTCCGTGTGGGGGTGGCTGGTCTCTGGGTCCCTGTGGGGGCGGCTGGTCTCTGGGTCCCTGTGGGCGGGTCTGGTCTCTGGGTCCCTGTGGGGGGGGTCTGGTCTCTGGGTCCCTGTGGGGGCGGCTGGTCTCTGGGTCCCTGTGGGGGGGTCTGGTCTCTGGGTCCCTGTGGGGGGGCCTGGTCTCTGGGTCCCTGTGGGCGGGTCTGGTCTCTGGGTCCCTGTGGGCGGGTCTGGTCTCTGGGTCCCTGTTGGGGGGGTCTGGTCTCTGGGTCCCTGTGGGGGTGTCTGGTCTCTGGGTCCCTGTGGTGGGGGGGGGGTCTCTGGGTCCCTGTTGGGGGGTCTGGTCTCTGGGTCCCTGTGGGGGCGGCTGGTCTCTGGGTCCCTGTGGTGGGGGGGGTCTCTGGGTCCCTGTTGGGGGGTCTGGTCTCTGGGTCCCTGTGGGGGCGGCTGGTCTCTGGGTCCCTGTGGTGGGTCTGGTCTCTGGGTCCCTGTGGGGGGGTTCTGGTCTCTGGGTCCCTGTGGGGGCAGCTGGTCTCTGGGTCCCTGTGGGGGTTTCTGGTCTCTGGGTCCCTGTGGGGGCAGCTGGTCTCTGGGTCCCTGTGGGGGGGTCCTGGTCTCTGGGTCCCTGTGGGGGCGGCTGGTCTCTGGGTCCCTGTGGGGGGTTCTGGTCTCTGGGTCCCTGTGGGGGGTTCTGGTCTCTGGGTCCCTGTGAGGTGGCTGGTCTCTGGGTCCCTGTGGGGGGGTCTGGTCCCTGGGTCCCTGTGGGGGGGTCTGGTCTCTGGGTCCCTGTGGGGGCGGCTCATCTCTGGGTCCCTGTTGGGGGCTCTGGTCTCTGGGTACCTGTGGCGGGGGGGGTCTCTGGGTCCCTGTTGGGGGGTCTGGTCTCTGGGTCCCTGTTGGGGCGGCTGGTCTCTGGGTCCCTGTGGGGGTGTCTGGTCTCTGGGTCCCTGTGGTTGGGGGGGTCTCTGGGTCCCTGTTGGGGGGTCTGGTCTCTGGGTCCCTGTGGGGGGGGTCTGGTCTCTGGGTCCCTGTGTGCGGGTGGCTGGTCTCTGGGTCCCTGTGGGGGGGTCTGGTCTCTGGGCCCCTGTGTGGGGGTGGCTGGTCTCTGGGTCCCTGTTGGGGGGTCTGGTCTCTGGGTCCCTGTGGGGGGGTCTGGTCTCTGGGTCCCTGTGGGGGGGCCTGGTCTCTGGGTCCCTGTGGGCGGGTCTGGTCTCTGGGTCCCTGTGGGGGTGGGTGGTCTCTGGGTCCCTGTGGGGGGGTCTGGTCTCTGGGTCCCTGTGGGGGAGTCTGGTCTCTGGGTCCCTGTGGGGGCGGCTGGTCTCCAGGGCTCTGTCGGGGGCAGCAGGATAGTCAGTCAGTGGTGGGATTCTCACCCTGACTTGCTCTTTGGACCAAGGTGGGCTCATTGGTCAACTGGGGAGGAAGGAAGAGGCGGCAGCAAACCTCAGCAGGCAGCTGGGAAGCCACAGCGGGGCCTCGGCTCCAGGCGGTGCCTTCCGAGGATGTGAGGAAGCGCCGCCCAGGTTGGGACACAGCCCCACCCACGGGCAGCTGCCCCTGCATCTTGAGCTGCTCTGGGCCTTCTGCGGGGCCCACCTGCCTCCTTCTCAAGCTGCCTCAGCTCCGCAGTCCTCCCCCAGGGCACTCTGGGGAGTCAGGGCTGCAGGGAATTTCTCCTCCTTCTTCAAAGGTGACCCCGGGGGCAGGTCCCGGCGCCTGGGAAGGGAACTTGCACAGCTAAATTCCCGCTGGACCCTGAGGCTGGACTCGCAGTCTGGACACCGACCTCCGGAGCCCTGAGTGGGTCGTCCCTGCCCTGCCCCTTCACTGCCCCTGCCCTGCCCCTGCCCCTGCCCCGTGCTGCCCCTGTCTTGCCCCTGCCCCTGCCCTGCCCTGCCCCTGCGCTGCCCCTGTGCTGTCCCTGTGCTGCCCCTGCCCCTGCCCTGCCCCTTCACTGCCCCGCCCCTGCCCCGCCCCTGCCCCGCCCCTGCCCTGCCCCTGCCCTGCCCCTGCGCTGCCCCTGTGCTGTCCCTGTGCTGCCCCTGCCCCTGCCCTGCCCCTTCACTGCCCCGCCCCTGCCCTGCCCCTGCCCCGCCACCCTGGCCTACATCCACTTCTCCATCCGGCCTGGTCTCCAGAGTGAGATGCGGCTCCAGCACGTCCCTGACGCCTCTGACCCTCCAGGGCTGTGAGCCCGTGCCCCCTCACACTCCTTCACAGGACCCCCGGCCCACAGGCAAACCGGGGGAGAGAGGGCCAAGCTGGCGGCAGGGGCACAGCAGACAGGTGGACATGGCACTGCAGGAGGCTAGCGATGGCCTCACGGTGTAGCCGCGGGCCCCAGCCTGTGGGGCTGCACTCTAGCTCACTGTGCGTCACTTACACCTCCTGAAGGCTTAAAATCGATTTCACACACACCCAGCAAGAAGCAGGCTGATGTTGGGGAGGGGCCAGGTGCCTGGGCCTGGCTGAGTAGCATCAGCCTTCAGAGCAGAGGGCAGGGCTGGCGGAGAGGGCCCAGCTGCATCGTGTCAGCCTCCTGGATGTACTGGGAGCAGCCTCAGGCTCGGCTGGATTTCATGGGCAGGATGGTCATCCACGGGAAGCAGAAATAAGAACCTTGTGACTCTCTTGTGTGTCCGGGGCCTCAGTCCTGCTCTGGAGGTGCTGACCCAGGGGCCTCGGGAACCACGGTGGGCTCCACGCCATTCACACGCAGGGTCTCTAAGCCACCGTCCCTCTCCTTCCACATGCCTCCCGCCTTAGCGCCGTGCAGGGGCAGTGACCCTCCCCTGCAAGGCTGGGGCCTCCCCAGGTCACAGGGGAGAAGGGCAGGCAGGCCCCACACAGAAACTTCTGGGGCCAGATCCGTGACGCTGCCCTCTGACATCAGCGGCATTTGTGCCTCCCCCGGGGGCCTCTGGGAGCCAGCGGAGGCCAGGCCACAGCTTGGAATGCCTCAAGGGAAACCGCGTGTCTCGGCCTCAGCCTGCGGCCCTCCTGGAAGGAGGGGTGAAATATCACAGTGTCCACAGCTGGAGCTCCTGGAGAGCACCAGGGACCCCAGCCTCCTGCCCCGTCAGGCCACAGCATCAGGGAAGGACGGCAGCCCCTGTGGGAGGTGTGGCAGGGGCGAGGCAAGCAGCCTCCACTGTGAGTACAAAAGCAAGGCTGCCAGGGAAGGGCCCGTGGCCAAGAGCACCCAGTGAGGCCCAGGACCCAGGGGGAATTAGGTCGGGAGACGGCACCTGTGGTCGGCGAGCAACAAGGACACGCACAGTCCTGTACCGTCCCCTTCCCAGGCCCAGGAGCCACCCGCAGGGGCTGAGCCCTGGGAGCATCCCAGCCGGGCTCTAAGGGAATGTACAGGGGGCCCGGTGACCTGGGCTGGGTCTGGGCTGGGGCCTCCCGGGTTCTCTCACGTGTGTTTCGGCCCCTCTGCAGTGTTCAGATGAGGACGGGGCTCAAATCCCCACACTGGGTAGGGGTGGAGCTGGGACCTGTGAGCATTGGGCCCCATGAAGGGTCCCCTCCAGTTCTCATAAGCACGTCAGGGCATCAGTGGGCTCCGGGACCCTGACCCTGCTCTGCAGATGGCATCTGGGCATCAGCCAGGAGGAGGCCTCCTGCTCTGAGCTGGTTTTTGGAGAAGCCATTGAGGCACAGAGGAAATGTGGGACTGGAGGACGTCCTAGAGGCTGGGACACCCTCACCGGTGCTGGGATCCGGGGGCCCGACACCCCCCAGGCCTCAGCCTCACTGAGCGGCCACCATCGCCCCGAGGGCCCACGGCACTACGCAGCATCCCGGAGCCCCGTGGCCCTGTTCTGCCCTGGACCGCGCACCCTGCTCCCGGAAAGTCCTGCCTCCACAGACACCCCGTGCAGGCCGGGACCTGCACCCGAGGAGGCACACACCGAGCAGTCCCTGGTTTCTGCTGCTGCCCTGGGGGCGGGGCCGGAGTGTCCGGGTGCTGAGCACGGCCCCTTCCCTGTGATCGGCGCGCCAGCCAACAGACAGAAGAGAAAACGTGAGTGCATTAAGTACGTACCTGCTTCTCAGGTCTTTTCATCTTTTTCTGAGAAACATATCCTATTTAATTGAATGAAAAGGAGCGTTCCGTTATTTTCCAAGAAATGACCATTCATCCAGGAAAGGTGATGGGCTTTTTGAATTTTATTTACAGAAAACTACAGTATAAGATCAGTTTTGCTGTTTACGCGTTTGCAAACGGCATGGCCGATGAACAAGACGCATCTCATTCGGATTCAGTTTGAGTTTATTCTGGAATTTTGTTTTAAAGACAAAGTTGTTTATAATGGCTTAGTCTAAGGGCCAGGAAGGTCTCGCCTGGCCCTGCCCTTCAGACACGCCCCCACCTTCACGTCACCCTTCGCCTCACAGCCTGACGGCCACCTCCCCGGTCACCTGGTAAGGCCCTTTATGGAATCTTCTTCCATGAAGAGAGCAAGAGGAACAACAAGCTGTTTTCTTCTCTGCACTCACTCGACACCACAGAACACTTCTGTGGCCGGACATGTGTGTCTCCAGGGACACCAGCTGAGTGTCCTATAATTCCGTTCAGCCTCTACACCATCTACCCGGCGATGGTGTCCGGCCCCACGAGGGGAAGCTGTCCCACAAGCCACCCGCACTGCAGGTCCCGATCACAGGTCTGGCCCACCCGGATGCTCCTTTCTGACTGGCTGCAAAGTGGGGTTCCCATGATCCCCTCCTTGGGTTCGATTAATTTGCCAGGACGGCTCGCAGAACTCAGGGAAGTGCTTATGTACATTTACCCGTTTATTCTAAAGGATATTATAAAAGATGCAGATGAGAAAGCAGCTTTTATCTGAGGAATGTGGGTCCCTTTAAGTTATCAGCCCAGAGAGGCCCTGGAATAAGAGCGGCCGCCCTCCCTGCCTTAGAGACCGACCGACACCAAGTAGCAATAAATGAGCCTGACATGCCCCACGCCAGGCCGTCACTCAGACCCCAGAGTTCAACAGCCGTTGACTGGTGAGTCAATGGCGGCCCTGTAGACAGAGGAGACTCCTGACAAACAGCTGAGCTAATCACCAGTCAACAGCCACCCTGTAGACAGAGGGGACTCCTGACAAACAGCTGAGCTAATCACCAGTCAACGGCCGCCCTGTAGACAGTGGGGACTCCTGACAAACAGCTGGTGTGGGTCACACCTCGTCTTTTTTTTTTTTTTCTGTCTGTAGGTTTATTGTCTTGATCTGAAAAATCCTCATAGGTAATTGTTCGGTTGAGCTCTCAGCAGCTCCTGAGCTCCAAGGAAGCTTGCCTTCTTTGAGCTACCCGAACTTTCTTCTGAGCAAAGGCCATTTTGGGACGGTTTTGCCTCTTCTTTCGAACTTCTTTCTTGGGCTTCTTCTCATAGCCTGGATTCTCTTGTAGAGCAGCATGAGCTTTCTTATCTCTCTCCCCCACTGTGGGCGGCAAGCCAGCCAGGTGCCGAGGCAAGAGACGGAGGGCACGAGCTGATCCAGTGTAACAAAATATATAAAACAACAAGAGTTATGCTAGATCTAGATCATAGATATGATTATATATGAATATCATTCATCATCAGTTTGTAGCAATTACTCTTTATTCCAATATTATAATAATCCTCGCTCTACAATCATAACGTAGGAAAAACCAGGCCATACAGAGATAGGAGCTGAAGGGACATGGTGAGTGACAAGTGACTACAAGGCAAGTGCGTGAGCCTTCTGTCATGCCCGGACAGGGCCACCAGAGGGCTCCTTGGTCTAGCGGTGATGCCAGCATCTGGGAAGACACCCGTCGCCGAGCAGACTGTGGTCTAGCGGAAGCGTCAGTGCAGCGGTCACGCTCCTGGTCCGCTCTCATGTTCCATCCCGTACACCTGGCTCCGCCCTCTAGATAGCAGTAGCAAAATTAGTGAAAGTATTAAAGTCTTTGATCTTTCTGAAAAGAACATAGAAGAAATAATGACATAAGCTGTCCTCTCACTCCCCGCCTCGGCTACCTAACAGGGAAGGGCCCCATGTCTGGTGGACACGTGACTCACATGACCTTATCAATCACTGGAGATGACTCACACTCTTTACCCTGCCCCTTTTGCTTTGTATCCAATAAATAACAGCGCAGCCAGGCATTTGGGGCCACTACCGGTCTCTGCGTCTTGGTGGTAGTGGTCCCCCGGGCCCGCTGTCTTTTCTTTTATCTCTTTGTCTCGTGTCTTTATTTCTACAATCTCTCGTCTCCGCACACGGGGAGAAAAACCCACCGACCCTGTGGGGCTGGTCCCTACACCCCACCATGTCTGGAGTTACGCTGTTCTTTATGTATTGAGAGAACTGTTTCTTGTAAGCATCTTCATCTTCTTGCATTAAGTAGCACATGTAATCTGCAACATTCTGGCCCATGATGCCCTTCCGTGTACTTCTGCATTAAATTCCTTGTTTTCAGAATCATAACCAGGAAATTGTTTGGTACTGTGAGGGATAGACCAGCCTCCATCCACAGCTCCATTCAGGGCGCCAAAAGCTTTATTGCCAGTGGTAGTTCTGGCAAGGCCTGCATCCATATAGCAGGTGAAGGCACCTGGCCGACCAGCAATGCTTTCCACATTCTATTCATCACCAGTCACCTCCACTTCGCCTTCTTAGATCTTGTCCAGGCCAGACCTATTGAGAAACCTGCAGGCCAGCAGCAGCCAGGACAATACGCTGTGGCATAATTTATCAGGCCGACCTTCACACTGTATTTTGGCAGGTCATGTGCATACGCTGTGCAGACTATCATACCCCCTCTATCTGGGCATAAGCGATCTGACAAATGATATCTCTGTTTGTTACACCAACTATCATCCTGTATTTGGGTGTGTTGTATTTGTTTTTATACTGAATCGCCAAGCGTTTCCGAGCATAGCAATCAGTTTTACCCTCTCATCATCTTCTAAATTTCACTTGGTATCTCTTAAAGTCGGCCTTATCCTGCACAACTTTAACAAACCCCATCCTGCGGAACAGAGTCCTGCGTCTGCGGCTCAACAGAGACCGGCCCCTTGTCCCCTTTTTTGCTTTTAAAAACCTGCTTGTAAGAACCAATGCAAGAAGTCCAGTAACTCAACTGGCCAGAGTGCTGTGTGTCCTCCAAACAGCCACACCAGCTCTCCAAGAAGAGTTCTTAACCAGGCTGATGAACTGCCTGGAGTGACAGAAATAGAATTCAGAATACAGCTAGGAGCAAAGGTCGTTGAGATTCAGGAGGACAGCAAAACCCAACTCAAGGAAAATAAGAATCACAATAAAATGATACAGGAGCTGAAGGACGAAATAGCTGGCGTGAAAAACAACCTCATGGATCTGACAGAGCTGAGTCACCACAATACAAGAATTTTAGGCCGGGCGCGGTGGCTCACTCCTGTAATCCCAGCAGAGACGAGTCACCACAATACAAGAATTTCAGGTCAGGTGCGGTGGCTCACTCCTGTAATCCCAGCATAGCTGAGTAAACACAATACAGGAATTTCAGGCCGTGCACGGTGGCTCACGCCTGTAATCCCAGCACTTTGGGAGGCCGAGACGGGTGGATCACCTGAGGTCAGGAGTTCGAGACCAGCCTGGCCAACATGGTGAAACCCCGTATCTACTAAAAATACAAAACCTAGCCGGGCATGGTGGCAAGTAACTGTAATCCCAGCTACTCTGGAGGCTGAGGCAGCAGAATTGCTTGAACCCAGGAGGTTGAGGTTGCAGTGAGCTGAGATCATGACACTGCACTCCAGCCTGGGTGACAGAGTGAGAATCCTTCTCAAAAAAAATTCTTAAAAAAAGAATTTCACAATGCAATCACAAGTATTAACTGCAGAATCAACCAAACTGAGGTAAGAATCTCAGAACTTGAAGACTGGTTCTCTGAAATCAGACAAAAATAAAGAAAAAAGAATTAAAAAACCTCCAAGAAGTATGGAATTATGTAAAGAGGCCAAACCTATGAATCACTGGCATCCTGAAAGGGAAGGGGAGAAAGCAAACAACTTGGAAAACATATTTCAGGGTCTCGTTCATGAAAACTTCCCCCACCTTGCTAAAGAGGCCAACAGTCAAATTCAGGAACTACGGAGAACCCCTGCAAGATTCTACACAAAAAGATCATCCCCAAAATGTCTGACATAATCGTCAGATTTTCCAATGTCAGTATGAAAGAAAGAATGTTAAAGGCAGCTAGAGAGAAAGGGCAGACCACCTACAAAGGGAACCCCATCAGCCTAACAGCAGACCTCTCAGCTGAAACCCTACAAGCAAGAAGAGACGGGGGACCTATATTCAACATTCCTAAAGAAAAAAATCTTCAACCAAGAATTCGATATTCAGCCAAACTAAGCTTCCTAAGTGAAGGAGAAATAAGATCCTTTTCAGACAAGGAAATGTTGAGGGAATTCATCACCACGAGGCCTGCCTAAAAGAGATCTTGAAAGGAGCACTAAATACAGAAACGAAAGACCAGCTAATACAAAAATGCACTTAAATACACAGACTAGTGACACTATGAAGCAACCACACAAACACGCCAGCATAATAAGCAGCTAACAGCACAGGGACAGGATCAAATCCACACAGATCAACACTGACCTTGAATATAAATGGGCTAAATGCCCCACTTAAAAGGCACAGAGTGGCAAGCTGGATACAAAAGCAAGACCCAGTAGTACTATGCTGTCTTCAAGAGACCCATCTCACACGTAATGATACTCATTAGGCTCAAAATAAAGGGACGGAGGAAAATCTACCAAGCAAATGGAAAGCAAAAAAGCAGGGGTAGGAATCCTGACTTCAGACAAAACATTTCAAACCAACAAAGATCAAAAAAGACAAGAAAAGGCATTATATGGTAGAAAGTTCAATTTAACAAGAAGACCTAACTCCTAAATATATATGCACCCAACACAGGAGCTCCCAGATTTATAAAACAAGTTCTTTGAGACCTACGAGGAGACATAGGCTCCCACACGATACTAGTGGGAGCCTTCAACACTCCACTGGCAGTATTAGACAGGTCATTGAGGCAGAAAATTAACAAGGATATTCAGGACCTAAACTCAAGATTGGACTAAATGGATCTAATAGACCTATTTATAGAACTCTCCACCCAAACCAACAGAATATACATTCCTCTCATTGCCACATGGCACAGGCTCTAAAATCACATAATTGGACATAAACCAATTCTCAATAAACATAAAAGAACCAAAATCATACCAAACATACTCTCAGACCACAGCACAATAAAAATAAAAGTCAAGACTATGAAAATCACTCAAAACCATGCAATTACACGGAAATTAAACAACATGCCCCTGAATGACTTTTGGGTAAAATTAAGGCAGAAATCAAAAAGTTATTTGAAAATAAGGAGAACAAAGATACAACACACCAGAATCTCTGGGACACAGCTAAGGCAGTGTTAAGAGGGAAATTCATAGCACTAAATGCCCATATTAAAAAGTCAGAAAGATCTCCAATTAACAACCTAAATTCACAACTGAAAGAATTAGAGAAGCAAGAACAAATCAACCCCAAAGCTAGATGAGAAACAACACAAATCGAGCTGAACTGAAGGAAATTGAGACACATAAAACCATTCAAAGGATCAATAAATCCAGGAGTTGTTTTTTTAAAAAATAATAATATAGGCCACTAGCTAGATTAATAAAGACAAAAAGAGAGAAGATCCAAATAAAGCTAATTACAGATGATAAAGGGAACGTTAGCACTGACCCACAGAAATCAAAGCAGCCATCAGAAACTACTATGAACACCTCTACACACACAAACTAGAAAAGCTAGAAGAGATAAATAAATTCCTGCACCCATACACCCTCCCAGGACTGAACCAAGAAGAAATTGATTCCCTGAACAGACAAATAATGAGCTCTAAAATCGAGTCAGTAATAAATGGCCTACCAACCAAAAAAACTTCAGGACCCGATGGATTCACAGCTGAATTCTACCAGATGTGCAAAGAAGAGCTGGTACAATTCCTACAGAAACTATTCCAAACAATTGAGGAGGAGGAATTCCTCCCCAGCTCATTCTATGAGGCCAGCATCATCTCGACACCAAAACCTGGCAGAGACACAACAAAAAAAGAAAACTTCATCCCTGGGATGCAAGGTTGGTTCAACATACACAAATCAATAAGTGTGATTTGTCACATAAACAGGATGAAAGACAAAAACCACATGATTTTCTCACTAGATGCAGAAAAGGGTTTCCATAAAATCCAATACCTCTAAGAGCCGTCCTATGACAAACCCACTGCCAACATCATGCTGAATGGGCAAAAGCTGGAAGTGTTCCCCTTGAAAACCGGCACAAGATAAGGATGCCCTCTCTCACCACTTCTATTCAACATAGTATTGGAAGTCCTAGCCAAAGCAATCAGGCAAGAGAAAGAAATACAGGATACCCAAATAGGAAAAGAAGAAGTCAAACTATCTCCATTTGCAGACAACATGATTCTATATCTAGAAAACCTCATAGTTGGCCCCAAAGCTCCTCCAGCTGATAAACAACTTCAGCAAAGTTGCAGTATACAAAATAAATGTACAAAAATCACTAGCATTTCTATACATCAACAACAGCCAAATCAAGAGCCAAATCAGAAAGGCAATCCCATTCACAATTGCCACAAAAAGAATAAAACATCTAGGAGTAGAGCTAACCAGGGAGGTGAAAGAGCTCTACGATGAGAATTATAAAACACTGCTCAAAGAAATCAGAGAAGATACAAACAAATGGAAAAACATCCCATGCTCGTGGATAGGAAGAATCAATATTGTCAAAACGTCCATACTGCCCAGAGCAACTTAGATTCAATGCTATTCGTATCAAACTACCAATGACATTCTTCACAGAACTAGAAAAAAAACTATTTGAAAATTCATATGGAACCAAAAAAGAGCCCAAATAGGCAAGGCAATCATAAGCAAAAAAAAAAAAAAAACAAAGCTGGAAGCATCACATTGTCCAACTTCAAATGATACTGCAGATCTACAGTAACCAAAACAGCGTGGTACTGGCACAAAAACAGGCACATAGACCAACAGAACAGAATAGAGATCTCAGAAATGAGACCACACACCTACAACCATCTGATCTTCAACAAAGCTGACAAAAACAAACAACGGAAAAAAGACTCCACATCCATAAATGGTGCTGGGATAGCCCGCTAGCCATTTGCAGAAGACCGAACCTGGAGCCCTTTCTTATACCATACACAAACATTCAACTCAAGATGGATTAAAGACCTAAATGTAAAACCCAAAACTATAAAAACCCTGGAAGACAACCTAGGTAATACCATCCTGGACATAGGAACGGGCAAAGATTTCATGACAAAGACACCAAAAGTAATCGCAACAAAAGCAAAACTTGACAGGTGGGACCTAATTAAACTGAAGAGCTTCTGCACAGCAAAAGAGACTATCAACAGAGTGAGCAGACAACCTACAGAATGGGAGACAATATTTGCAAACTATGCATCTGACAAAGGTCTAATGTCCTGCATCTGACAAAGGTCTAATGTCCAGCATCTGCAAGAACTTAAACAAATTTACGAGAGAAAAACAATCAACCCCATTAGAAAGTAGACAAAGGACATGAACAGAAACTTCTCAAAAGAAGACATACATGCAGCCAACAAGTGTATGAAAAAAAGCCCAATACCACTGACCATTAGAGAAACGCAAGTAAAAACCACGGTGAGATACCATCTCACACTAGTCAGAATGGCTGTGATTAAAACGTCAGAAAATAACAGATGCTGGTGAAGTTGGGGAGAAAAGGAAAGGCTTATACACTGTTGGTGGGAGTGTAAATTAGTTCAACCATTGCAGAAAGCAGGATGGAGATTCCTCAAAGAGCTAAAAGCAGAACTATCATCTGACCCAGCCATCCCATTACTGGGTATATATCCAGAGGAATAGAAATCATTCCACCATGAAGACACAAGCACGTGAATGTTCATCGCCGCACTGTTCACAATAGCAAAGACATGGAATCAACCTAAATGCCCATCAATGGCAGAGTGGATAAAGAAAATGTGGTACATATGTACCATGGAATACTATGCAGCCGTGAAAAAGGAGATCGTGTCTTTTGTGGGAAAATGGATGGAGCTGGGGGCTATTATTCTTAGCAAACTAACACAGGAACAAAACACCAAATACCGCACGTTCTTACTTACAAGTGGGAGCGAAATGATGAGAACTTATGAACACAAAGAAGGGAATCACTGACACTGTGGTCTCCTTGAGTGGGGAGGGTGAGAGGAGGGAGAGGAGCAGAAAAGGTAACCGCTGGGGCTCCGTACCTGGGTGATGAAATAATCTGTACCACCAACCCCCATGGCACGTGTCTACCTGTGTAATAAACCTTCACATGTTACCCCAAACCTAACACCTCCCACGTTCAATGCAGCCCAGTGAAGGGTGGCGGCCAAGGCGCCCTCAGGGCCCAGAGCCTCCTCTCCGGCCGTGCCTCCCTCCTGGAAGCTCCCAGGCTCAAACCCCGAAGCTCATCGGATCTTGTTGCTTGGGGTTGTCTGGAGTGTGGTCTCCAGATCCCTCTCCCGGAGGGCAGTGGGTGAAGCAGAAAGTTCCCACCTGGATCCTATCATTGCTGGTCTCTCTGAGGACCGCCATCCTGCGGCCTCCCCAGGGGCCCCACTTGTCCACCTCATTGCCATAACCCTGGAGTTATCACAGGGCTCCTCATGAATAACAAAAGACACTCCCGTCACTCAGAATCTTCCTGGGGTCATGGATCCCCATCCCACACACCCCAATAAAACCAAGTGTGTTTCATAAAATACCACAAATAAAGAAAAGAGGGGCAAATTCCTGGGGGCAAGGGGCATTAGCTGGGTGTGGTGGCACACACCTGTAATCCCAGCTACCCGGGAGGCTGAAGCAGGAGAATCACTTGAACCTGGGAGGCAGAGGTTGCAGTGAGCTGAGATTGCACCACTGCACTCCAGCCTGGGCAACAGAGCAAGACTCTATCTAAAAAAAAAAAATAGTGCCAAAGGAGCAAACTAAAACTCTCTCTGGGGGAAGATAAAGTAACCCTAGGCCTCAAGTAGTTTCCAAGAATACTTTTGCGAAACACAGTAGCCAGCACACAATTTAAAATAATCAGGCACTCAAAGAGAAAAGATCACACCCATAAAAGCCAGCAAGAAACAGGAGACGCGTGGGGCCACAGCTCAGGGAGGTAAGAAACAGCAGACAACAGGAGAGACGCGTGGGGCCGCAGCTCATGGAGTTCTCAGACAGGCTTGTGAAGGTGACCTGTGCTTGCCCACCATGCTCAATAACACACAGAAATCAGTCACTCAAAACCAAAGTCCCTGGAACTTCGCACAATTTTGAGCCTTAAGGAATCAACGACGGGACCTGACTCAGAGGACAGGCAGCTGCAACCTTTGTTCCCTGAATGCAGATCAGCCTTTCCTTGACCGACATTGTTTTGTAAAATGTAGAGAAGTTAAGGCGTCAGGAAGACCCTCCCTCTTCCCTGCTGATCTTCATTAGAGATTAACTCCCCTTTCTTCCCTGACTGACACAAGACCTCATGACTACCACACAGTGTAAGGCTGAATGCTAAATATGCTCTTTTAAATGGAAAACAGAAAACAAACGGAGTATAACGAATCAAATTGCTATCACTCACAAGCCAGCCTTGTATGAAAAATGCTGTAACCCTTTTAAATTTCTCTGTTTTCTGCATATATAACAGAGACCTTAACTTTTCAGTTTCAGAGCACTGACCCCATTTCTTTGGAGTCTGTGTTATCCGGATGGCTATTTTCAGCTTCGTGCTTGAATATACTCTTTTAAACTGGATTCTGATCCTTTTGATGTTTGAGAGTTGACAGACATAGAAACTAAGGTTGAGAATTTTGGCAGAGAATCAGAAACCATCAAAATTTTAAAATAAATAAAAGGCCTGAAAAAGAAATAATGGAAAGAATCCAATGAATGGGTTTAATGGTAGATTAGACATAAAGAGAGTTTGTGAACTGGAAGATGGACCATCTGAAAACATCGAGCATAAAACTAAAAGATAAACTACAGAATAGAGGGCAAAAGACACACAGTGTAGTGTGTGCAGATCCATCACATGTGTGTGCCTGGAGTCCACCAATGCTGGGACAAGCTGGGCAGATTTATCACACGTGTGTCCCTGGAGTCCACGAATGCCGGAATGAGCTGGATGGATCTAGCACACGTGCGTCCCTGGAGTCCACGAATGCCGGGATGAGCCGGGGTCCAAGAGAGAGAGAACAGGAGGGAACACTGCAACAGCATCTAATGACAGAATGGTGAAAACTTTCCCAAACTGCTTAAAAACACAAGCCATGGATTCCAGCAGGTCTACAAACTTCCAACTAATATAGAATAGAAATGAAACAATACATTAATAACCAATACAAAATAAGTCAGAAAGAAAAGGGAGCAGAGAACAAGGGGAAAACAGAAAACACTTAACAAATGGTAGATTTAGGCCAGGCGCGGTGGCTCACACCTGTCATCTCAGCACTTTGGGAGGCTGAGGCAGGCGGATCACCTGGGGTCAGGAGTTCAAGACCAGCCTGGGCAATATGGCAAAACCTGGTTTCTACTAAAAATACAAAAATTAGCCAGGCATGGTGGCACATGCCTGTAACCCTAGCTACTCGAGAGGCTGAGGTGGAAGGATCACTTGAACTCAGGAGGCAGAGGCTGCAGTGAGCCAAGATACGCCACTGCACTCCAGCCTAAGTGACACAGTGAGTGAGTCTTTGTCTCAAAAAAAAAGGAAAGAAAAGATAAGAAAAGGGTGAAAATCAGTGAGTTATACAATCATCTCAAGAATTTAGAAAAATAATAACAAACTAACCAAAACTAGAGGAATGAAATCATAAAGATAAGAACAGTGGCCAGGCGCGGTGGCTCACATCTGTAATCCTAGCACTTTGGGAGGCCGAGGCAGGCAGATAGCCTGAGCTCAGGAGTTCAAAACCAGCCTGGGCAACACAGTAAAACCCTGTCTCTACTAAAAATACAAAAAAATTAACCAGGCGTGGTGGCGTGCACCTGTAGTCCCAGCTACACAGGAGGCTGAGGCAGGAGACTCACTTGAACCTGGGAGACAGAGGTTGCAGTGAGCTTAGATTGTGCCACTGTACTCCAGCCTGGGCAACAGAGCGAGACTCAGTCTGCAAAAAAAAAAAAAGAAAAAAGAAAGAAAGAAAAAATAAGAACAGAAATTAACAAAATAAAAAATATATATCCTTTAAAAGGGTTCATAAAATCAATATAGTCCTGGCAAATCCAATCCAGAAAAAAGAAAGAAGGCACAAGTAACAAATGTCAGGAGTTGGGGGGCTATTCCTTCAGACCCTACAGACATTAAAAGGTAAAGAGCAGATAGATAATACACGCAAGTTGATGCCAATAACTTGGAAAAGACAGAAATTCCTAGGAAATGTGAAAGCTTTATTTTTAGAGATGGGGTCTCCCTATGTTGGCCAGGCTGGTCTTGAACCCCTAGTCTCAAATGATCCTCCTGCCTCAGCCTCCCAAAATGCTGAGATTATAGGTGTGAGCCACTGTGCCTGGCCTGAAAGCATCTTAATAGTTGTATAAGTATTAAATAATTGAATTCATAATTTGAAACCTTCGTATTTAAAAACAAATGCCTTTAGATCCAGTGATGGCCTCACCAGAGAATTCCACCAGACATTTAAGGAAAAAAAATAACAGTAGTTTTACTAGAACTCAAACTCTTTCAGAGAATAGAAAAAGAAGAACACATCCCAATTATTTCAGGAAGAAGCATAACCTTGATACTTACAGCTAACGGGGACATTATAAGAAAGACACATCACTGGCCGATGAAAATAAATGCAAAAGTTCTTACACAAAATATTAGTCCACCAAATCCAGCATACTGAGTAAAGACCCTATATCACAACCAGATGGAAGGAGTGCAAAATTAGTTCAACATCAACCATTTATCCGTGTAATCTAACACATCCTCAGAATATGAGAGAAAGTCACATAATCATCTTAGTGGATGCAGAAAACACACTTGATAAAATTCAGCGCCTGTTTGTGATTTAATAGAACACTTGGCAAATCAGCAAAAGAAGGAGACTTAATTAGTCTGCTAAAGGGAGTTACAAAAACCTGAAGCAAAATTACACTTAATGGTGAAATGGAAAGCTGGCCTTCTCTCCCACTGGGAACTCAGCAGAGTGGACGATCGCCACCCCTGCTATTCCCTGTTGTTCAGGAGGCCCTGGCAGGGACAGTGAGGAGGAGGAAGAAAGAAACATGAGAAGGATTAGTAATGAAGAAGTCAGTCTGACATTATTCTCAGATGATATGGTTGCTTACATAGAAAATCCAAAGCAACACGAAGATCAGAATTAATAAGCAGGTTTAGCAAAGTTGCCAGATACAAGGTCATTATACAAAAACCAACTTTATAGGCCAGCACTAAACAGAAAATAAGTGCTTTGCAAAGACAGAATCTACAGTAGCACCACAAAATATCAGATATTCATGCTAAACATAATAAAAGATGCATAAGGCCTTTTCACAGAAAACTACAAAATATCGTTGGGAGAACAGGATGGTAATCGGAACATGTGGAAGGAGATGCATGTTCACGGGTGAGGAAGCTGTGCAGGGTGAGCGCAACCCCAGCCATGCTGCGGGGCACATGACACGCTGCTTCCAGGTGGGTCTGAAAATGCAGAGGACCGCGGGCAGCCAGGACTTTCTTGAAGAAGAAGGAGGTGGGGGAAGAGGCAAGGGTGGGTTCTGTGTGGAGACTTCTGTGGCTGTTGCAGAACTGACAGACCGATGGGAAAGGATAGAGTCTAGAAACAGACTCACACCCGGGCACATTCGACCCAGCAGAAGCCAGGCTGGCAAAACGGAGGGTGAAGGGCACCTTCCCAACACCCGCCCCCGTGCCCGGCCATCGCCAGTGCGGGGAAAACAGGAACTTCATACATGCATAACCTAAGACCCGGCAACTCCACTCTAAAGATAGGCCAAACAGAAACACAGGCACCTGAAGAAAAGATGCCCCCGTAGCTTCGTTCCTAAGGCTGCAAATTGTAGAAGCCACCTGAGTGCCCACCAGCGCAGAAAGAGAACCTCCACTGTGGGGTATTGACGTCGTTGGAAAGAGAACCTCAACTGTGGGGTATTGACGTCATTGGAAAGAGAGCCTCAACTGTGGAGTATTGACGTCATTGGAAAGAGAACCTCAACTGTGGGGTATTGACGTCATTTGAAAGAGAACCTCAACTGTGGGGTATTGACGTCGTTGGAAAGAGAACCTCCACTGTGGGGTATTGACGTCGTTGGAAAGAGAACCTCCACTGTGGGGTATTGACGTCGTTGGAAAGAGAACCTCCACTGTGGGGTATTGACGTCGTTGGAAAGAGAACCTCCACTGTGGGGTATTGACGTCGTTGGAAAGAGAACCTCCACTGTGGGGTATTGACGTCGTTGGAAAGAGAACCTCCACTGTGGGGTATTGACGTCGTTGGAAAGAGAACCTCCACTGTGGGGTATTGACGTCGTTGGAAAGAGAACCTCCACTGTGGGGTATTGACGTCGTTGGAAAGAGAACCTCCACTGTGGGGTATTGACGTCGTTGGAAAGAGAACCTCCACTGTGGGGTATTGACGTCGTTGGAAAGAGAACCTCCACTGTGGGGTATTGACGTCGTTGGAAAGAGAACCTCAATTGTGGGGTATTGACGTCATTGGAAAGAGAGCCTCAACTGTGGAGTATTGATGTCATTGGAAAGAGAACCTCAACTGTGGAGTATTGCCATCATTGGAAAGAGAACCTCAACTGTGGGGTATTGACGTCGTTGGAAAGAGAACCTCAACTGTGGGGTATTGACGTCGTTGGAAAGAGAACCTCAACTGTGGGGTATTGATGTCGTTGGAAAGAGAACCTCCACTGTGGGGTATTGACGTAATTGGAAAGAGAACCTCAACTGTGGGGTATTGATGTCGTTGGAAAGAGAACCTCCACTGTGGGGTATTGACGTCATTGGAAAGAGAACCTCCACTGTGGGGTATTGACGTCATTGGAAAGAGAACCTCCACTGTGGCGTATTGACGTCGTTGGAAAGAGAATCTCCACTGTGGGGTATTGACGTCGTTGGAAAGAGAACCTCCACTGTGGGGTATTGATGTAATTTAATACAATTCAGTAACAATAATCAATAAATTACTACTACCCATAACAACATGGTTGAATCTCAGAGACACTGAGGAAAAATGCACGCACACACACACAAATACACACACACATACACACACACAAATAAACACACACACAAATACACACACATAGACACAAATACACACACATACACAAATACACACACACGAATACACACACAAATACACACACATACACAAATACACACAAATACACAAATACACACACATACACACAAATACACACACATACACACAAATACACATACACATACACACAGACACAGAAATACACACACATACACAAATACACACACAAATACACATACACACATACACACACAAATATACACACACATCCACACAAATACACATACACATACAGACACAGAAATACCCACACATACGCACACATATACACACAAATACACACACGCACAGAGGGACGGGGGTTCCGTCTGCTCCCAGCCGCATTGGTTCCCCCGTGGGGTGAGCCTGGCAGGACAGGGCCAGCCCAGCGCCCAGAGACAAAGTGAGGAGACCGTGTTTCCGCCAGAGCCACAGGGCAGCTCCCCGCAGAAGCCAGTCGTGGTCCACGGTTCCCGCGTGCCGGCTCCCAATCTCTAACAGGAGCACCGCCATTTACTTCCACATTTCCTTTTTTTCTTTACTAAATATCTGATTTATTAAAATTTACATGTGTATTTGTTGCAAAGTGTGATGAGGAGCCAACAGAAACTCGGGCATAAAAATAATTCATCGTCAGATACAATCTGGGCAAAAACCAGATGGCTATGATGCGTCTGAGGAAAAATGTCAGCACGAAGATCTCGGACTGTTAGAGAAGAATGTGTTTACGAATTCTTTAAACGACTGACAGTAGGTATCAAAACCATTTTGGCATTTAGCTTCCTAGATACATTTACAGGAGTGACTAACAATTTTACTTCAAAATGTGAGTATTTACATCACACCAGAAATGACATTATTTGCCATCATTTACATGTCTGGATTTTTTAAGAAACCTGGATGTTGACGTCAACATGTGTGAGTGATTTGGCAGCTTTTCAAAATTGTTTTAGGGAAAACGAGAGCCAAGGCCCTGAAGACCCCTGCTCCACCCGCCTCAGCACGCAGCCCAGTCCAGCTGAGCGCCGACTGTGGGAGACCGAGTGAGAAGGACAAGGCCGATCCTGACAGCGTCCGGGTGTGACAAGGGCCCGGTAACCCCCTCGGAGCAAGGTCTCAGGAGAAGCATCTGGGAGTCCTACCCTGGGCCCCTCATGGAGGAGGGAGGGTGGGCAGGGCCTGGGCAGGGAGGGAGGAACCAGGTTCCTCACTCCAGCCAGGAGCCACAGTTCAGGCTGTTGCCTCTAGCAGAGGGGAACGTCTGGTGGGAAAGGGCAGTGGGGTGGGGCAGAGGATGGGTAGAGGCCATGGAAGAGTTGGAAGAGGACGAAAGTGCCACCAAGTCATGGCCCTGGACCACGGACCTGATCGTGCAGCTGGGAAGCCCCTCAGAATTCCGACACCACCACAAGCATCCTCGGGAGGAAGCTGTGCCAGCACATGCTGGGCACACAGGGCTGGCACCGAGAGGCAGGAGGGCTTGATGAGGAGGCCGTTCCTTGTGGCTCACGGAGGGCTCTTGGCCGTTTCCGCGTGGCACCCAGAAGCTGCTCACCAGCTCTAGAAGACGTGGGGCGATGAATCCAGACCCTGGAGGAACTGCGCCCTCGTCCAGCATAACTGAGGTGCCAGGACACAGGACCGACATCGCACCCTCCACTTGGGTCAAAGCTTTATCACTGCAGGCGAGTGTGCGGGCGCCCGGGACAACTCGCAAAACGTCTGGAAGTTCCCACCACTCCCCAGAACAACAGAGACCAAAGCCCACAAATCTTTAAAGGAAAGCAGCAGGTGCGTAAAAGAAAGAGCCTGCGGCCCCTGCCCGAGGCCCCTCCCCACGTGCCCAGCCCTGAGCAGCAGCAGCGCTGAGTGACCCAGGTGTGGGAAATGCCTGCTGAGGGGTTTTAGGCCGCAACAGCCGAAGCTGACACGGCCGACTCCAGGAGCCTGTGAGTTCTGCATTTTACCAACCGCATGCACGTCTTTCCAGGAGTGCTTGCCCTATGGCTGCCCCCCAAATTATGGGGTTACCTTTGCCCCCTATTCAGTGTCTATATCCTCACCCCAAGCCCGTGAGGTGACCTGGGCACTCGGTGACAAAGTCCTGTGCTTGTGGGGTCCCTGGTGCCTTCCCTTTGGGGTCACGTCAGCCCGGCGTTCCCCCGGAGGCACAAGTCTGGGTGGCAGCTGAGAGGCGTCAGGGGCACATCCAGACCTGACAAAGGAGGCGGCCCCAGCCCTGCAGCAGAGGGCCCAGGAGCCCAGGGGCTCAGCTCCAATGTCCAGGTCTGAGCACCAGGGTGCAGCGGGATCAGGCTCCTGGAGCAGAGTCTGCCTGCCACTTCCGCCTCCTTCCAAGACAGGGACTGGGGCGCTGCAGGCCCTGTGGGGCCCACAGAGAGAGAGCTCAGGGACAGCTGGCTGAGGCCACCCTCTGTGAGACTCCTCCTCTCCAGCTCCAGCCCACTCCACCTTGGCTTGCTGCCCAAGCTTCCAAACACCCAAGGATGGGGGAGGCTGCACCTGACTGCTGACTCGGTGGACCAGGGTGGGCCCCAGGGTGGGCATTTTCAATAAGGTGGGGCTGCCTGGCTGGACGCAGGGAGTCTGCCCAGCACCTGCCCCACTCCCAGCCTCCGGCTTCAGTGCCCACCTGGCTCCCGGGGAGCTGAGCCCCTGAACTCCCTGCCAGGCCAGAGTGACAGCCCGGGTGACCGACCAGGGGACAGAGTGCTGGGAATTCACGTCCCTGAACACACTGCACCCTCCCACTCTGCGGTCAAAAGCCCTGCTGCTCCTTCAAGCCAGGAGCATGGATTAAGTACCTACTGTGTGCCTGGCCAGCCACACGGACGGGGAGCTGACAGCCGGGCCCTGAAGCCGCCCTCTCTCCTGTGGGAGTTCTGGGGGTGGCCGGGGAAGGTGAGATTCTCCTCCACCCTCCCTGCCTCTTGGCCGAGCTTGGGGCTATCCTGGCTCTTCTGACCGCGGCACTACCGTGGGCCGGGGTCACCCTGGCGCTGAAGAAAGCCCCGGGGGGCCTTTGGGGCAGGAAGAGGTCAAGAGCCCCAGGACCCCCCAGGGTCCCCCAGGACCGGGGAGGGTCGGGTGCCCAGTGGGTCTCTCCGATGCCTCCAGGTGGGGATGAGGCAGCGTTATTGCCCCACCCCCAACATCCCCGGGCCTCCGAAAGACCCTCGCTCAGGAGAGACCCCGGCCCAGCGACCGCCCCGCCCCCCACCCCGGGCCCCGCCCCCCACCCCGGGCCCCGCCCGGCCCTGCCCAACGCCGCTGCAGAGGCCACCCCGGGACTGCGGCAGCCCCGCCCGGCAGCAGCGGGGGTGGGACGGGGGCGGCGGGAGCCGGCGAGGGGGTCTGCCCGTCCGAGCTTTCCTGGGCGCCGGCTCCGCCCCTCGACCCTTGGGGCCCAGGTGGGGCGCAGACCCCGTGGCTCCCCGCGGAGGCCACACGCCTGGCTCCGCCCCCGGTGCCTCCCCCAGGAAGGAGCGACGTTCCCTAGGCGCCGGGTCCGGACAGCGCCGCGCAGCCCCCGCGCACCCCGCGCCCCCCGCGCCCCCCGGGCCCGCCCCGTATCCCTGACCGCGTCCCCTGGAGACACTGCGGCAGCGGCGGGCGGGCGGGGGCGGGCGAGGGCCGGGCGCGTCTCCATGGAGCCAGGGCGCGCGTAGCCGAGCCCAGCCCAGCCCAGCCGGAGGCCCCGGGGGCGGTGCGCGGCGCGGCCGCAGGATGCAGGCCATGGACCCGGCCGCGGCGGATCTTTACGAGGAGGACGGCAAAGACCTGGACTTCTACGACTTCGAGCCGCTGCCCACCCTCCCCGAGGACGAGGTGAGCCCCCGGCCCCACTGGGGGGCCCCTTCCGCCGCCGAGGGGTCCGCGGAGAGCGCCCGGGGGGAGGACCCGGGAGGGGCTGTGAGCTCCCGCCTCCCCAGGCGCCCTCCATGGCCGAGGGGTTCCCACCGCCGTTCTCAGCCCCCGCGTTAGGATTTTCACCCGGAGGGGACAGCACCCCCGAATGCGCACGGGACGGCGGCGGGTGGGCAGCCCCTGCAGAAGTTGGTGCGCGGTAGCTCCTGGTGGAAACCCTGGCGGGACAGTGTGGGGGCAGCAAGGAGGACGGAGGGGGGTCTGCTTACTCCCTGCCGGGCCCCAGGAGGCCAGCGGGGTGCAGAGCAGCAGAGTCCAATCAGGCGCCGCTCAGGAGCTGGGGGATGAGGTCCCCGGAGCTGAGGTTCAGGAGCGGGGGGTGGGGGGAGCGCTGGATGACTGCCCCCCGAGACTGAGAGCTGCTTCCTGCTCTCTGGTTTTCCGGGCCTTCACCCAAGACCCCCCTACCCCGCAAGGTGCAGAGGGGCTCTGCCTGCCATCTGCATACCCTGGCGCTTCTGCTCATGGACCGCCCACCCTACAGCACCGGCTGCCCAGACGCCACCTTGGCTGGGTCTGACCCTGTAGCTCAGCTCTGGCTTGGCTGGGATGGAGTGGACAAGCCAGGCCCGGAAGCATGAGAGGTGGCCCCCAGGGGATACAGCAGCTCCCAGAGGGACCCTCACCCTCCAGGGATCCGAGATCTGCCAAACCTCCAACAGGCAAGAGCCCAGACGCTGGGCGCCTGCGTCTCCGGGTGACAGCGTCGTCACCTGCAGCCATTAGTGGGATGTTGTGGCGCCCTCTCTTTAAAGCCGGCCAAGTAAGCCTGGAGCAGGGAATCCCGGCTGCAGCAGCCGCGGGCCTGACCCCCTCGCAGTCCCCACCTGCTGCCCCAGGGGAGTGGGCTCTGAAGGGACCGGGAGTTTCTGCTGTGGAAGCACCGTCCTTCTGGGAAGGTTCAGCCCCAGGAGGCCCTCGGCCCAGCCACCTAGAAACAGCTGAGGCTGTGCGGGGGTTGGCGATGCCCCCGCCCCCACCATGGCCTGGATTCGGTGCAGTTGAAGGCTGCAGAGAGGAGCAGCCAGGGGAGGCAATAAAGCTTCCAAGATCACCTCGGCTCTGACCGAGAGGGAGGGGCAGCCCGCAGCCTTCAGAAACGCCCCAGGACACATCCCAGGGTATCTGTTAGGAGGCGGCCCTGAGGACGCAGCTCTTCCCACAGCTCCTTCGTGCATCAGAGGCCTGAGCCTTGAGGGCCTCCCCGCTCCGCACACGGAGGCAGCAGCCGGTGCCACGCACACAACACGCCGCGCCAGGCGCGAGCCCACTTGGAGCCACAGGCTGTCTTTCTGCACACTCCCCACTCCCGCTCCCCACCCCCACGCACACACCAGTGTCCTCGGGCCGGCCGGACAGCTCCCGGCCGGCACAGTACTGGGGTGGGTGGCTCCATCCTGTGACGTCCACCAAGGCCTCCAGGTGAACTGTCATCCCACCGAGTTTGCAGCGTGCAGTGGGAACGTTCAGGTGGGCCCTTCGCAGACACTCCTGGAAAGCATCGGGTGGTCCCTGGCCCAACCCTGTGCCCAGTACTGAGCCCAACACACCCCATGTCTCAGAATTCCCCTGGCGTTCAGACTCTGCTTCCCACACGTGTTTGGCTTGGAAGGTTCTGAAATCTCCATCGGGGCACCTGACTTGCATGGGAAAACCGTCCTGGGTGAGGTGAGGGCACGGTGAGGTTGCATCATCATCCCAGAATGCCGGAAGGCCAAGGGTGCAGGGCAGCTGCCGGGAAAGCACGGTGGCGCCAGGCCCAGGACATATGCAGGCTTCATAAGATGTAGGAACTCACTCATTCTACAGCTAATTATAATGGCTGGCTCCATGATGGGGTCAAGAAATAGACCCCTATGGACACCCACCGGAGCCCCTGGAATGTCCCTCCCTTGACATGGTCCCAAAGAAAATCCAAATGGCTGCTGAACATGTGAAAAGATGTTTGCTCATTGCAATCAGGAAAATGCAAAATACACCCCCACGAATGCCTTCCCAAGACCGCCAGGCTGGCAAGAACTGAAGAGCGGACAGCGGCTTGTGCTGGCAAGGACGGCGCAGCAGCTCTCCCTCGCGCCAGTGGGAGGACAAATGGAGCAGCCTCTTTGGAAAACAGCCCAGCATTCGCTGGTGAAGTAGAAGGCACCAGTGCCCTGTGTCCCAGCAACTTCACTATGGTGTGGGCCCCAGAGACACGTGGCCGTGCGTGTGTGAGAACACTCTCAGCTGGAACCTACCAGAGCATCAGCAAGTGGGCCAGCAGGTCCTGGAGGAAGTGACCAGGTTGGATCCCAGTACAGGCAAAGAACCACCAGTACACGATAGACAGGGAGATGTTCTGTGGGGGTGATGCAAGGAGGGCTTCCTGGAGGTGTCCTGCCCGGGATTCCCATGAGATTTCAGTCACTGTGGATGGGGGTATGGGATCTGAGGCAGAACAGTGCAATCCAGGCAGAACAGCGGCTGCAGAAGAGGCACACAGTCCAGGCGGCTGGAGTCGATGGATGGGCAATGCTGGCTGCCCCATGGGAATTCAGATGAGACGAAGAGGGTGCACCGGTTTGGGTGCCAGAGCAGGACGTGTCCCGGGTCCCTGAGAGGCAGGCAGCACTATCATCCCTCCCAGAGTTCAGCAACTGCCTCCCAGAACCTCCTGTGTGCCGGTGTCAGGCTGGGCTCAGAATCTGAGGCTGGACAGGATGCAGTTGCTCCCTGGAGGGGCACACAGCTGGGGGCTCCCAGTAAAGAAGAGGACGTCCCCGCTGCAGGGTCCATATGACATCTGTGCCAGGATGAGCTCAGAGCAGAAGGCACCTCGGGAGCAGAGGTGGTTTTGTGGTGGGGGCCTGGCAGTGTGAAGAGAGCTGTCAGGAGGCCTGGGGATTGGCAGCCAGTGCTCCCAGCTGTGATTGGAGTTTTGTATTAGTCCTGTTAGAATCCCACGGCTGAAAAAAATCAGTTGGTCATAAGACAGTGTATTTCAAATGCGCCACACGATCTAGGCGTCCCTGTGTAACCCTGGCTCGAAGTCTGCCTGGCAGTGTGGCGGGGGGTGTGGGAGCTTTCTGAATGCACAGGGCCCCTAATGGGGACCTGCCATGAGATAAGGGTCCTCGGTGGGAAGCGTGCCCTGCCCTCTGAGACCCAGGGACTGGCTGATGTGCTGCTGCCCTGGAGAGCAGCCCAGTCCCGGGGGTTCATGTCCACCTGCCTTCCCAAATCCCTCCTCCCACCTGGGATGGGGGTGGAGTTCGTGGCCACCTGCCTTCCCAAATCCCTCCTCCCACCTGGGATGGGGGTGGAGTTCGTGGCCACCTGCCTTCCCAAATCCCTCCTCCCACGTGGGATGGGGGTGGAGTTCATGTCCACCTGCCTTCCCAAATCCCTCCTCCCACCTGGGATGGGGGTGGAGTTCATGTCCACCTGCCTTCCCGAATCCCTCCTCCCACCTGGGTTGGGGGTGGAGTTCGTGGCCACACAATTGCAAAGTGGGGACCAGTCTTTCCTGTCCTGCAAGGAACAGGTCTTAGGTGGTCCCTGCTCTCAGACCTACCCCATGGCTCACCCAGGCACGCCCTGCTAGGGATGGTAAGGGGCAGGGTGGGTGGTCGGTGGGCTGGACTAGGTCATGAAGAACCCTCTGGGCCTGCTCAAGAGGCTGGGTCTGTGCCGGCAGACGGAGTCACTGAAAGCTGGCCAGCCACAACAAGGTCAGACTGTATTGGCAGGGGCAGGAGAGGCTGAAGTGTGGAAAGTCACGAGGCCCCAGCCTGCCGTGGGGCCCTCGTGGGTGCTGGGCAGACAGGTGCGCAGGAGGCGGCGCTGGGCAGACAGACAGGCGTCGGCCAGCTGAGGCCGGCGTTGCTATTCACAGCACGTCACCTCCTTCCCAAGTGTCTGCCACAGCCCATTAAACTCCTGTCGAGGCCACCTCGGCAGCCCCGCAGCCCGGCTGGGCGTATTTTACTTGAGCACGAAGCTTCCTGGCCCAGCTGTGGACTTGAACCTACCTGGTAGCAAGGCTGAGAGCCCCGGGGTCTCCAAGGGCCCCTTCTGGAGGTGACTACAGGACGCCCACAGCTCAGGACTACAGGACGCCCAGATAGCTCCCGACCTTGAGGGTGGTCGTGGGGTTGTCTGCTGGGATGTGGCGGGGGGAGCCCAAGGACGTGGGATCCCCAGGCTGCTGAGTGCTGCCTGTGTCTCTCCCAGTCCTCTCGTCCTGTCCTGGCCTCTTAGGCCTGTCTGACCCCCCCTTGCTCACCCAGCCAGTGTGGATTCGGGCAAGGAGGGCTAATTCCTCTCACCTGTGCCAGAGCAGGGTGGAGGCTGCAGGTCCCAGAGGGCAGGTGACCCGGGGCCCAGAGTTCAGGCCTGGGAGCCCTCAGCACATGACAAGACCCCCTGGGTGGCCGGGCTCAGGACCCTGTGTGAGCGGAAGCCCACCCTCTGGAAAGCCCCAGAGAGGCTGAGACCATCCTATCCCTGAGGGGAGGCTTCAGCCACAGACCCCATGGAATTCACCGCTAAAGTCATCCAGAGAATCTCCGACGGAATTCAGACACGCCCACCTCTCATGGGTGCTGGGGCTCCAGGTGTCCGGCTTCCCTGAGGGGAGGAGGGGGCTGCCCATCACCAGGCATCTCCCCTCCAGGTCTGAGCAGGAGGGCGTGCTGTGTGCGAGTGGTGGCCCTGCTGGCACGGCTGACCTGGGCTCCCTTCCCGGGTCCACGTGTCTCGACACCATTCTGTGGGCTGGCGGCAGGCGCCTGACCTGTGAGTGACAGCCAGAGGCACCCCAGGGCCCCGCAGGGGGACGGGGACCGGCTGAGACGCGCCTCATGCTGACTCCCTTCCTCCTAAGCAGCACAACCTACGGGGTCCTCAGACTGACTTACCGCTTGGTGCACGTCTGTGCCCGTGTTTGCAGGCACGTGTGCGTGGGCATGTTGCGCTGTGTGCATGTGTGTGCCAGTGCACGGGAGTGTGTACATATGTGTGCGCCTGCGTGTGCAGGTGCATGGGTGTGTGCATGTGTTTGTGTGTACGCAGTGCCCAGGTACCTCTTTAACCAGCCTCACAGGCGTCGCTGGGAGCTTCGGGCTCTCTGGAGTCCTGAGGAGTCCTGGGCGGTGCTAAGAGGGCGGCAGGCTTGAGCCCAAATCAAACACCTTTGATCGATCACGGGCCACAGGAATGGGGCAGGGAGATTCCCGCCATAGAAAGAGCTGGAAGGGCCTGGGAAATGATGTCATCAAGCCCCTCCCTGGACCGCAAGAAGGAGATGGACGGGATGTGCCAGGACCCCACGAACAGACGCAGAGCCAGCCCCATGGCCAGGCCCCACCGGGCGCCCATGCCCTGATCCCGTCGTTTGTTGGCCTCCTGCTTTGGTTTGAGCCCTTCATCCCTTTCCTGTGCCTGGGGGGCCTCTTGCAGTGCCAGCCGCTGGGGCAGGGTAGGGGGACCGGAGGCAGGAGGTGCCTCTCAGGACATCAGCCCAGTGGCTCCAGTACAGCCAGAGCCGCCCTGTGCACTGGGGGAGGGGGGGCCAGCGATGGGGGAGAAGGGGCCTCTGCCTCCTCCTCACGGGCCCCACCCATAGTGTCCAGGCTGCAGCCCCCGGCCACCCCCTCCTACCTGCACATGGGGTGCCCCGGCCGGGGAGCAGCACACCCAAGAGGGCCTTCAGCTCCATACTCGGGTGCGTGCGAGTGTGGATTGTGCAGCCTTGTGTGTTCCTGTGAGGGTGTGTGCACCAAGTGTGGGAATGGGTGTGTGCGGGTGTGCATGTCTGTGCGTGCATATGGTCAGTGTTAGGCATGTGTGCGGTGGCATGTAGTATGTGTGTGAGTGTGAGGTGTGTGTGTGTATGAGGATGTCTGTTCTCATTGCATGAGTGTGTGTGTGTGAAGCGGATGGAACTGTGAGTGTGCACACACCTTGCACCAGCGTCCGAGTGTTACTGTGTGAGCGTGCCCTGTGTTGGCGTGTGTCCATGTGGGATGCATGTATGGGGATGCGTGTGTCTGTGTGAGGGTGAGCACGTGTGCTAGGTGGGTATGTTTGTGCATGTGCATGGGGGGGGTGTGGGTGTTGGTGGCAACCATCGTGATCACAGCTGAGCCCTCGCGGAGTCCAGGAGCCCACTCGGATTTGGAGGTGAGCCCACATGGGGGCGGCCGAGCCACATGGAGGGAACCGCCGTGACTGTGTCCTCCGTGTGAATTGCCTGGAACAAATGTTGGCAGCGCGTGTGGTTGTAAGTCATGTGAGTGTCAGGATCACGCCCCGTTAGCTCTGCACGAGTCCACAGTTGGGGATGTCCACTCCGTCGCCTCGCTCATCTGTTGGCAGCCTCCACAGGCCAGTCCAGCCGTGAGCCTGCGGGGTCGGGGTGCTCCACGGAGCAGGTGACCCAGCAGCTCTGGCCGAGCCTCCGGGAGGAAGGCCCCGTGCCCAGGCTCCAGGAGCCGACACCTGCTCTGGGCAGCACGCCGACGGTGCCACCAAATGTTCCGTGGCTCTGACGTCCAGGGAACAGCAGGACGACTCTTGAAACAAAATGAGACGTGGTCTAAAGCCCTTTCCCTGACCCACGCGTTGAAACGCTGCCACGAGTCGTCCGTTTCCCCAGGGAATCGTCTCGGTGGGGGTGCCGGGGCCTGGCTGGGGGTCCTGCCGGGCTCACGGCCAGGGCCGGTCTTGGCAGGAGAACGTGTCTCTGGCTGACATCCTCTCCCTGCGGGACCGCGGCCTCAGCGAGCAGGAAGCCTGGGCCGTGTGCCTGGAGTGCAGCCTGTCCATGCGGAGCGTGGCCCACGCCGCCATCTTCCAGAGCCTGTGCATCACGCCCGACACCCTGGCCTTCAACACCAGCGGGAACGTGTGTTTCATGGAGCAGCTCAGCGGTGAGGCGGCGGTGGCGGTGGCGGCGGCGGCGGGCACGCGGGGTGGAGGTGCCTTTCAGGGGGGATGTGAGCACTGGCTCTGCCGGAGCAGATGCTGGGAGCATGCCCGGACCCGGGTTTCCTGTGGAGACCTTCTCTTCCTTGGGAGGGACTCAGGCTGGAGAGTGGCCGAGGGTCCGTGGGGGTGCCTGCTGTGCCACGGCAGTCACGCCTACCCTCAGACACCAGAGGGACACTCGGCCCGCCCTGAGCCCCCTCCGCTCAGGACTTCCCCTAAGGGCAGGCTATGCCCCTCTTCTGTCTCCCCTGAGCCAGTCCCGCCTGCCCTGCTGTGAGTGGACGCAGGCCCGGGAGGGTGGGACGCCCCTGCCTCCGTGGGTCAGCTGCTCCCACTGCGTGGCCCCTGCCCGGGAGCTGATTTTCCCTGGTGAATGTCTTCAGCTTCCTTCTTGGGAAAGTGGTAGAACCCTTCCCTCTTCCACTTTGGAACCCATTTCCCATCATAACCGTTAAGGAGCTGATTTCCCTTTTTCATGGCCTAAAATGGTCTGGGGACACCAGGTCTGCGGGGAGGGAACCTGGGGCCGCTCCCTCTCCAGGCCCTTCTCAGCTGGCGGGTTCAGGTTTGCAGGTGTGACCAGAAGCCTTCTCTCCTTCTCTCTCTCCTCCCCAAGACGACCCTGAGGGTGCCTTCGTTCCCCCCGAGTTCGACGTGACCGGGAACACCTTTGAGGTAAGTGCAGGTGGGGGTAATGTGCCACACCCCCCTTTTACCTCTATGGTGGCCTCTGCCATTAACTCAGAAATGCACCTGCCTTGGGGCGACCTCTGCAAGTGGCCTCTGGCCGGGAGCGGAGCCGCTGCTGCCCGGTTCACTGGGCTATAGGGACGGCCTCTGGGGCACACCCGGCTTCGTCCCCTGCAGCGTTCTCTGTGGGCAGCTCGGACTGTGGGTTCTGTGGGCAGCTCGGACTGTGGGTTCTCTGTGGGCAGCTCAGACTGTGGGCAGAGGCTTTGGCTACGTTTGTCATCATTACCATTTTATAGCAGGTTTTCTGGAATGCGAATTTACTACACTTAACATGTTAAAAGTGACCAAAATGACCAGTGATGATCGGCAGGGAATCACAGCTCCTCTGAGGGAGTTAGCAGCCGGGCCACTCACAGCCTCTCCAGACACAAGGCCTCCAGGCACAGCTCCTGGGTATGGGCGTGGGCATGGGCCACCCTGGGGGCCTCACCGGCAGAGTCATAGATGCTGCTGCTCCCAGAGCAGACTCCAGTGCAGCCCCTTGGGGACCCTTTGCGTGGGAGGAGTCGGGCAACGGCAGCCCAGCGCCTTGAGGTCAGCACCTGTGTGGCCGGCTGGAGAGGGGCGGAATCACCCCGGGGCCTTCAGAGTCGATCAGTCCATCAGGCTGGGCTCTGTCCCCGGGCAGGGAGTGGCCCATTGGTGGTTCCTACTGTCACGAAGCCCATGGGCAGAGAAAGTAAAGCAATCCTTAACAAATAAGTAACTAGGAACTCAAAGATCTTCCCAATAAAAGCCCATCAGCTATGTCATGACCTTAAAATTTGACCTTGAAAGAAGAGTTTGGGGGCTGGGCATGGTGGCTCACTCCTGTAATCCCAGCGCTCTGGGAGGCTGAGGCGGGCAGATCGCTTGAGCCCAGGAGTTCAAGACCAGCCTGGCCAACATGGCGAACCCCGTCTCTACTAAAAATACAAAAGTTAGCCGGATGCAGTGGTGCACGCCTGTGGTCCCAGCTACTCGGGAGTCTGAGGCAGGAGGATCTCTTGAACCCAAGAGGTCGAGGCTGCAGTGAGCGGAGATGGCACCACTGCACTCCAGCCTGGCTGACAGAGCAAGACCTTGCCTCAAAAACAAGGAAAGAAGAGTTTTGGGATGGCTTCCCGCACCCTGCTTACTTTCACTCTGAAACAAGTGAGGCTGGAGCCCTTCACCCTGGGAGGTGGGCAGGGTGCCCCAGGAGGCCTCTGCTGCGGGGGTCCTACATTTTAGTGCACCCCAGCGTCCAGAACCCAACTCCCTGCAGCAGTGGCCTGGTGGCCGTGACGCGGCACGTGGCCTGGTGGCCGGGACATGGTGTGTGGCCTGGTGGCTGGGATGTGGCTGTGGCCTGTGGCTGTGAACGCAGCGCATGGCCTGGTGGCTGTGACGTGGCACGTGGCCTGGTGGCTGTGATCCCTGGTGCACATGAGGGAGTTTTAGTTTTGTGCTTGCGTTCCTAGTCATGTCATAATCCAGCTCAGACCTGGACATGACCTCAGCCCAGGCCGTGCCCGGTCCCCCTACTCCGTGGTTCCCCCGTGGGACTCGCATTCCTTCATTTTTATCCCGCGTTGCACGTTCCTCCAAGTCCTGTTGTTTCCTCGGGGCCATTTTTAACTTTCTGAAAAGACTTGAGGCCATCTGTGATCTTCCAGGACTTCCTTTTATGTATTTCTTGTTAAACTTCATCTGCAGAGCACTGTGTGGCCATAATGTGGCACCTGCTGTGTGTTATCCCGTCGGGTGAAACGCTACATTTAAATCCCCGCTTGTGAGGGGACTGAGGGGTGCGCAGGTGTTTCCTGGTGTGTACACCAAGAACACATCTTGGCGAGGTTTCTCTAGGGTGCATGCCCAGGAGGAAGTGTGGCTCGTGGGGCAGGTGGACGTACATCTGTTCCTGGAACTCCCCCAACTGCAGGCCCGAGAACACGGTGTGAGGATCGCTGGCTCCTGCAGGACGTGGACGTGGCAGGGGCCTGGGATCTGGGGTCTGGCCTGGGGTCTGGGGTCTGGCCTGGGGTCTGGCTCCTGCAGGACACAGGCGTGGCAGGGGCCTGGGGTCTCACACACAGGACAGCACCGCGCTGCATCTCCTTCCTGCGTCATAGGGGATGTGGGTGAGGAGTGCCTCTCCAGTGAAGCTTTATAACCCTAAAAAGTATTGTCTGCCCCTAAGAGCGTTTGCTTATGTGCGTTCTGTCTCTTCATGTTTATGATGATATAAATTAAAACCAAGACATTTTAAGTTATCTATTAATTCATTTAAAAATCACAATACCCATTGCATGTTAACATACATAACATTTTTATGAAGAATATTTTTCTTTCCAAAATTAGTGAGAAGAGTGGCATTGGGTTGCATATTTGTAAATCTTTCACGTCTGGGTTGTGGAAAACGCCTGGATTTTCATGGCAGCTTCTGCATTCAGTCGGCTGTGATATCACATCACGTGGCCCCAGCCCCAACCCCAAGCCCAACCCCAGCCCTAACCCTAACTCCACTGTCCGCTCATGAGGGAATGGGATGACCAAGGCAAATGCCGTCTCGGCATCATTACAGGAAGAGTTTAACCTCTTGAGCCACACTCAGAGAAAAGCTGGCCGACGGTGTCCTCTGCTGAAAAGTAGTTGCTCGATTTTAATATAATCAAATGTTTTAATGCTTCTTCTACTGTTAGGGTCTAACCTTCACAAGAAACCTTTCCCATTTCAAGGTTGAGCCGATAGTCACTGATATTTTCTACGAAGAGTTTTAAGTTTTGTTTCACATTTGATCCACCTGAAGTTACTTTAACGTTGTAAAGTTTTGCTGTAGGTGTCTTAGATATAGTTTATTAGATTTTCCTCAGGAATGTGATGTTTTTTGATTCTATTCTAAAATTCATTGTCCTCTTTTTGTTTTGTTTTGGTTTTGAGGCAGGGTCTCACTCTGTCACCCAGGCTAGAGTGCATTGGAGCAATCACGGCTCACTGCAGCCTCCACCTCCTGGGCTCAAGTGATCCTCCCACCTCAGCCTCCCAAGTAGGTGGGGCTGCAAGTGTGCACCACCATGTCCAGCTAATTTTTTAAAATTTTTATAGAGATGGGGTCTCACTCTGTTGCCCAGGCTGGTCTTGAACTCCTGCCTTCAAGTGATCCTCTCCCCTTGGCCTCCCAAAGTGCTGGGGATAAAGGCATGAGCCACTGGCCCCGGCCAATTGTATTGTCCTCTTTTTAATTACATTTTTCTGTTTGTTTGTTGCTAGTCTACAGAAATGCAATGCACTTTTTTTTCTTTCGAGACAGGGTGCAGCACAGTGGCATAGCTCACTGCAGCCCCAAATTTCTGAGTTCAAGCAATCCTCCCACGTCAGCTTCCTAAGTAGCTGAGACTGTAGGCACACGCCACCACACCCAGCTAATGTTTTTATTTTTATTTTTGTAGAGGCAGGGTATTGTTAGGTTGCCCAGGCTGGTCTTGAACTCCTGGGCTCAAGTGATTTTCTTACCTTGGCCTCCCAAAGTGCTGGGATTACAGGCATGAGCCACTGTGTCTGGCCACAATTCACTTTAGTATCTTTATTTTATATCCAGCCATCTTGCTAAAGTTTTTTTAATATTTCTAATAACTTACAGATTCTTTTAGTTTTCCTATTTAACTGATCAATCACTGACAAAGAAACAAGTGTTGGTTCCTCCCATCCGATGGTCCTGCTACAGGTTTTCCTTCCTTCTCTTACTTGATGCAGCAGGGAACAGCAATGAGTCTTGGAACAGAAGCAGTGTGAGGCTGGGCACTGTCCCATCTCAGGGAGAAACTGACCACTCCCCCCATCCCCCATTCTAAAAAGAGCGCTTTTCACCTTCCTCATCCAGAATGGCGCCCGCCTCCACCGCGAGTCCCCCTTGATGCAGAGTTTGATCGTGAATGTGTGTGTCAATTTTACAAGATGTTTCTTCTGCATCCTTTGACATGATCCTTTAATTTTTTCTTAAGATTTTCATATTCACATCTTTATTTTCTTATATTAAATCATCCTTTCTTACATAGAAAAACCTAAATTGGGCAAGTGTCTTGCCTTTTGTATACACTGTTTAATTGGATTTACTAACGCTTGCTTCAGATTGTTGCGCATATTGGAGTGGACTGGCGATTTCCCATTTTGTTGATGTTTTCACCGGCCTCAGGATTGTTCTAATCCTGTATAAGCAGCACCCCCTCCCTTTCTTTGTCCTGTTTATTTAAGAATGGGATGATCTGTTCCTTGAAAGTCTGGTAAAACTCACTTACAGGGCCACCTGTTTTCTTTAGGAAAGATTTTTAACTACTGCTCAGTTTTTAATAGCTACAGGACTGGCTGGGCACAGTGGCTCACCCCTATAATCCCAGCACAGGGAGATTTGGGGAGGCCGAGTCAGGAGGATCACTTGAAGACCAGAGTTAGAGACCAGCCTAGGCAACAAACTGAGACCCTGTCTCTACACAACATTTTAAAAATTAGCCGGGCATGGTGGCATGTACCTGTAGCCCCAGCCGCTCAGGAGGCTGAGGCGGGAGGACTGCGTGGGCCCAGGAGTTCCAGGCTGCAGTGAGCCATGATTACCCCACTGCACTCCAGCCTGAGCAGCAGAGTGAGACGCCACTTCTTAAAAAAATAGTTATAGGACTGATCTCTGGTGTTTCTTACTGAGTCAGCTGTGGGTCTGCTTTTTATGTTTGTGAAATCTCTGGCCTTCAGCTGCAGGTGCTCTCCTCTTCAGGCGCTGCATTAGCTGCAGGTCACCCCAATTCTCTGATTGGACAGTTAATTTGTGCTTTCTCTTCCCAGTCTCACTAGGGGTTTAGTTCGTTCATTTTTCCAAAGAGCCTCCTCTGTGTCCCGTCTGCTCTCCTGGCCTGTCTGTGTTTTCTTTTCCATTGATTCTTGTTTCTCATTCTCTCTTTTCCTCCTTGTTCTGAGTTTAGGATCCATCCCTTTTCTGACTCGAGCTGGACACTTAGGTCATTGGCTTTCAGCTTTTCTTCCTTTCCAATATCAGTAAGAGTACTTAAGGCTATGAATGTTCCTCAACCTGTAGGTTTTGTTGCAGCCTATGAGTTTGCCACATAATGTTTGCATGATCATTTCCTTCTAATTTTTTTTTTTATTTCCACTGGGATTTCTTCTTTAGCCCCTGAGTTATTTTAACAATGTGAACAGATTGGTTTTTTCTTACTTTTTATTGAGATATACATGCAGAAAAATGCAGATATCACAAACATACAACTTGAAGGATTTTCACACCGAACATCTGTGTAAGCAGCACCCAGATGGATGGCAGCAGCTCCTGCCTGTTCCCCGGGTCACTGTCTGGACAGCGCAGAGCAGAGGTTGCGGTTTTCCTGTTTTTGTGCCTCCTGTGGGTGGGCTCCTGCAGCGCTTGCCTTTGGTGGCTAGTCCTCCACCCAGCATCACGGGTGTGAGATTTATTCCGTGTGGCCATGGAAAGCATTTATTCCCAACAGTCGTCTCTAAACTTCCAAACACACTAGGGCTTTTATGTGTCATTTTCATTCTCTTCTTAACTTCTCCAGCCTCCACCCCATGAGGCTCCCCTCTCCACCCCGCTGCCCTGAGCACCAATGGGCTCCAGTGGCCCGGCCTGGAAGACTCCGACCCCTCCCCCATCGCTGGCCTGTTTGCTTGGCATTCATCCACGACATGCAGGCTTAGCAAGCGTCTGGGCTCACAGACAGCAGGGTGAGTGGGGTCCTGCCTCTTGCTGGTTCTGGTCTACACAAGTGACAGACTTGATGTGAGACCCACAGGCTGGGGATCCAATAATGCTGGGACATGAGAATGGGGCCCCAAGGCTCTTGTTTGCATCAGAGGCCTCCAGAGGCCACTGTGAGAAGGTGGAGTTTCAACTGGGACCTGAGGTTGAGTAGGGTTCACTGAATGAAGATGGGGAACTTGCAACACGGAAGGAAGGGCGGTGAAGATGGGGAACTTCCAACACGGAAGGAAGGGCGGTGAAGATGGGGAACTTCCAACACGGAAGGAAGGGCGGTGAAGATGGGGAACTTCCAACACAGAAGGAAGGGCGGTGAGTGGGAAGGTTGCTGATACCACCGGGTGTGTATCAGGCAGTGTCAACCAATAACTAACCAGAAGGTTATTTGCTGAGTTATTTTCTAAATAAATGGATTGATGGTTGGAGCATAGATTATTGATGATGGATGAATGAAGGGATGGATGAGTGGATGGCCAGGTGGATGGATAGGTGGATAGGTGGGTGGATGGGCAGGTGGATGGGTGAATGGACAGATGATGGTGGATATGTGGATGGATGGGTGGGTAGATAGGTGGATGGACAGATAGATGGTTAATATGTGGATGGATGGGTGGATGGATGATGGGTGGATGAACAAGTAGATGGTGGGTATGTGGATGGACGAATGGGCGGATGGGTGGATGGTGGATATGTGGATGGATGCGTGGATGAACAGATGGATGGTTAGGTGGATGCATGGGTGGATGGATAGATGGATGGTTAATATGTGAATGGATAGGTGGATGTGTGGATGGGTGGGTGGATGGGATTATGAACAGGTAGGTGGTGGATATGTGGATGGATGAGTGGGTGGATGGGTGGATGGTGGATATGTGAATGGATGGGTGGGTGGAAAGATGGGTGGAAAGGTAGATATGTGGATGGATGGGTAAATGGATGGGTGGGTGGATGGGTGGATGGATAGATGGATGGTGGATATGTGGATGGATGGGTGGATGGATGGTGGGTGGATGGGTGGATGAAAAGGTAGATGGTGGATATGTGGATGGATGAGTGGGTGGATGGGTGCATGGTGGATATGTGGATGGATGGGTGGATGAACAAATGGATGGATGGGTGGGTGGATAGATGGGTGGATGGTGGATATGTGGATGGATGGGTGGCTGGATGGGTGGGTGGGTGAATAGGTAGATGGACATGTGGTTGGATAGATAAGTGGATGGATGGGTGGGTGGGTGGTTGTATGTGTGGAGGATGGATGGGTGGATGAATGGGTGAGTGGGTGGATGGGTAGATGAATGGATGAGTGGATGGATGGGTGGGTGGATGGTAGATGAACAGGTGGATGGGTGGATAAGTAGATAGATGGGTAGATGAACAGGCACATGGATGGGTGGGTGGATGGTTGGGTGGAGGATAGATGAGTAGATGCATGGGTGAGTAAATGGATGGGTAGATGGATGGATGGATGGATGGGTGGATGAACAGGCAGATGGATTGATGAGTGTATGAATTGATGGGTGGATAGATGGGTGGAGGATGGGTAGGTGGGTGGATGGGTGGATGAACAGTCGGATAGGGATGGATGTGTGGATGGATGGGTGAATGGACGGATGAGTGTATGGATTAGTAGAGGATGGACGGGTGGAGGATGGGCTGATGGATGGGTAGGTAGATGGGTGAATATGTAGATGGCTGGCTGGGTGGATGGGTGAGTGGACGTGTGGATGGGCAGTTAAGTGGATGGATGGGTGGGTGAATGGATGGGTGGATGGATGGATGGATGGGTGGGTGAATGCATGGATGGATGGGTGGGTGAATGGATGGGTGGATGGATGGATGGATGGGTGGGTGAATGCATGGATGGATGGGTGGGTGAATGGATGGGTGGATGGATGGATGGATGAATGGATAGATAGATGGGTGGGTGAGTGGATAGGTGGATGGATGGATGGGTGGATGGGTAGATACATGGATTGATAGGTGTATGAACAGGCAGATGTATGGGTGGATTTGTGGATGGATCATGGGTGGGTGGATTGATGGAGGATAGATGGGTGGGTGGATGTGTGGAGGATGGGTTGATAGATGGGTGGATATGTAGTTAGATGGGTGGATGGATACATAGGCGGATGGATGCATGGTGGATGGGGGATGGGCAGATGGATGGATAAGTGGATGGATGGGTGGACGGATGGGTTCCAGGTGCCTGGATGGAAACAAAGGGGAATGGAGGGAAGGAATGAATACCCTGGCTTTCCGTGTGGTATGGAGATAAGTTCTATTCTCAAGGCTGTGGGAATCACTGTTGAGAGCATGATCCCAGGAGGGTTGTTGCTGGTCTCCTGCCCTCTGTGTGTGCAGTGCCTGGTAGGCATATGTGCAGTGGGCCCTGGCCATCTGGATGCTCGGCCGGGTTTTCAAACCTCTGGTCCATACTTTTGCCTCCACATCTTTGCCCAGGTTGCTCCTTTGACCTGGAGTGTCCTCTCTTGTCTTCTCACAGCTTCACTCACATCTCCATGGAATCCTCCCTGACCCATAGCCCACAGAGGCTGGCCCCACTCCAGTTCCTTGAAACTTGCTGTAGTTTTGCTAATGTGCTCTGGGTCCTCAGGTATTAGATCCCCTGGAGACCGGGGCTGTGCTTGGTGCTGCTCAGCACCCCTGCATCTAGGCTGAGGGAGGTGCCATCTGGGGTTATTGTGCTCAAGCCATTGGCCACAGCCGAGAATGCTGCTGCCCACTCTGCAGGAACACTGTCCACAGTCAAGCTGAGCACAGCTCGGAAATGTGCAGACGTGCCCTAGCTGGCCTGGTCAGGCCATGGCAGGGCCAGAATTCAGATGCAGCCTCTGCCATCTGAGTCTGCGTTCCCTGCTGCCCTGCATGGCAGCTGACCCAGCCCACAGCAGATCACCCAGCTGTGCACCAACCTCTGCTCACCCTCTTCTGCTGGGGACCCATGCAGCTGCTGCCTGGCAGAGAATGTATCCATGTCCATGTCCAATTGTGTGTCTGTGTCTCTGTGCACATGTATACAGTATAGTGTGTCATGTGCACGTGTATGTAGTATAGTGTGTGTGTGCATGGTGTGTGCATATGCATGCAATATGATATAGTGTGTTTTGTGTGCACATGTATGTGGTCTGGCATATGTGTGCATCTATGTAGTGTGTACATGTATGTAGCGTGGTGTCATGCCCGTGTGTACATGCATGGCATGCTATGTCTGTGGGTTGTGCACACGTATGCAGTATGGTGTGTGGTGTGTTTCAAGCACACGTGTATGATGGTGTGCATGAATGTAATGTGGTATGCATCTTGTACATGTATGCCATGTGTGCATGCATGTAGTATGGTGTGTGTCATGGTCATGTGTGTAATGTGTGTGCATGCACATAGTGTGTGTCATGAGCACGTGTGTTGCATGTGTACATGCATGTGGTGTGTGTATCGGGCACATGTGCATAATGCATGTGCATGCACATAGTGTGTTGTGAGCATGTGTGTTGCATGATGTGTACATGCATGTGGTGTGTATATCATGGGCACATGTGTGTAATGTGTGTGTCCATGCATGTGGTATGGTGTGTTGTGGCCACATGAGTGTTGCATGGTGTGCATACATGTGTGTGGTATGGTGTGTGTAGCATGCCTGTGTATGAACTATGGTGTGTGCATGTTTGTGGTGTAATGTGTGCGTGCATGCATGTAGTGTGTTGTCATGGGCACGTGTGTAGCATGGTGTGTGTGTAGTGTGCATGTGTGTGCAGTGTGTGTGTGCAAGCATGTAGTGTGTTATGTCACGGACACGTGTAGCATGATGTATGTGTGTAGCGTGCATGTGTGTGCAGTGTGGTGTGCATGTATGTGGTGTGTGCATGCATGTGGTATGTGTCATGGGCACACGTGTGTAGCATGGTGTGTGTAGCGTGCATGTGTGTGCAGTTTGGTGTGTGTGCAGTGTGTAGCGTGCATGTGTGTGGTGTGTGTGCATGCATGTAGTCTATGTGTCACGGGCACACGAGTGTATCCTGTGTGTAGCATGCATGTGTGTGCAGTGTGGCATGTGTATGTATGTGGTGTGTGTGCATGCATGTAGCGTGTTGCATGTCACAGGCACACATGTGTAGCATGGTGCATGTCTGCAGCACTGGATTGATCCTCAGTCTTTGGGTGAGGACAAGGCTTTCAGTGGATAGTGCTTTTTATTTTTTAATGTTCATGACAAAACATTTTAAACATACAGAAAAGAGAGTAAGAACAGCATATGCGAAGCTACATTAGCGAAACTACAGCAAGTTTCAAGGAATAGGCTTTCCACCCAGCCTCGGATTTACCCGAAAAGATCAGGCCCCTCTTAACACGTAACCACAGAGCCTCGGCCACGCTCGGAAACGTTCAAGCCACTCCCAGCCTGGGTGGGTATGGACTGAGGGTTCCGGTCCCCCCTCTGCTGCCCGAATCTTGCTCTTCCAGCCATCTCCCCATGCGATCTGAGTGAGATCCACACACCTGGCTGCCTCTGTGCCTCCTGAGTCTCTCATGACCCCACACCCCCGACTCTCTTTCTTCCTTGTGGTTTTTGTTGAAAACCTGGTGGTTTGTCCCTAAGGCCAGGCCCAGGACAGTCAGGGGTGCCGTAGGACTCAGGTTCCTACCAGGGCCCACCGGGGACCTGTGGTGTCTGCTCCCTGACAGCCGTCAGCAGCCACCATGAATCCTGCGAGCCGCCACAGTAGTCCTCACCTTGGTTCGTGAGCAGGGCTCCCGCTCTCAGGAGAGCCGCCCTCATCGACGCTGGGCAGCCGCAGCAGACAGTCCCTGTGGACAGAGAGGTGGGAGGCTCGACTCCTTCTCTTCATCCACCTGTTTTCAAAGCAGTGAGTGCATCCAGCGTCCTCCAACGTGGACCAGTGAGCTTGGTTTTATGATCTTATGAATTTAAGATTCGCACGTCTTTGATGGGATTTTGTCTGTTCTGCTGATTCCACCTGAAGCTCAGAAGGCACCCCGGTCCTTGGGACGCAGCTCTGCTGGGCTCTGACCCACTTCCTGGTGTGGCAGGATGCTCCAGCCCCTTCTATGGGGTTCCTGCCCCGAAATCTGATCAACCATTTGTCTGCAGAGCCCTGGCCAGTGAGGCCCTGTCTGGGCCCAGGCGGTCCTGGGAGCCCCCAGGTGCGTGTTCACAGTGTCCTCCTGAGGCCCGGGCTGTGGTGGACCCACCACGCTGAGTGCTGCAGCCGCAATTCTTCTTTGAACCAGTCACCTCAAGTCCACTGGAATTGCTTCCCAGGGCCACGAAGAGCCTCCCAGGGCTGACCTGGACCCTGATCCAAGAATCTCCAGCAGAGCAGAGGAGGGGCTTCCTGAAGCGAGACTCGGGAGAGTGTAACCCGCTTCCTACCCCCTAGAGAGGTGGCCTTTTCAGTTTGGAGAAAAACTTCAACCAGTGTTGAACTGAAAACCACTTGGCTTGACCGCGTTTGCTCAGGAATCGCATCTCGTGGGGAAGTTTTCACGTCCACTTCACGTGCGTGGCCAGGCCCTGTCCCCACTCGAGGCGAGAGCTACCGGGATGCCCATCGCGATCGCAGGCGCCGTGGGAGCTGCAGGCTTTGGACCACAGAGAGGCCCGGAGCAGGAAGCTGCAACGTCCACCTCCTCGACCCGGCTCCCCGTCGCCCTGTGGCCTAAGGTGTGATCATTTCATGCCTGATCGGCCTCCCTCCAGCCTGTTCCCTCCGCTGACGGCCAAGCCCAGCCAGGCAGGGCCACTCGGTGCTCCCAGGACAGCGTCCCAGGTTTTCTGGCCCACAGGCTTGGAGAGTGGGCCCCACCCTCCCTTCCTCTGCCAGACGCCTGCCCGTGGTCCAGCCTCGTCCTGCTGCCCTGGGGCCTCCGAGGTCCTTGTTTCCTGAGAGGAGCCTTCCCTGGCAACATGACCCCCAGGGAACTCACTCAAACGGCTGCTCTTCGCCGGTGGCTCAAATACTGCAGCTTCTGATTCCAGCACAGTTTCTCACAGAAATCTGTTTCTCCATGTATCGCTGTCTCCTGACCCCCGCGGGCAGCACACAGTTGTGTTTCCCTCCTTCAGGGTGCACCATCCTTCAGGTCAGAAGCTTCCAGAAGGCAGAAATGCTGAGCTCCCTGCATCGGTGCAAGGCAGGCCCCGTATGGCTCTGCACCTCGAGGGCCGACTGCGTCCTCTGGGCTCCAAGGGGCCCCTCGCCCGCGGCCATGCAGAGACCTGGAGATGTGAGGCTCCGCGGCTGCAAGGATAGCGTCTCAGGGGCAGGAGGAGCCCTTCCTTATGGTGCCAGCCGGAGGGTGCCCTCCAAGTTCACACCCCAGAGAGTGAGGCTTCAAACAGATTAGGTCTGGATATCTTAAAATTATAAAAATATTAGCAGAAACAAAGGAAAGCTGTCCCTGTAGCCTCGGGGTGGAGAACATCCTCCTGCAAAGCTGCTGAAGATAAACAGGTCAGATTCCACACATGGGCACTTAGAGCTCTTGGATGTGAGAAGACACACGCACAACGTTAGAAGCTGGCAACACACACAGCAAGCGTGTGTGCGGCGCCCAGGCTGAGGCGAGCCCTGATGCGCAGGGGCGCTCGGCAGTCCTACCTCAGCGGAGAAAGCATAGTCCTTGCATGGGGATTTAGAGGAAAAATTAAAACTGCGAGTAGATACGAACAGATGCTTGGTCTCATTCATAATTACAAAAATGCAAATTAACTCGACGAGTGAGTTTACTCTAACAGATTGGCAAAGCCGCAGAGACTGGCTGCGGCTGGTGAGTAAACCGGACGGTCATTTATCAGGAGGGTTTGTCGCAGCTGTCAGAATTGTAAGTGGAGGTGACCTGGGACCCAGCATCCCCCTTCTTGGAATTGAGGCTTTGCACACCTGACATGGCTGCACAGATGCCACATGGGGCACCCACTGACGTCACACGCGGCACCCACAGACGCCACACGGGGCACCCACTGACGCCACATGGGGCACCCACTGACGCCACACGGGGCACCCACAGATGCCACATGGGGCACCCAGGGAAGTGTCGGTCATGACAGCAGAACATGGGAAGCACCCACAGCAGCATCAGAGCGGAGGGGACGGACCCTGTGTGCCCAAACATGCATGTCACAGGTCCCCCAGGGAGGCGGACCCTGGCCCAGGCACGAGAGGCTGGCAGGTCCCCCCCGGATGGCACAGGAGACCCCAGGAGTTGGCAGCAGAGCAGCTATCGGGGCTCCTGGCCCAAGGTGCAAAGTCAGAGACAGTGGCTGGGGCCGGTGCCAGGCGAGCCGTGAGGGGACAGGGAGGTGCCAGGTCCCCTACCAGAGGTGCGTGCACAGCAGGGAGTCTGTGGGGATGGCCAGCGGCCGGGGGCCTGGCTGGTGTGCCAGGTGGGCTGCCCCAGGGCACCAGGCAGGGTGCAGGAGGGAGAGGGTAGAGGAGAAGCAGAAACCAGCCTGCGGGGGAGGCAGGGCCAGGCATGGGACAGAGAAGGTCAGCCGGGGTTCCTGACCGGGAAGGAGATTCACGCCATGAAAAAGCCAGGATGCAGGCAGAGTGCAGCTGGGGAGAGAGAAGAGATGCGTGTCCAGCTGTCTGTGTGTGCTGGGTGTGCACGTATGTGTCTGCATGTGTGCCCGTGTCCAGACCAGGAAGCCCCAGGACCGTCCACACACACACACACACACACACACACCAGACTGTGGAAGTGGAACCACCTGCGAGGCAGTTTATGCCCCAGAGAAGAAAGTGTGGGGTGCTGGGTGCACCTGGTTTCTTCTCTGTGACACTTTCTGTCTTGTTCAAATAAGACATCTCAGGAGAAAAAGGAGTTTGAGGCAGAATTGGATGAGCTTGGTGATAGTGGTTGGAGCCAGGCTCAGGTGGAGTCAGGGGCCCTGGGATCTGGCTGGGTCCCTGCAGCCTGACCCTGAGACAGACCCTGACAGAGAGGGGGAGTCGGCCAGGATGACCAGCTAGCCTGGGGCCGCGGGATGCAGGGCTTTCTGTGAAGACTGGATGCTCCGCTGGTCACCTTGGACCTCACGACGGACTGGGGAGGTGGGTCTCAGGGTTCTGTGACGATATCTTGAGACCACCCAGGGAGAGGCCTGGGGCCAGGGCAGCCCAGGACACGGATGCGCGTCCACTCAGCCAGCCCAGGACGCAGGTGCATGTCCACTCAGCCAGCCCAGGATGCAGGTGCGTGTCCACTCAGCCAGCCTGGACTAGAGTGGACACTTGGGAGCACAGGTGCGGGGGCAGAGCAGGCCCTGGGTCAGGTCCTGGCTCCACACATGAGCTGTGTGACCTGCGATGTGGCCCCAGGCAGGTTCCTGAGCCGCTCTGCGTTCTGCTTCCTCTTGTGGGAAAGGTGAAGCCCCACAGGCAGCCGTCCTGGGAAGAAGTGTCCAGGCCTGAAGTGCGGCCGTGTCCAGGGTGGACCTCGTGCAGAGCCCACCCTCTCAGGCAAGGGAGGAAAACCCAGACTCTCAAACAAAAAGAAAAACCCATCTTTCCTTCTACTGAAATCCAGTTTTTGAGGTTTTGAAGTTTTTGACCTAAACACTGAAAGGCCAGAGGAGTCTGTGTCCCTCCAGAAAGCGCAGAGGGGCGGGGCCATGGCCAGCACAGATCTAGGCCCAACTGCGCGGGCGGCGAGGGCGCGGGCAGTGTGGGCGCAGGTGGTGTGGGCGTGGGTGGCATGGGCGCAGGCGGCAAGGGCATGGGTGGCGTGGGTGCGAGCAATGTGGGCACGGACGGTGTGGGCACAGGCGGTGTGGGCACAGGCGGTGTGGGCACAGGCGGTGTGGGCACAGGCGGCGTGGGCACAGGCGGCAAGGGCATGGGTGGCATGGGTGCGAGCAGCATGGGCGGCGTGGGTACAAGTGAGGAGGGTGTGGGCGGCGTGGGCACGGGCAGTGTGGACGTGGGTGGCGGCAGGGGCGGCAAAAGTGTGGGCGGTATGGGTGTGAGCAGCGTGGGCGCGGGCGGCGAGGGTGCCAGCGGCGTGGGCGCGGGCGGCAAGGGTGTGGGCAGCGTGGGCACGGGTGCTGCTTCCCCTCAGGGGAATCTCACGATTCCTGAAACTTGAGCTCCTGGCCCGGAGAAGTGCTGGCCGCGGTCGGGGTGGCGCACACGCAGAGACTCTGGAGCTGACAGCCTGTCGTGCCCACAGGCGCACATCTACTCTCTGGGGGCCACGCTGAAGGCCGCCCTCGAGTACGTGGCAGAGCCCACACTGGAACCCAGGCTGAGCCAAGACCTCGAGGCGCTGCTGAGCCGGATGCAGGCGGAGGACCCCGGGGACCGGCCGGACCTTGAGGTAAGCGAGGCTGCCCTGGGCCACCCCAGGCTGTGACCCTGACCCCACAGGCCTGGACACCGTGTGCTCACCACACCCACGCCCAGCAGCCTCACCTGGGTTCCGCAACCACAGTCTCATGGCATGGCATTTTGCTTAAAGGAGGACTTGGTTTTTTATTGTCCATTTTTGTTATGAAAGGTTTTGCTTGTGACAAGCCTCCTGGTTCTCTGCAACCCAGATGTGCTGCCTTTTCATACTAGAAAATGGGCAAGGCAGGCGCAGGCAGGCTCTGGGGACTGTCCCCAGGTCACCTTCAAAGGATCCGGCCGTGTCGGGTGGGTGGCTGCGGGAGATGGCCCCTCCTCCGAGCCTTCCTGTCTGAGGTGTTCCCGTCCCCAGAGCATCATCGCGCTGTGTGAAGAGAAGCTGCAGCTCACATCCTCCTGTCGCGTGTGCCGGAGCCTCTCTGCTGTGGGGAGGAGGGTCCTCTCCATCGAGTCCTTCGGAGCGCTGCAGGGTGAGTTCTTGAACCCACACACGTGCATCCTCATGCACATATACCTGTGTGCCATGTATGCACACGTGCACATGCTGCAAACACACCCATGCACACACACACACTGCACACACACCCATACTGCACACACACCCATGCACACACATGCCACACACACCCATGCACACACACTGCACACACACCTATGCACACACACACCTATGCACATGCACACCCATGCTGCACACACCCATGCACACACACCCATGCGCACACACTGCACACACACGTTACACACACCCATGCACACACACGCTGCACACACACCCATGCACACACTGCACAACCCATGCACACACACCTATGCACATGTGCTGCACACACGCTGCAACACACCCATGCACACACACATGCTGCGCACACACACGCACACACGCACACACCCACTCACACATTCAGAGATCACACAAACTCACGTATTCACACACTGACAGTCACACACGAGTGTTCAAATAGATCACATGTGCCTCGTACACACATATTCACTCTTGCTCACAGTCACACACATGAAAATTCAGGCATGCCTGTTCACACTGCACACGCCCACACCAGAATGCACACATTACACACCCGCTCTCATGCCTACCACGTCCACTGCCTCACACGTGGTCAGACACGCAAACATGCTGGTCCTATGCACACACCCATTTCCACACTCTCATGTGCATCATGTTGCCTGTGCCAGCCTTGCAGGCACCCACGCAGGCAGAGGTGACTCAGGCTCAGCTTCAGAAGTCTGTGGCATTGGTGCCAGTGTGGCATTGGTGCCGGTGTGGCATTGGTGCCAGGCATCTGGGTGTTAGTCTCATGGGCATTTCAATAAACGGATGGGTTGATGTTTCACAACTGAATTTCACCTGCCCCCACCAGGAGCGCCAGGTGGGTGCGTTACAGAGCTGCAGCTGCAGCATCTGGGGCGTTTGTGGCTCACGCATATTCTGGTGTCTCTCAGGCCGCCTTTGAACAGAGGCCGTGTCTGCATTGGCATCGCTACCTGCAGCACGGAGCCCCGTGGGGCCTCAGGACGGTAGCCAGGGCACGGCCACGAGGAGTCTCATGGTGGCCGGCAGGGCCCTCCCTGCTGAATGAGCACGTTTGCAGCTCAGGGTTTGTGCTGCTGCGGGAGGGGCGCAGTGTGGAGTAGGCAGTGTGTGCAGTGTGGAGTAGGCAGTGTGTGCAGTGTGGAGTAGGCAGTGTGTGCAGTGTGGAATAGGCAGTGTGTGCAGTGTAGAGTAGGCAGTGTGTGCAGTGTGGAATAGGCAGTGTGTGCAGTGTAGAGTAGGCAGTGTGTACAGTGTGGAGTAGGCAGTGTGTGCAGTGTGGAGTAGGCAGTGTGTACAGTGTGGAGTAGGCAGTGTGTACAGTGTGGAGTAGGCAGTGTGTGCAGTGTGGAGTAGGCAGTGTGTGCAGTGTGGAATAGGCAGTGTGTGCAGTGTAGAGTAGGCAGTGTGTGCAGTGTGGAGTAGGCAGTGTGTGCAGTGTGAAGTAGGCAGAACAGAGCCACACACAGCAGAGAGAGATCAACGCCGTGTGTGGGAGGCGGCCGCTGACGGCCGTAGCCACATCATCCAGGTTCTTCCTGTGGGGACTCACCTGTGTAATCCTCGAGGAAAACGACGTGCCTTTGGATGAGATAATTAGGTCCAGGCTCCCATAGGAAGCCCCAGAGGGAAGCCCCGCCTGGCCTGGGGGAGAGGCAGCCCCAGCCTCTAATTAGCCAGGATGACCTGATGAGTGGGGCAGGAGAGGAAGGCGGGAGCCCCCTCCTGTGAGAGCCTGGGTTGGGGTCTGTGATCGTGGGAGGGGAGGAGAGGGGAGGGGAGGGGAGAGGTGGGAGGGGAGGGGTGGGAGGAGAGGGGAGGGGTGGGAGGAGAGGGGAGGGGCGGGAGGAGAGGGGAGGGGCGGGAGGGGCACCCAGCCGTGACCACATCTTGCTTGTGCCCAGATGTCAGCGAGAGCAGCTGGCGGGAGAGACCTGCCCCAGGAAACGCTGGGCCCAGGAGGCCGCCCGGGGACCCCAGCACTGACCCGGAGGTTCTGCCGACCCCCGAAGGCCCGGAGTCTGAGACGAGCCGGGGCCCCAGAGCCTCCCCAACCAAGGCTCTGCTGTCCACCCCGGTGAGAAATGGCGAGAGCCACAGCCGGGAGGGGCTGGCCGGCCTCGTCCTGGATGCCGAGCGCACCCTCGGGGAGCTGGACAGAGACGCCCTCAGGAGAAGCCGCCTGCGGAAGGTGCAGACGTTCCCTAGGCTGCTGTCCGACAGCCCCGAGGCCACCCTCTGCCTGCCGCTGACCCGCGGGAAAAGCCAGCTGCCCATATCGGAATTATTCTCTCCGGACCCCAGGAAGGCCTTTCTGGACAGGAAAAATGGCCTTTCTAGCTTCCAGGCTCAGCCCAAATGCAGGCTGTGGCCGGAGCAGGAGCCGGAACACCAGCTGGGACGGGTTCCCTGTGCAGGCCGCAGCACGGACAGGGGCCCTGGGGTGCCCGGCAGTCCAGGACAGCCCGAGACTTCACACCCCAGCCAGGGGCCAGCAGAGGCCCCTGCAGACCCTCGAGATGCTAGCGGTGAAGCCCAGACTCCCAGGGACGATGAGAGAATTCCAGAAGGAGCTAGGCAGCTGGAAAGTGCAGCCGCGGAGCAGGTGGGTGCCTGGGTCTTGTGTGTGGGTGGAGGGGTCGGCGGTCAGTGAGTCCGGGGCCGGGCCTCTCCACAGATGCAAACGCTTTGTTTAACTCAGAGAATTAACCTTCACCCTCGCTCCATAATTAAAGACATTTTCATTGAGCTGCCCCGTTTCTGAAGGAAGCTGTGGCTGCGGCTGGGGATGCTGTCACCCAGGCGTGGCCTCTCGGGTAGACGTTTGCCTCTGGATGACCCAGAAAGCAGCCGCCTCCTCAGCCCTGCCCGGCTCCTCACACAGCCCCGCACGGCCGTCCCGAGGGATTAATTTTCTTCCGGGAAGCAAGGCCAGCAGCCCCGGCTCCGTGATGTCATTTCAGGGGCTCCGTGTCCCCAGTCCTGATGCTCACAGCCCTCCTCATCTTCCTATTCTGACGGTTTAAAAGTTAGAAACCAAAGCTGTGGGTTGAGCTTGCTCATCTGTGGGGCTTGGTGGTGTCGGTGCTGGGCCACCTCCGCTGCCTCCGCGGGGACGCTGGGATCTGGTGCGGCTGCCCGGACGTGGCCTCCACACAGGATGGGGCCTCCCCAGCCCAGTGCTGCCCCTGGTCAGCTGCTCCTCACGAGGGATGGAGGATGCTGTTGGAGCCAGTGTTCTGGGGGGCCTGGTCCGTCGGCCCCTCTGTCCAGCCGAAGACGCTTGGGCCAAGGCCTGGCCAAGTGCATTTTGCCCTCCTTGGCTCCTCAGTGAGCCACCCCCAGCTGTGTCCCCGTGAGCTCCTCCGGGCAAGGTCACCTGAAGTCAGTGGCCTGCATGCAAGTCCATCTGCCAGGCAGCGCCTGGCCCGGGGACGGGGGTGCCCTCAAGCCACCAGGCCTCGTTGATCTGAAGGACAAGGGCGCAGTGCCCCGTCGCCCTCCACCACTCTCCCTGGCGGCACGCCTTCCCACGCACAACAGCCTACCTTCCCGAAGGGCACACGGAGGCACAGGGTGGCCGAGCCACCTGTTGGAGGGTGGACTTTGGTCCCAGCTGTCCGTGAGGCCTTGGAGTGGAGAGTGGCCTCCCAGGCTGAACGCATGCCTGGTGTCACGGTGTGTGTGTATGTGAGAAAATGCACCGAACAAAAGCCACCACTTCAACCCTCTGCAAGAGCACAGCTCAGCGGCATTGGGTGTGTTCACGCTGTTGCACAGCTGTCCCCATCAGCCCACACGAAACCCCAACCCCCGAGCCCGCCCCCTGCACCCCGTCCCGCCCTCCACCTCCATGAGCCTGGCCCCTGCACCCCGTCCCACCCTTCCCCTCCATGAGCTCTGTCCAGGGGCCTCGTGGGAGTGGGATGGACAGAGCTGTGTGTCTGGTCTCTTCACTGAGCCCACTGTCCTCACGGTTCCTCCCCAGGGAGCCTGCGTGAGAACCCCCCATCCCTGTCCCGAGGCCAAGCGCCATCCACACTGCCCCTGCGTCCGTCCGTGGATGCCTGGGTGCTCCCCGTGTTGGCTATTTCGAGCCGTGCTGCTGGGAACATGGGTGTGCACGTATGCGTGAGCCCTGCCCTCGGTTCCTCGGGGAATGTGGCCGTGTGGAACTGCTGTCACCTGGGAGGTGTATGTTGAGCTTTTCAAGGAACGGCAGCACTGTCGTCTGCAGTGGCTGCACCGTGGGACGTTCCCACCCACAGGGCCAAGGGCCCCAGTCTCCCCACGGCCCCCACACGCTGGAGTTGACTTAGGGACCTCCCTAGCCCTTCTATCAGGTGTGGGGGGCGCCTACTCAGGGGCTGAGTGGGCCTCACCCTGGCCTGTCCCCCGGACATGCCTCTCCAGGCGGCGGGCCCTGGCAAGGGGTGTCCACACTGACCTCGCCGCTCTCCTGCCCACAGTGGGTGTCCCTGCAGGACCTCCTGTCCCAGCTGGGCCGGCCCTTCCGGGAGTACGAGCTGTGGGCCCTGTGCCTGGCCTGCCTCCGCGCACTGCAGACACGCCCTGAGCACCCAGGTGACGCACGCACCATCCCATCCCCCCCGCCGTCCCCACCCCCCACTGCTGTTCCACCCCCCACCGCCGTCCCACACCCCCGCCGTCCCACCCCCCACACCGTCCCACGCCCCCCCACTGTCCCATCACCCCTGCCGTCCCATGCGTAACTGGCCCCCACCTGAACCAAGGGACCCAGGGGCAGCCAGGACAGTGTCTCCGGTGAACGGAACAGGCGGCTCCCGTCTGGAGCACCTTGTGGGTGCCTGCTGGGTTGCAGCACCGAGGGAGGTGTGGGGACAGATGCCTGCAAGGTGGGCCTTGAAACCGGTGACTGTGCCGTAAAGAGGAACGGGGACTTTGCCATGGCCCTCGCCCACACATTCTCAACACAGTGACATTGTCCCCAGGGAGGCAGCAATTGGCTTTGGAGTGGGGAGGGAATCTTCAGCATTGCACGGGTCTGCCCCGTCAAAGCCTAGCCCTGCCAGACATCAGGGCAGACGGACGGTGCATCTGAGACGTAAAAACGTCCTGGGGGTGATGAGGGCAGCATCTGAAAGGGCTGGGGGAGAGGCCATCGGAGACACACCCGGCTCCAGTGTCCGTCCACCGTGAGCCCGTGGCTGCCCCGTGGGCCCTGACTCGGGACGGGGCCTGTGACACGGGGGCTTCAAGTTACCGTGTTCTCCCTGCCGCTTGGCTCCCTTTCAGCCGCAGATATGCCGCTGCAGCCACTGTGTCGGCTGGGGCAGCGCTACCCTCGGGGAGGGCTGGGAGGAGGCAGCTCCGAGGACCCCGGGGGCTGGGGTCAGGCCATGTGCGTGCACTGGCAGGTGCGTGCCCGTGCAATGGGGAGGCTGGGGGGCTGCCCGGCCTGACTGAGGCTCCGCAGCTCCTTCCCCCCAGCCAGCCCCAAGTGCGGGGCAGCATGCATACCCGCCCTGACCCAAGCTCTGCCACAGCCTACCTGTGTCTGGACTCCGTGCTGGTTGCTGAGGACGGGGCTGTGCTCTTCCAGCCACCCCCTGCCAACGGTGAGTGTGTGGGTTCCCCTCAGGCCGAGTCCAGCACCGGCTCGCCAGGGGTGAGGAAAGCTCAGTCGGGTTTCTCTCTTAGGTTCCTATGACTCGTTCTTTCTGGCTCCCGAGCTGGCAGAGGAGAGGCTGGTAACTGAAAAGGTACCCGGGCCCTCCCCACCCTGCCCCAGCCCTGCCCCCAGCCCTCGGGGATGCCACGTCCCCCATCTGTCCAGCAGCCCCCCATCAGGACTCGAGGGAGTCAGGGCAGCCCTTCCTGGCCAGGCGGCCACAGGCGGTATCTGCCAGCAGGGCCGTGGCTCTGGCCGGGGCACCAAGACAGGGCTTGGTGTGGACGGCACTGGCCATGTGCACTAGAGCTGCGCCTCCTGGCTCACGAGAACTAAGGGCTAAACAACCAGGGATGTGTATAAGGCACCTGTGAAACATGAGCATTCTTAAAATTTAAATTACACAAATTTAAATACAATTCAATAAATTACATTCAAAATCAAGGTAAAACTTCCACTCAGGAATGATAGAAATGTGTACTTCCCGCTCCTCCCACCGAGGAAGAGCACTAAGTACCCTACACTAAGCACCCTGCACTAAACAAACACCCTGCAATAAGCACCCTGCGCTAACCACCCTGCATTAAACACCCTGCAGTAAGCACCCTGCACTAAACACCCTGCACTAAGCACCCTGCACTAAACAAACACCCTGCACTAAACACCCTGCAGTAAGCACCCTGCACTAAGCACCCTGCAGTAAGCACCCTGCACACTGTGCAAAAAACAAGCACCAGGCCACCTGCAGGGGGAGGAGACGGCAGCCGGCGAGGGGCCTCTGGACCAAGGAACAAGGCAGCCGTGAGTGCCCTGGGTTTTCCTTCTGCCTCACATATTGAGACTTGGAGGTAAAGAAGCCGGTGACCGGGAAAAAGCAATGGGCGCACACTAAAAGCCGCGCTTTTTCATCTTCTGGGGATGTTGTCTAGAGAAACTCGGAATGGTCCACCATTTGCCAAACCATCGAAGGCTTTCCTGCAGTCTAGCCTGTAACGAAAAGAGGCTGTCCTGAACCCCAGCAATAGATCGTTCACCTTTACACCAAGAAGGCTGGGAAAGCACTGTCATCTGCAGGTGGCCCAGGCCGACCTCAGGGGGTTGGTGCTGTGAGACCTGAAGCTCTTATGAGATTGTCTCAAACAAAAACCGCGTCCGTGAGGCTGCAGTGGCTCTGTGTGCACTGTGTGTGTTCCTGTGGGATCCCTTCAGGGTTAGTGCTTTCCCCTTCAAGGAACGAAAATCGCTGGGAAAGTGCTGAGGCACAAGCACAGAGTCAGAAAACTAAGAAAAAATGAAGCTTTTTGGAGTAATAAAAAAGAGTTTAAGCCCCAACTGGCCGGGCATGGTGACTCACGCCTGTAATTCCAGCAATTTGGGAGGCCAAGGCGGGCAGATCACTTGAGTCCAGGAGTTCGAGACCAGCCTGGGCAACATGGCGAAACCCCATCTCTACTAAAAATACAAAAATTAGCCGGGTGTGGTGGCACGTGCCTGTAATCCCAGCCAGGTGTGGTGGCACATGCCTGTAATCCCAGCCAGGTGTGGTGGCGCATGCCTGTAATCCCAGCTACTCGGGAGGCTGAGGTGGGAGGATTGTTTGAACCCAGGAGGTTGCAGTGAGCCAAGATCATGCTACTACACTCCAGCCTGGATGACAGAGCCAGACCCTGTCTCAAAAAATAAATACCCCAACAGGGCCGGGTGTGGTGGCTCACACCTGTAATCCCAGCACTTTGGGAGGCCAAGGCAGGTCGATCACCTGACGTTAGGAGTTTGAGACCACCCTCGCCAACATGGTGAAACCTCATCTCTACTAAAAATACAAAAATTAGCCAGGGGTGGTGGTGTGCACCTATAATCCCAGCTACTTGGGAGGCTGAAGCAGGAGAATTGCTTGAACCCAGGAGGCAGAGGTTGCAGTGAGCAAAGATGGTACCACTGCACTCCAGCCTGGTTGACAGAGTGAGACTCAGTCTCAAAAAAATAAGTAAAACAAATGCCCCAACAAAAGCCTGGGTCTGTAATCAGAGGACCAGGGAGGACCAGGATGCATTTACACCCCCTGCTCTGCACCAACCAAACCCCACAGGAGCACTGCGGCCCCGCCCAGCAAGGGCCGAGCCTGGAGCCTGGACTCATCTTTGTGAGACTGCAGAGAAGTGTCCAGTGCCTGCCCTGGCCCCAGGTGGCCTCAAAGAAAGTGAGCAGGAGCCAGGACCTTCCTTCCCTGCAGCGTGTCCTGCAAGGACAACTGGAAATCATGGCTGAAAGGAATTGGAGACCACACCAGCAAGTGGAAACACATCCCATGCTCACAGATGGGCAGGATCAGTGTTGGTAAAACAGCTACACTGCCCAAAGCAATCCGCAGAGTCAATGCTATTGTTATCAAACTACCAATGTCATTTTTCACAGAATTAGAGGAAACTATTCTAAAATTCATATGGAACCAAAAAAGAGCTGAAATAGCCAAAGCAATTTTAAGTGAAAAGAACAAAGCCAGAGGCATCACGTTACCCAACTTCAAACTATACTACAAGGCCACAGTAACCCAAACAGCATGGCACTGGTACAAAAACACATAGACCAATGGAAGAGAATAGAGAGCCCAGAAATAAGGCTGCACGCCTACAATCATCTGATCTTTGACAGAGCTGACAAAATCAAGCAATGGGGAAGGACTCATGATACCAAGAATCAGGAAGATGTCAAACTGAATGAAAACAGGCAACCAATGATACCAACCTGGAGATGACAGAAATTTTAAAAGTGACTTTAAAATTTTTAAAGCAACCATCATAAAAATGCGTCATTGGGCAATTGCAAACACGCTTGAAACAAATGAAAAAGTTTCAGCAAAGAAATACAAAGTTTCAACCAAGGAATAGAAAAGAAAAAGAAAAAGCTAATGGAAATTTTAGAGCTGATTTTTTAAAAAAACTCAATGAATGGGCTTAATAGCAGAATAGAGAGGGCAGAGGAAAGAATTGGTGAAATGGAGACAATAGAAATTACACAGTTTGGACAACAAAGAGAAAATAGACCAAAAGAACTGAACAGAGCCTGAGAAGCTTGTGGGACTATAATAAAAGATCTAATATCCATGTCATCAAAATCCTGGAAAGAGAAGAGAAGGAGGGTGGTGCATAAAAAGTACTCAAAGAAATAATGGCTGAAAACTTCCAAATTTTGGCAAGACACATAAGCCTACAGATTTCAGAAGGTGAGAAAACCCCAAACATGATCAATGCAAAGAAATCCACACCAGGACACATCATAGTCAAACCTCTGAATACTAACCCTCCCCTCTCCGAAAAAATAAAAATAAAAATAAAAAACAAAAAGAGAGAGAAACAGCAGCTTACATATATACACATATGGGGGGGGAAAACAGTTCAGATGATCAGATTTCTCATCAGTAACTGTAGAGGAAGTGCATAGCATTTTTTTAAGTTCTGAAAGAACTTTCAACCCAGAAACCTATTTCCAGCAAAAATATCCTTCAGAAATTAAGGAAACAGGCTAGGTGCAGTGGCTCAGGCCTGTAATCCCAACACTTTGGGAGGCTGAGGCAGGTGGATCACCTGAGGTCAGGAGTTTGAGACCAGCCTGGCCAAGATGACGAAACCCTGTATCTACTAAAAATACAAAAATTTGCCAGGCATGGTGGTGGGTGCCTGTAATCCCAGCTACTTGGGAGGCTGAGGCAGAAGAATCACTGGAATCTGGGAGGTGGAGGCTGCAGTGAGCCCAGATACAGCCATTGCACTCCAGCCAGGGCGACAAGAGCGAGACCCTGTCTCTTAAATAAATAAAGGAGGAAGAAGGAAGAAAGAAGGAAGGAAGAAGAACAAGAAGAAGGAAAAAGGAGAAGGAAGGAGGAAGAGAAGAAGAAAGGAAGAAGATTGACAGAGTAATGTTTAGAAACATGACCTAACCATGTACTGTCTACCAGAAACTCACTTCAAATAAAACAATATAAGTAGGTTGAAAGTTAAAAGAGTTGAAAAAGATACATTATGAAAATGATAAAAAGAAAGCAGAAGTGACTGCATTAATATCAGGTTAAGTGTACTTCAGAGCAAAGAAAATTACCAGAGATAAAGAGGGACATTCTATAACAATAAAGGGTCAGTCCGCCCAGAAGACATAGCAATCCTAAACATATATGCACCAAATAACAGAGCTGCAGAATATGTGAAGCAAAACTGATAGAATTAATAGAGACACAGATGAATCCACAATTATAGTTGGAGATGCCAGTTTCCCCTCTCTGAACACTTGATAGAACAATCAGACTGTAAACCAGTAAAAATATGAAGGAACTCAACAACACTGTCAATCAACACGGCTGGATCAACATTTAAAGGACACTCCACCCAACAACAGCAGAATCCACATTCTTCTCAGTTGCCCCACTGACTATACACCAAGCTAGACCAAATCCTGAGCCATAACGCAAACCTCAACAAATTTAAAAGAATTTAAGTCATACAAATGTGTTCTCTGACCACAGTAACAAAAATAAAAGGGAAATTTTCCAAACACTTGGAAACGAAACAACACATTCTAAATACTCTATGTGTCAAAGAGAAAATTTCAAGGAAATTTTAAAAACATATAGAACTGAGTGAAAATGAAAATGCAACATATGGCGAACCAGGATTTTTGTGCCAATGGCGATGTGCTGGCTGAGATACTGGACTATATCAGTATCAGTATTTTGCAAGCTGCTACTGTTGTGGAAACTGGGTACAAAGTACATGAGCTCTATTATTTATTAAAACTATGTACAATTATCACAAAATAAAAGGTTAATTTTTTAAAAGTGTAACAAGTGCTCAAAATGGGTGATTTCCTACTTATCTGACTCTAGTTGGCTGTTCTATGCTCGTGGGGCTGTCTGCGTCTGCTGTGCCTGGATGGGGGAGACTCTGTAAAGGGGAGCTGCCTCTTCCCAGCTCCACACTCAAGGGCACTGCATTGGTAGCCAGAAGTCAGCCACGTGGGAGTACTTACACCAGGGAAAGCAGCAAACGCTACAAATGTCTTGTTCTGTTGACTCTCTGGACTTACTGAAGTGATGGAGAACACGTGGATGATGTGATTAAACTTAAAAGTGTGTCATGTCTGTGGCCGCTCCCTTGAGAATAGCCCAAAAGGTGGAGGACATGGTCTTACGATATCAACCGCGACCATCTGATTCAGCAAAGACGTCGCTCAGAGGGGTGCCCCGAATTCCAGCATGGGTCTGTCCGGCTTCACTTCCATCTCATTTACTGAAATGAATGAAAACATCAACCAACACTCATGTCAGCAGCACTCGTGTATTGTGGTGGACTGTGGATGAACATGGGTTTCATTGATTTTTATCAATGAAAGCCTTCAGTGAGAATTGACTGGCTCTGTGGAACTTACAAAACGTGCATCAAATGGTGTGCTGTGCATCCCTTACATCAGCAACGTGCCGGATGAACTCAGTTTGCACACAGGCGGTGTGTTCGCTCGGAGAGCCAGTTGTTAGCCATGTAGCAGCACGGCACCAGTCGGGGGGCTTCCGGGAGCAGGCACCAGTCGGGGGGCTCCCGGGTCCGTGAGGTGGGGGCTATGCTGGCCAGTTCTCCTCAAACCCTCGAGCTGCTGCCTTCGTGAGGAGAGTGGAAGGTGGGAAAGTCCAGTTGAGGCTTCCAACCCTCTGGTGTTTAAAACGCGGACAGAACCATGGGGGAGAGTTCGACCTGCAGGTTCCTGGACCACGACCTGGAGGCGGATGCAGGGGTCCAGGGTGGGGCCTGATAGATGCTGAGGAGGGGTCTTGAGGAGAGCCCCTCTGTGGGGGCAGTGCCTGGGTGCCCCTCAGGGTGCCTGAGGTGGGCAGGTCTGCTGGGCACAGCAGCCCACAGCCCTGCGGTAGACACTATTCTCTCCCCACCCGCCCAGGCCTCTGTGTACTGTGTGGCCGCCGTTCTGTGGACCGCAGCCAAGTTCAGCGTCCCCCGCAACCACAAGCTGGCCCTGCCACGCAGGCTCAAGACCCTCCTCCTGGACATGGCCAGGCGCAGTGCCCCGGAGCGGCCGTCCGCGGCTGAGGCCATCAAGGTAACCACACCACAGTCATGGCCCCAGCCCAGGGTCCAAGGACTGTGGGCAGTGGCCGCCCTCGCTGAGCTGGGGGTGGAGGAGCACGGGCTGCCAGTGTCCAGGTGATGAGGCCACCAGGTCTGTTTCTAGGTCCCTGTTTCTAGACGTCGGCCTGGCCGTCGCATGGGGAAGGGAGTGGGTTTCGCGTCATGGCCACGTCCATGTGGGTGGACAGCATGGGGGTCTCTGCTGCTCCCCACCATGGCCGTTCCTCCTGCGGAGCCCGCTCTCTCCAGCTTGTCCAAGAGGCCAGGGCGGGGGCAAGGGGTGTCCTGTGGGCACGTGCAGACCCCTGCTCTTAGGCCCTGCTGGAGGGGAGCAGAGAGAGGCCTCCACACCTCACCCCCCACCCCGAACCCCCACCTCCTCTGAGGATCCCACCAGCCCCGCCCCTCCCTGCCTGGTCTCCCTGCTGGACTCAAGCTTTGGGGCTGGGTTCTAACGTACTCCTGCTGGGACCTGCACCCGCACCCGGCATGGGGACCAGCGGGTGGACCAGCAGGTGGGGCAGGAGCCAAACTCTCATGTGTCAGTGATCAGGAGGACCTCCTGGGGAGGAGCCGAGCTGGGTGTGGGTGATCAGGAGGACCTCCTGGGGAGGAGCCGTGTCTGGGGGAGCGGAGACGGCCATGGGGTTGGGGACCTGGGTCCAGCCGTCTCCGCCTCGACTGCTCTGTGGTCTTGGGCGGGTTGCTCAGACCCTGTGGGCCTCTCAGGCCTCCTCTGCTGCAGGAGGATGAGATCTAGACACGGCTGGGCGTCTGCCAAGCAGTGAAAGCAGATTTTATTCAGTAACTACTGAGAGCTGGGGAAGCTGAGCTCAGTTCCCATGTGCACAAGGCCTGAGCTTATAAAGGGAGGACAGGAGTGGCCGGGGGCAGGGAGCGTGGGGCTCAGGCGAACGTGACCAAGGGCTGCCAGTGTCCAGGCGACGAGGCTACCAGGTCTGTGGCCAACGCTGGGTTTGGGATTCTGCCCTCCCAGGGAGCCTGGGGGACAGTGGCCGACTGTGAGCCCTTTTCAGGAAATGCTCTAAGAAAGGCTTGTCCGGGGCCTGTAGTTGGGTGTCGGTGAGAACAAACAGGAAACCCTCCTGGCAGCCCTGAGCTTTTTCAGATGGGGACCCAGTGACACGGGGACGGTGCAGCCGTGGCTGAGGCCTGTCGGGACGTGTGAACTGTCTCCTCCCTCCAGGTGTGCGGCAGCTACCTCCTCCAGCGAGGCATGGACAGCCGGAAAATCCTTGCCCACCTCAGAGCTTCCATCTGCCAGGTGGGCTAGAACAGCCAGGCCGCCGCCTCCTCCGCCGCGCTTAGCTTCCTCCCTCCTGGACGCACTTGCCCTTGCCTGGCCGCTCCCGGCAGCCCCACACCCCGGTCTCTGTTGACCACCGAGCTGTGGGTGGGTGCATCTGGGGGTGCAGGGGGACACTCGAGTCCCATCTAAAGGCCCCACAGTGGCCCCCAGGGACCCAGATCAGGATCAGGGCAGGGTCCCAAGGACGGCGGCCCAGCACCCACCCCGGGCGCAGAGAGCTTTGGGAGTGTGGGCCCTGAGTCTCGGGTGGTGCTGGCGTCTCCCACTCCCTGGAACCCACGGAAACCTGGTTGGCTTGGGAGGCAAAGGAGCCCCAACGGCTCCCTCTCCAGGCAGAGCCGCTGCAGAGCTTGGGCCGTGTGGCCGCCATGCCCGGCTCCTCCCCAGCAGGAAGCTCCACGGCACCGGCGGGTGGTGGGGGACGCCCTGTGGGTGTTGCCGGCGCTGGCGGAGCTCCGTGGTCACCTGGCCCAGGGCTGTCACCTCCTCCCCAGGTGTACCAGGAGGAAGAGACCATCAGCCTCCAAAACGCCTTCTCAGTGGTTGAACTGAAGCCCAGTGTGGCACCAGCCCCAGAGCCCAGCCCAGGTGGGGACCTGACCAGCCCCTGCTGCCCCACCAGCTCCTGCACCTGACACCACAGCTGCCCCCACCTCTGCATGGACAGACACAGCCGGGCACCTCTCGGAAACCCGGGAAGCAAGTCCAGAGCTCGGCCAACGTGGCCCATGCAGCCCAGCCTGCCTGCCCCTGCCAGCCCCCATCTCCCAAAACTCCCAGTCGCTCAGGCCCCAGCTCCAGGTTCTCACTCCCATCTCCCAGCAGCTGGCCCTCCCAAGCCCACATCTGGAGACCCCCAGAGTCCACACAGAGCCCACCCCACCCCCGTACTGAGCCCTGCTCAGCAGGCCCCTCCAAGGCTTCTGGTGGGGCCTGGTCTTGCTGGCCCGTCCCCGCCTGCTGGCCCTCCCCCAAGCACCAGTCTCACCCACCCTCCCATTCCAGGGCCCAGCACAGAGGAAGCCCCCAGGGCCATGCGGGAGGGGACGCGGCACCACGCACTGGGTGGGATGAGCACTGGGTGGGATGAGCCGGTGGTGCGGCACGTGCTGGGGCCACTCCGCCCGCCCACACCCTCAGCCCCCTGGCTCCCCAGGCTTCCTGCCGGTGAACAGCGACACCGGGCTTGTGGCTGTGCCAGGGCCCGTGCCCGGCCAGCACCCCTGCGGTGAAGAAGCCACCCAGCTGCCTGCAGCGTTCACCTCCGAGGCCACGCACTTCAAGCCCATTGTCCTCGCGCAGAACGCAAGTGTGGCCAGGTGAGCATCGTCCCCACACCCCGGAGCTGCTGGGTCCCGGGCGCAGGCAGCCCCTCCTGAGCTCTGCTCCTCCCGTAGGGACCAGCCTGCCTTGGCCCAGGAGGAGTCCGAGGAGAGGGGCGGCCAGAGGGAGGGAGAAGGTGAGGAGAAGCTCTCCCTGGAGGCCCACGCTGGGTCCCCCAGCCTGAAGACGCCTGACGGGCCGGTGCCTGGTCCGGGGCCACAGGGAGCAGCCCCAGAGCCTCTTGGGGCGTCAGTGCAGCGTGACTCAGCCCAGGGCCGCCCCTGCCCTCCACCCCAGGCCCCAGCAAACCAGCCAGAGGGGGCCTCATCGGCAGCTCCCGGCTCTCCAGTCCCCGCCCCGCCCACGAAGGCATCTGCGCTGCCCGTAGAGCAAGGGCCGGCTGAGCCGATCCCACCTGGAGTTGCTTCCGGGGGCCTCAGGCCCGACGCCCTGGGGCCCACCACGGCCCACCACGGCCCACGCCACCCGCCCAAGCCCCCACGAAGCAAGGCCACCGAGCGCCCGGGCCAGGAGCCAGAGGGCCCCGGGGCCACCCCTGCCGGGGAACGTGATGACCAGAGTCCAGACAGTGTCCCAGAGAGGCCGCGGCCCGCAGACCGGAGGCTCTGTCTGCCCTGCGTGGATGCCTCGCCACTCCCAGGGAGGACGGCCTGCCCGTCGCTGCAGGAGGCCACGCGCCTCATCCAGGAGGAATTTGCCTTCGATGGCTACCTGGACAATGGGCTGGAGGCTCTGATCATGGGTACGTGGGGGCCGCAGACGCCCCAGAGGAGGCCCGGGCCAGGGAGAGCCCCACAGGGGACTCGGGGCCGCCCCACGCCCTTCCCCCAGCCCCCCAGCCGAGATCAGCCTTGTCCGTTTCATCAGCCACAAGGGAACCAGATGAGCAGCCCTGCCACCATCTCACTTGTCTCCATCGTTTTGCAAAACCAGGGGAGTACATCTTCGCCTTGAAAGATCTCACCTTTGCCACTTTCTGTGGCGCCATTTCCGAGAAGTTCTGTGACCTGTACTGGGATGAGAAGTTGCTGCAGAACCTCTTTAAGGTGGTCAACGGGCAGGCGTCACCCTCCCCAAGGTGGGTGCCCAGTTCGGCCCTGCATTCCCGCCCCTCCCTGATGCCCACTGTGCCTGGGCTCTGCTGCCTGACCCGGGCCCAGCCTTCCCCTCCCAACCCTCCGCTTCCATCTCGCTGCTGTCTCCAGAGGGGCTACCCTTGGTGGAGATGGGTGGGGGTCCCAGCAGCCCCTCCTTGGGCCTGACGCCTACTCACAGCTTTCCCATCGGACCTGGGTTTCTTCTGGAGGACGAAAGGGCTTTCAGAGAATATGAGGCAGGGGCTCTCCGGGAGGCTGCAGGGGGCCTGGGCAGTGATGGCCACAGGGCTCCCTGCTCAGAGGGACCAGTGTGAGGGCCCCAAGGAGGTGAAGAGACTCCCAAACAGGTGGCCCCAGACCCCACAGGGCCCAGCACTGAGCTGTGTTGGGTGGGGCGGCGGCCACCCCACATTGCCTTGCTCACAGCTCCACGCGGTGCCAGCAGCCCGGGCAGCTCCTCCGCGTGCGTGTGGAGTAAACACAGCTGTGAGCAAGGGCACCCACCCCAGCCCCGGCCTCCTCGGCCCCGCAGCACTGAGAGGCTGCTCCCGAGTCCCCCCAGGGACCCCAAGCAGTGAATGACCCAGGGATCCCGTCGGCTGCTGTGCCCCTTAGTGACTGAGAGGGGTGAGCTCCTGCCGCCTCCAGCGAGAGCTCCGCATAGACGTGTGGGCCTGTGGGCCCCGCCCTGTGGAGACTGTGGCCTCCTCCCAGTGGGCGGAGGTGGGGACTGACCTGCATTCTCGTCGTCAGCACGGCCGAGGAGGCTGGGTCACAGCTCGAGGGCAGCCAAAGCCCCCGCTCCCCGTCCAGCAAGAGGCCGTCGCTGCACCGCCTGGGTAAGTGCTGGGCGGGCCCCGCGGCAGGAGCTCTGCTGGGCGGCTCCTCTGTGCTCTCTGCAATGCGGGGGGCGCCCCAGGGTCCCAGCAGCCTCAGACTGCACTGCTCCAGCGGGGCTGCCTTTGCCCCGGGGGTGCCCAGCCAAAGGCCGCCCTCTCCTGGGGGTGCCCAGCCAAAGGCCGCCCTCTCCTGGGGGTGCCCAGCCAAAGGCCGTCCTCTCCTGGGGGTGCCCAGCCAAAGGCCGTCCTCTTCTGGGGGCGAGCAGGAGCCCAGGACCTTGGAGGTGGGGGGTCCTCTGTCACCGGCCACTGGGACAGTGGGAGCCGCCGGGAGCCAGGTGGGATCCGCTCTCCAAGCAGAGGGGGGCCTGTGAGCCGGGGCTTTGGTGACAAGGCAGAAGTGGGCTTGTTAGCCCCAGGATCCCAGGGCACATGAGTGCCAGGCTGGGGACGTCCCAGCGTCCAGCCAGCAGGCTTGGTGTTAGGGACAAGGTGGGGGTGGTGGTCACCCTCAGGCTGTCCGTAGTCGTGGCCAGGCTTGGTGACGGGCCCAGTTCCTATCAAGTCGGAGACCAGGCGGGCAGGCTGGGGCATGAGGCCCGTGCACTCCTGGATGGCAGGAAAGCCCTGCACAGGGGAAGCTCCCGCAGGGACAGAGCTGGGGACCACTTTTTAAATTCCAGAAGAAAAGAGGAGAGCGTGAGGGGGCAGAGGGACACAGTCCTGATAGCAGAGCCAGCGAGGACAGGGCCCGGCCCCACCCCGGGGCGAGTACGAGTTTGGAAGCAGTGAGGGCGCAGAGTGGGGCTCCATCTGGGGAGAGGCCTCTCTCTGTCACCCGGCCCCGTGCGGCAGTTCAGGGTCCCAGCATCTCCCCTGCACTGGGAGGCGGCAGCCGTGCCCGGGGGGCGCCCGTGGTGGGCGGGTGCAAGAGAGAAGGGCGTCGGGTGTGCAAGCACCACCGGCCTCCCATTAACAGCCTGCCCGGGCTCCGCCCACAGGAGCCACTGTCCACGTAACCTGCGTCTCTTTCTTTCAAGGAAAAGAGAAGCCAGCCATGGCCAGGACCAGCAGCAGGGCCCCCTGCTCACCCACCTCGGTGTCGGATGTGGACTCGGACGCACTGTCACGGGGAAACTTCGAGGTGGGGTTTCGGCCTCAGAGGTCCGTAAAAGCCGAGAGAGCGCAGCAGCCTGAGGCTGGCGAGGACAGACGGCCAGCTGGCGGGGCCTCAGACGTGGAGGCAGTGACCCGACTGGCCAGGTCCAAAGGGGTCGGCCCAGCCTTGTCCCCCGGCCCAGCCGGATTCCAGAGCTGCAGCCCCGGCTGGTGCAGCGCCTTCTACGAGGCCGACTGCTTCGGGGCCGACGTCCACAACTACGTGAAGGACCTGGGGCGGCAGCAGGCGGACGGGGCCCTGCCCGACGCCCAGAGCCCGGTGAGTCCCAGGCCTTGGCACTGCCGGGTGGGGCAGGGCGTCTCCTTCCAGCAGAGCTTCCTGGTCACTGCAGGTGACAGATGGCACCGTGTGCCCAGAGCCCCCAACAGGGTGACACTGGTCCTGGTGCCCCCACCCCGTGGCTGTCAAGATGGTCAGGGCCCCCTCCCTGGGCTGAGCTCCACGTCTAGGGACAGGCTCGTCTGCACTGGTGCTCCTGGTGGCTCCACGTCTGAGGACAGGGAAGGGCTTTTCTCTCATGGTCGCCCGGGCGATGGGTTCACAGGAGGCCCCTCCATGCTCGTGACCAGGTTGCGTTCGGTCGTGTTTTCCGTGGGGCAGGCACAGCCTCCGGGCCCTTGGGCAGCCTCGCTCTGCAGTGAAAGAAAACACCAAAAACGCCTGCCCAGCAAGTCTAGACTGGGCCTGGTCGCTGCAGCCTGGTCCGGGCTTTCTGGCCAGCAGTGCCATCCTGGGTCAGGAGCAGCTGCAACTCCTCCCTGGCCAGCAGGGAGAGGAGGTCTTAGACCGGGGAGTCCTGGGTGCAGGAGAGGCCTGCAGAGCTCTGGACGCAAGGTGGGACCAGTGACCCACAGCCCCGACCTGGGCTGCATTCTCGAGAGCCCCGGGACTCCAGGGTGGATGACAGGAGGGGCCCAGTGGCCATCAGCTCCGGGAACCTCTCCTACCACCGTCTGCCTCGAGCTGAGCCACCGTGGGAAGCCTCCCCCAGCCTCTGGGCATCGGAGCCCTTCCTGGGGCTCCTCCTTGCTCCTCTCCTGCCGCCTCCTGGCCTGCACTTTATGACTCAGTCCAGAACATGACCCGGTGTCCCTTCAGGGCAGGTGAGGGGACAGGGGTTAAGCTCTGTGAAGCCTTCACTTCATTTCAGCTTCTGGGCCACGTGAAAGACCCGCATGGTGCTACAGCCTCTGCACCTGCATCTCGGACACCCCACACAGGGCCTGAGGGGGCTTCGAGGACGCAAAGGCCGCCCCCGGGGCTGGGGAGAGAAAAGGGCGGCCGGCACAGCAAACACCAAACGACCCGGCCCCCAAACGCAGGGAGTCCAGCAGGGAGCACTCAGCCCCCAAACTCACGGCGTCCAGCCGGGAGCACTCCGCCCCCAAACGCATGGCGTCCAGCGGGGAGCACTCGGCCCCCAAACTGGCAGAGTCCAGCGGGGAGCACTCCACCCCCAAACGCACGGCGTCCAGCGGGGAGCACTCGGCCCCCAAACGCACGGCGTCCAGCGGGGAGCACTCGGCCCCCAAACGCACAGAGTCCAGCGGGGAGCACTCGGCCCCCAAACGCACGGCGTCCAGTGGGGAGCACTCGGCCCCCAAACGCACAGAGTCCAGCGGGGAGCACTCGGCCCCCAAACTCACGGCGTCCAGCGGGGAGCACTCGGCCCCCAAACTCATGGTGTCCAGCAGGGAGCACTCGGCCCCCAAACACACAGCGTCCGGCCCATGGCCACAGCCTCACGTTTCTCTTGGAGGAGCTACTGTGTCTCTTTCAAAACAGGAGGCTCAGAAACACAGCAAGGGCAAAAACCACCTGGAGACAGACTTTCACATCCGCAGCCCAAAACGCACACGGTGCAGCGAGGGCCGTTCTCTGGGGCGGCTGGAGCAGCCGGTGGGCATTTCCTCCCTTCAGCGCTGACCCCCACCTACTGGTGCCGGCCGTGTGTGCTGGGCTCAGCACTGCGGGTGCCCTGGGGCTGTGGAGCTGGCATCCGCGTCTCCTGCTGTTAAAACAAGCGTGGCTCCCAGAGTCAGCGTGGACAGCACTGGTGTGGGTTCCTCCCCCGTCTGTCTGCACCGGTGAAGCCTGGCCTCGTGTTTCCCTCCTCACTGCCCCACATGTGGTGTGGATTTTAGTTACCGTGGATTTATTAAAATCAGTCAAGACCGTCCTCCTCATGGAGTCCGCCTGTGGTTCCCGCGTGAGGAGCGCCCCCGACGGACATCGAGTCTGACTGTGAACGGAGGCCGTGGAGGTGCCGGCCAGAGAGGAGTCTGCGTGAGCTGCACTCCAGCCAGGCGGGCATCGGGCTCGCAGGCACCCGCCTCCAGGTTCCTGGATGCGTCAGGGTACACAGACCTTTCCCAGGAGATTTTCTCGACATCAGCACCTCTGCAAATGGATGGGGGTGAGAGGGCTGGATGGAGCCTGGCGCCGGTGACCTCCGGGGGCCGGACGAGGGCCCCATGGTGCAGGCCATGGGGGAACGTGGCCACCACCATCCTCAGAAGCCAGGACCAGGTGCCCCGGCAGCAGAACACAGCTCCATGGGGACACCTGCGTTTACCAACCTCAACCTGCCCAGCCCGGTAGGTCCTTCCTTGATGATGGAATGTTCTAGACGCTGTCCACCGGGTAGCCAACAGCCACGTGTGGCTACTGAGCTCTGGAAACATGGCCCACGTGACTGAGGACCTGATGTTTTAATTTCACTGCACTTTAGGCAGCCACGGCAGCCTGCAGCTCAGTGTGGGAGGCAGGGTCGCACTTGGCTGGGTGGCAGCGGGGTCCGGAGGGCTTGGGGAACCTGGCTTAGTGGCCGAGGTTCTGCAGAGGCCTGGTCTTTACGCAGCTGGGACACTGCCCACACTGCCGTAGCGGGGAGCCTGGCCCTCCGTGGCACCGCCACGGCCGCTGCTGAACCCGTGCGTGGGAGAAGACAGCACAGGGACCCCGTCTCCATGGAACCACCAGATAGAGCGGATTCAAGTAGTTAAATAGAAATGTCGCCTGCATTTTTTTATTTTGCAAAAAACATTCAAAAATAAACCCTGTCAATAGCAGAGTCACTGGCGGCTGACAAGGCGAGGGGGTGGCTGTGTGGATCTGAGCCAACCGCACTTCACAAAAGGAAGCCTGGTGGACCGGCTCGCGGATGAGCCCCTCGGGGCGGTCGCTTCGGGCCCTGGGCACGTGAACCCCTCACAGGAGGCTGCGGGCCGAGGGCTGCCGCGCCTCTCACCTCTGCCCCCAGCCAGGTGCCCCTGCCCCGTGGCACCTCACAGTCCCCCTGAAGACCTGCTGCTCAAGGCCCAGCTCCCATGGACCCCCAAGACTTCCCAGACCCCTCACCCCAGAACCACCACCCTCCTCACCCCCAGAATCACCACCCTCCTCAGTACTGGGCCAAGCCCCACGGGTGCAGGAGGAGGCTGTATCTGCCCCTGTACCCCTAGAGGGAAGGGCCGTCTCTGGGGTCACTGCCCTGGCAGCCCATCCTCAGGGCGCCCCTCCTCCAGCCTCTACGCCCGTGTGCCTGTCCCGTAGGACAGAAGGAGTGCTCAGACGAGGGCTGCCCGGCCAGGCGTGGGAGGCATCCTGGGACAACGCGGCGCCCTCTCCCTGAATGTAGAGTCCCGTCCAGGGAGGCGCTCAGCCCCAGCTGCTGTCTGTGCATGAAGCAGTGCCCGGCGGCCCTCGCCCCCAGCTCCTGTGATCAGGACCTGCCCGTCTGGCCTCAGTCCTGCTTCCCTCATGGCGACAGCCCTGGGGATGAGGTCCCCGGCTCCATCTCGCAGGCAGGAACTCAGACTCTGGGCAGGTTCCGGAGAATCACACCCGGGCGTGCACTCACATTTACACTCAACGCTCATGCTCTATGGAGCACCCAAGGGCTGGGGCAAACGCTGCGGCCGCCGCCCAGCAAACCACGATGGTCCAGCCAGTGGGTTCCCGGGAGGAGGGTTTTTGGGGGCCTCGTCTGCACAGGCCAGCTGGAATCCGCATCATTGGGCTTCTTTAAGTTTAAAAGAAAGGCAAGGCTGGTGCAGTGGCTCACGCCTGTAATCCCAGCACTTTGGGAGGCTGAGATGGGAGAAATGCTTGAACCCAGGGAGTTGGAGGTTGCAGTGAGTTGTGATCGCGCCACTGCACTCCCACCTGGGCAGCAGAGCGAATCGGGCCACCGCACTCCAGCCCGAGTGACAGCAAGACCTCATCTCAAAAAATAAAAAATAAAATAAAATTAAAAAGTCAATAAAAATAAAAAACGGCCAGGCGTGGTGGCTCACACCTGTAATCCCGGCACTCTGGGAGGCCGAGGCGGGCAGATCACCTGAGGTCGGGAGTTCAAGACCAGCCTGACCAACATGGAGAAACCCCATCTCTACCAAAAATACAAAATTAGCCGGGCATGGTGGTGCATGCCTGTAATCCCAGCTACTCGGGAGGCTGAGGCAGGAGAATCGCTTGAACCTGGGAGGCAGAGGTTGTGGTGAGCTGAGATGGTGCCATTGCACTCCAGCCTGGGCAACAAGAGAAAAACCCCATCTCAAAAATAATAACTAAATTAAAAAATAAAAAATAAAAAGGCAGACACCTGAAGACACACGGGATGCACGTTGGGGAGGTCCCGCTGCCACCCCCTGCCCCCAGCCCCGCCCACAATGTGCACTTGGGGGCCCAGAGGTGGCACAGCCCTGCCTGCTTGGGCAGGAGGGCCTGGTGCTGACTTGGTGGGGCCTGGTTCCCCTGAGCATCCCCCACAAGGGCCTGACTGTGGGTGAGGGGCGCAGGGAGCAGTCGGCCCCAAGCTGGGCACTGCCCTGTGAGCCTGGGGGCAGCCCAGGGCCCCCCAGACCACACTGCCCAGGCCGGGGCTGGCCTCGCTGGCTGAGTGGGCCTCTGTCTCCATGGGACCCTGCCCTGCAGCTGATCTCCAAGGCCAAGGAGGCCCCAGTGGGGTGGGGCCTGGCCCTGGATGTGGCTGACGTGTGTTGGGGCTGCCTGGGGCTTAGGCGCTGTGTTTCGTCCCCAGGAGCTGGAACAGCAGCTCATGATGGAGAAAAGAAACTACCGCAAGACCCTGAAGTTCTACCAGAAACTCTTACAGAAGGAAAAGAGGAACAAAGGTAAGGCCCCTGTGGGCACAGGTCCGAGACCCTGGCTGCAGGCAGCCCGGCCCCCACCCACTCTGCTCCACCCACAGGTTCCGACGTCAAGACCATGCTGTCCAAGCTGAAAGGGCAGCTAGAAGAAATGAAATCCAGGGTGCAATTCCTCAGCTTGGTCAAGAAGTATCTGCAGGCAAGTGGGCTCCGGGCCCCGCTCTGCCCCGTGAGGCAGTAGCTTCAGACGGGCCTCCCACTGTTGGATGCTGTAAATCTGTCCGTGTGAAGTTATAAAAGGGGCCCTGATTTGAGGGTCCAATGCCAGGAAGCCCTGGGGCGAGGGGCAGAGTGACCAAGCGCCCGTGTCCCGCTCCGGCAGGTCATGTACGCGGAACGCTGGGGCCTGGAGCCCTGCACCCTCCCAGTGATCGTGAACATCGCGGCCGCACCCTGCGACACGCTGGACTTCAGCCCCCTGGACGAGTCCTCCTCGCTCATCTTCTACAACGTCAACAAGCACCCGGGCGGCCGGCAGAAGGCCCGCATCCTGCAGGCCGGCACGCCGCTGGGGCTCATGGCCTACCTGTACTCCAGGTGCGTTGGGAGAAAAGCTCACCCGGAAAAGGAGACGTAGCCCGGGGTGCTGAGAAGAGGGGGGGAACGTGCCCTCGCCAGTCAGCTAGGCTGGGTTTGCACTTTTTAGTTTAGAGAAATGTTTAATCGGGGTTTAGGCCAATGTGCACTAGGTGCCACCGGCAGCTTTGCAGAGCCCTGGCCAGAGTGGCCTCCGCCGCCTGTGGGCCTGGGCACCAGGTCTCAGGGTGCGCCTGGTGGTCCCCGGAGGTGCTGCGGAACCGCCCTACATAATTAACACACGGAATGGCTTCCAAAAATAACACGCACAGGCAGCTCGGCGATGTGGCCTGGACTCCATCCAACTCACCGAGTCAGAACACCCGGGGTAATTAGCTCCAGGGACGGGTGAGGCTGGGGTGTTTCTGCAGCCCCCTCCACTCGGTGTGCACACTGGCTCAGGAGACCCCTGATCCGTAAACGCTGGTGTGCGTACGTACGCCTGCAGCAGGGAGGAGCCGCCGGGCCCACTCACCTCCACCAGGGCCACAGGGCCAGACCCCCGGCCGCCCCACCAGCCCCCTTGGCCCTTCACCCACTCTGGCCTGCATGGGCCCCTGGGCTGCACCCTGTTCTCAGGCACTGGGAGCTGCAGCAGGCTCTGGACCCACTGGTCTGACCAGCTCCCAGAGAGGCCACCCTGCCAGTGACTGGGGCCAACCCCATGTTGGCTTATGGGACCCTTATGACACCACCTTGGAGCCCCAAGGGTCCTCTCTGAGCAGAGGCCATGGGGCCCAGCAAAGGACGCCAAGGAGGACAGCAGGGAGCCAGGGCTCTCAGCAGCCAGTGGGGACAGGCAGGCCCCCAGAGAGGGATGGTGGCCACCCCCAACCCCGTTACCCCAAGGACCCTCTAGAGAGGGACGTGGCCCCCCCAACCCCGTTACCCCAAGGACCCTCTAGAGAGGGACGTGGCCCCCCAACCCCGTTACCCCAAGGACCCTCTAGAGAGGGACGTGGCCCCCCCAACCCCGTTACCCCAAGGACCCTCTAGAGAGGGACGTGGCCCCCCAACCCCGTTACCCCAAGGACCCTCTAGAGAGGGATGTGGCCCCCCCAACCCCGTTACCCCAAGGACCCTCTAGAGAGGGACGTGGGCCCCCAACCCCGTTACCCCAAGGACCCTCTAGAGAGGGACGTGGCCCCCCCAACCCCGTTACCCCAAGGACCCTCTAGAGAGGGACGTGGCCCCACCTCCGACCCCGTTCTCCCAAGGTGAGCTGCCCCTGGTCACATGGGGCCACCTACTAGCCAGGGGTCCAGGCTGACCCTCGGACCTAGTTCTCAGCCTCCTCAACTGCAAGACAGACACAGCCCACGCCCACCGCAGGGTCTCTGTGCCGTTGCGGGAGACGTCCGTGTGCGTGACTGGGCACGTGTGCAGTGTGGTGCGTTCTTGGTGTGTGTGCATGTGTGGTGTGTCCGGGTAATGTGTGATGTGCTTTGTTGTGCATGTGTAGTACACAAATGTGATGTGTATTTAGGCTTGTATGGAGTGTGTGATGTGTGTGGTGTGTGTATGTGCTGATGGGATACTGTCTGGCATGTAAGCACACGCATGTGTGGCGTGGGGTATAATGTGACATGTGTGCACGTGTGTGGTGTGTGGTTGTGGGATATCGTGTGGTGTAGTAGGTACGTGTGCGGTTGTGAGGTATAGTGTGATGTGTGTGCATGTGTGGGGTGATGTGTGGCTTGCGTGCCCATGTATGGTGTGTGATGTGGAGTATTGTGTGGCGTGTGTGGTGTGTGGTTGGGTATTGCGTGGCAGGTGTGCATGTGTGTATGGCATGGGGTGTAGTGTGGCGTGTACACGTGTGTGGTTGGGTTTTGTGTGGTGCGTATGCACATGTGTGGTGTGTGGTATGCGGTAGTGTGTGTGTGGTGTGTGGAGTATAGTGTGTGTGGTGTGGGGTACAGTGTGTGTGTGCACGTGTGTGCTGTGCGGTGTGGGGTATAGTGTGTGCACATGTGGTGTGAGGTATAGTGTGGCATGTGTGCACATGTGTGATCTGTGGTGTGTGGCGGGTATAGTGTGTGTGTGCACGTATGTGTGGTGTGGGGTATAGTGTGGCTTGTGTGCGCGTGTGTGGTGTGCGCGTCTGGTTGTGGAGTTCTGTGTGGCTTTGTGCATGTGTGTGGTGTGCGCGTCTGGTTGTCGAGTTCTGTGTGGCTTTGTCCACGTGTGTGGCGTGCGTGTCTGTGGTTGTACAGTTTGTGGCTTGCATGGCGTGAGTGTGAGTGCTGTGCTTCCATGGAAGGAGCGTCTCCTGGCCGTGATGTGGTCACGAGGGGCTTCCCCGCTCTGTGGACCTGGTGGGCGTCACCTTTGCAGGGCAGCCTGGGGCTGGGGCTGTGGCCACCTGTGTCCTCGGACCCCAGGTGAGTGGGTGACCAGGCCCCTTGTTCCAGGGCCACGCCATCTCCTGCCTGAGACTCCTCCAGGGTGGGAGGAGGCCTTGCCAGGCCTCCGCTTCCTGACCGTGGCCGTCGGGCTCCCAGGACAGTCCCAGACCTGCAGGCGGGGCCCTGGTCAGTGTCTCCTGAGGGTGGCGCGGTTTCACCCAGTGAAGACCCAGAACCTTTGAGCGTGCAGCATTGCGCCCGGTCCCGAGGCACCAGCTCCCTCAGCTTCCCGAGCTAACGGGTCCTGCGAGTGGAGACGTCACAAAGCCCTGCATAGGGCTGCGTTCAGAAAGGCCCTGGTGTTCAGCAGGGCACGGTGGCTCACGCCTGTCATTCCAGCACTTTGGGTGGCCGAGGCAGGCAGATCACCTGAGGTCAGGAGTTCGAGACCAGCCTGGGAAACATGGTGAAACCCCATCTCTACTAAAACACAAAAATCAGCCGGGCATGGTAGGCGCCTGTAGTCCCAGCTATTCGGGAGGCTGAGGCAGGAAAATTGCTTGAACCTGGGAGGCGGAGATCACACCATTGCACTCCAGCCTGGGCGACAAGAGCGAAACTCTGCCAAAAAAAAAAAAAAAAAAAAAAAAAGGCCCTGGTGCTGGAAGGCTGGAAGTAGTTGGGAATTTCAAATGAAATTTGAAATTTGAGGGTTATCCATGTCCCCCCTTTAATTTCTCCGGGGATTCTCCTGACAGTGATACTCAAAGAAAACGCACACACACATACAGTCACACCCCACCACCGAACACTAGCCGAGCCCTGGGGTGCGGCCACCCCACCACCTCACCGCCGCCCGCCCCGCCCCACAGTGATGCCTTCCTGGAGGGTTATGTGCAGCAATTCCTCTACACCTTCCGCTACTTCTGCACACCCCACGACTTCCTGCACTTCCTCCTCGACCGCATCAACAGCACGCTGACCAGGTACCAAGCTCCACAGCTCCACGCCCGCCAGAGCTTCCCCCTGGGGCAGGGTGGGCGCCCATGGGCCTGGTTTAGCCACCATGAAGAACGAGGTGGTCCCTGGCGACCCAAGGGGGTGAGGGGCCAGGGAAGCCTGGCTGGAGGTCCGGCTGGAGGTGGAGGACACACAGGGATGCGGAGAAAGCAGCTGGGGCAGGAGGGCGGTGGCCTGGGCACCTGGGAGCTCTGGGAGGGGACCTGGGGGAGTCGGGGTCTCTTCCTGCTGACCTGGGAGGAAAGCGGAGGGCAGGTGGGCAGGCAGTGAGAGCCAGAAGGTCAGCTGGGGGAAGGGGAAGCACCAAGCAGAGGGTCCTACCGGCCGCCAGCCTCCCTCGGTACCCATGGCCAGCACCTGGTGTCAGGAGAGGGGTGGTGGGCTGAGGGGGGAGGGGCTCTGCCTCTCTCTGGGCTGATCTGCTGCCCCCCCAGGACACTCCACGCACCCCCTTGCCCCCACACGCCCAGGCTGGGCACCTCCCTGGCACCTCAGCTCCTGCCTCGGGGGAGGGACCCACGGAAGACCCCCAGCCCCCTAAGCCCCCTGCACACATGGAGCCTGGTCCCACCCTGCCTCTCTGGGAGAGCCACATGCAAGCCCCTGGGCCTCTGCCCCCGACTCCCACATCCTGGCAGCTCAGCAGCTCCCCTGCGTCTCCAGGGCCCACCAGGACCCCACCTCGACCTTCACCAAGATCTACAGGCGGAGCCTCTGCGTCCTGCAGGCCTGGGTGGAGGACTGCTACGCTGTGGACTTCCCTCGGAACAGCGGGCTGCTGGGGAAGCTAGAGGACTTCATCTCCTCCAAGGTGACAGTGGCGCTGAGCTGGGCGGCCGCACCCGGGGCTCCCACAGTGGGAGGTGCCGCCCTCCTCCAGAAGGTGGCAGTGACCCCCCCACCACTGTGCTTCTGCCTAGATCCTACCCCTGGACGGCTCTGCCAAGCACCTGCTGGGCCTCCTGGAGGTGGGCATGGACCGGCGGGCCGAGGGCAACCCTCGCGGCACAGACCTGGAGAACCCCAGGGAGGCCGAGGAGGATGCCAGACCCTTCAACGCCCTCTGTAAGAGGCTCTCAGAGGACGGCATCTCCAGGAAGGTGGGGTCCTTTCTCAGGGGAGGTCCTCCCTGGACAGGCGGATGTGGGTCCCTGAGCCCAGCCTCAAAGACACAACTGGTGCATGCACACACATACACACAAGTGCAAATGGGCACAGCTGTATACATGCATACACATAGACGTGTGCACATACACTTGTGTGCACATACATACCTGTGCACATCACACACATCCACACGTGCACATATGCATGCACCTTCACACAATCCACACGTGCACATGCGTGCACACTCAATCCACACGTGCACACGCACGTGCACCTTCACACAGCCATACATGCACTCGTGTGCACCCTCACACATATCCACACCTACACGTGTGCACCCTCACACATATCCACACCTACACGTGTGCACCCTCACGCAATCCACACATGCACACACGTGCACCCGCACACGCATCCACACACACACGCATGCACCCTCACATCCACACGTGCACACTCACATACCCCCTCCATGTTCCCGGTCCCAGGCAGCCCTGCTGCGCTGGCACCTCCTGCACCATCCCGGGTGCTCAGGGGAGGAGGGTCCTGCTGTGACTCATTGACCCACGGGCCAGAGACTAAGGCAGAAGCCAGTGTGGGGAGAGAAATGCCCTCTCCATTAAACCTCAGCGTCCTGCCCGTGGGGCACCTGCTGAAACGACCAGGACAGGCATCCTTGTGCCAGCACAGCTGCGGGTGGGCAGGCTGCTCTCTGGCTCTGGCTGGGCCAGTCTGAGGAGTACTGGGCTTGCACCTGGCCTGGTCCTCACCCCCCAACCCTGCCTCCCTGGACCCCTGACCCAGAGGGGACACGGAGCTTAGGCCCCTCAGTGCCCGGCCTGCCCTGCAGAGCTTCCCCTGGAGGCTGCCCCGAGGCAACGGGCTGGTGCTGCCGCCACACAAGGAGCGCCCCTACACCATTGCTGCCGCCCTGCCCAAGCCCTGCTTCCTCGAGGACTTCTACGGCCCCTGCGCCAAGACCAGTGAGAAGGGGCCCTACTTCCTGACGGAGTACAGCACTCACCAGCTCTTCAGCCAGCTCACGCTGCTACAGCAGGTGAGGAGGGCGAGGATCTGCGCCCAGGTCACCTGCGAGTCGGGGCCCCAGAAACACTCCGCGCCCATAGGGCCCTCAGCGGCTGCTTCCAGAGGAACAGACGGGCAGAGAAGGGGCCAGCTGCCAGGTGCACAGGTTGGGGGTGGCTGCCAGGTGCACAGGTCCAGGCGGCTGCTGCCTCAATGGGAGGCCCCAGCAAAGCTGAGTCCTCCTCTCCAGACCACTGCCCGCTGGGCCTGGCCCTGCCTCTGCCCAGCACTCTGGCCTCACAGGCACTAGAGGATGCCCTGAGGGCCGCATGGGGCGCTGAGTCTCTCCCCCCAGCCCCTCCACCGGAGCTGGGCCAACCCGGTTCCTTGTGCCCCCACCCAGCTGCCAGGGCCCTGCCCAACTTCCTCTGCCGCCACCACAGCCAGCCCTCAGGTGGCCTCTTCCCAGGTCCCTGCCATCCCGGGAGCCCACATCATGTAGCAGGTGACAGCAGTGATGCCAATCTAGTGATCCACCTGCTGTCACGAGGGCTGCCCCGGACACCATGAGCCCCTGGGGGCCAAGCACATGGGGAGCCCTGCAGCCGACCCCTGTGGACTGTTAGATGGGTATTGAACCTGGGATTGCAGAGCTGGCCCCCCAGAAAACACCCACCCTCCCTGGGACCCTGCCTTGGACACAAGGCCCTAAGGGATGGAAGCCTGAACCTCTTGTTTCCATGTTCTGGGCAGGAGTTGTTTCAAAAGTGCCACCCGGTCCACTTCCTGAACTCACGGGCCCTGGGCGTCATGGACAAGAGCACTGCCATCCCCAAGTGAGCGTCCGGGACCCTCAGCTGGGAGCGGTGGTGGAGGGTCTCGGGGGCTTCCCGTAAGAGTCTTGTGGACGCTCCTGACCAGCAGGAGATGCCTGTGTCTCCAGAGACGCGAGAGAGTGGTGTCTGCCAGTTGGAGCGGCCTCGTGGCCCGACCCCAGCCCACCCTGCACCAGCAGCCCCAGGGCCGGGCAGGGCCACTGCACAAGTCCTGGGGGTGACAGGGACCATATTTCTCTTCCAGAGCCAGCTCTTCTGAGTCTCTTTCGGCCAAAACCTGCAGCTTATTTCTGCCCAATTACGTTCAGGACAAGTATCTGTTACAGCTTCTAAGAAACGCAGATGACGTCAGCACCTGGGTGGCTGCAGAGATTGTGACCAGCCACACCTCCAAGGTGGGCACCCTACAGTTCCGAGGCCAACACGGGGCGTGGGGCCCACCTACGCGGGGGTGGCAGCGCCTCCTATAAGGCCGTGGCCTGAACCCTCTCCCAATGCAGTGAACCCAACTCTGTGTCCCTTGGAACCACACCCGACCCAAGGCTGAGGGGAGCAGGGCACAGGCTTCACTACATCAGGAGGAGGGGGGTCAGCCGCCCTCCCAGCTCTCCCCCAGCACTGCCTGCCACATCCACGGCCACATCCACATCCACGGCCACTTCCACAGCCACGTCCACATCTGCAGCCAGAGATGGCTCCCCTCAGTGGTGGGTGATCCTTGGCTGTGGGCCGCCTGGAGACCCAGGACAAGCTGCACCCACCACTGCTACCACCCCCACCTGTGCTCACCACACACAGAGTCCCTCACGCACCACCCCCAGCACTGGGCTCCGCCACACACCCCACTCCACCCCAGGCCCCATCCCCTCTGTGCCTGAGCCTGGCCCCTGGGCTGGGGCTTGTGATGCCCAGCGTCCCACCCTGGGCTCCTCCTGGCCGAATGCTCATTGTGGGTTCTTAGTCTGTGGAACGGATCGGCTCCGTGGTCTGACCAAGGTCAAGGTCAAGCTCCAGCGCCGGGGCCCAGTCTCAGCCTCTTCTAGGTCCTGTGGGGCTTGGGCTGGACTGGGGGCTCCTCCCCTGACCTGCCCCACCTGCTGTCAGGCAGGGCACTGTGCAGCCCCTAGAGAGTCACTGCCTCGACCAGCTCATCCTTCACGGGGCTTACCTGCCCAGGAGGCATCAGGGTCCACAGCTTCTCAGGAGGCCAGAGTCCCCCAGCCCCAGGGGTCTGCACCTTCACCCAGCGGATGCCTTCACCCAGCAGACGGACAGCCTATTACAGAGGACTGTGATCTCCTCACACCTGAGCTCAGCTGGCGCTTGGCTGTCGTGGGCTGGGGTCACCAGGTCCCGCTCCAAGTAAGACTCAGGATTACAGGGCCCCTTCCCCCACAGCAGGCAGGTAGACGCCCACCCCCTCCTGGGCCGGAGCTCTCTGAAAGCAAACTTGAGCCCAAGGAACAGGACTCCCGGCCACGAACCCCATCACTGCCGTCCCTGCTGCTGTCCCAGAGTGGGCTGAAGGCTCTGGGGGAACCAGGAGCTGCTCGCAGTCCACCAAGGTGCAGTACCTCCCTGCCAGGCGGCAAAGCCACCTCCACGGTGGACAGAGCTTCCCTTCCTATTATTCCTTCACACCCCTCCAAGCCCGCAGGCAACCCCGGGCCGTAAACGAAGGCAGAGGCACCGCCTTCTCTCCTCCCTTGGGGAGAACTTTCCAACTTTGGGGATTTGTCGCCAGGGCACGCCAGCACGGGGCGTGGGAACAGGGAGCCTGGTTGCCTCTTTCCTCAGATCCATGGTTTTCACCATATCGTGAGGGACATGAAAATGCGATTTCCCTAAACCAGAGCCTTCACGCACGGCCCGTGTGGCCAGGCTTCATGAGGATGAGCACAAGGACAGGTGGCTGTCACCTGGCCAACCCACATCGTCCTGGGCGCACCCTCACCCCGAGCTGCCCCAGCGGGTGGAGGACTGCCCCTCCCAGCCTGAGACCCACCTCGAGCCTGCGGCGGCCCTGCCTGAGGGTCTCCGGGATGGCCGCTCGTCCTGGTCACGCACCCGTGTACAGGTCTGCAGGGTGGGCAAGAGTCGTGCAGGCTCACACCCAGGGCTGCTGGCACCCAGCGTGGCCGGGACAGAGCTCGGCACTGCTGCCACATCCCCGTTAGCAAAAGGGAGCTGCGGATCGCTCAGAACAGGCCCCTCACCTCCTCACGGGAGCGGACGGACCTCGCCGGAGACCCACTTCTAAAAGCACCACGCTCGTCCATCTAACAAGTGTTAGAGCCACGATGTCCTGACGTATTGTGTCTCAATGGCTGTGAGGTCGGAACAATCCAGGACACTGAGTTTCACATTTGTAAATTCAGGACCCCAGAAAATCATTAAAATACAAAATTCGAGCACAGAGGGCAGCAGTGATCAATAAAAATGCTCGGGGGTCAGTGGCTCCGTTCTGACGATGCCTGGAGTGAGGCGAGGTGGAGACACAAGGGCAGGAAGAAACGGCATAAAATTTCTCACCTGAAGAAAATGGGGGGTCGGTGGTTCCGTTCAGACAATGTCTTGGTGGCACCGTTTAGACGACGTCTGGAGGGAGACAAGGTGGAAACAGAAGCAGGAAGAAACAGCGTAAAATTTCTCACCTTAAGAAAACGCAGGCCGGTCGCAGTGGCTGATGCCTGTAACCCCAGCCCTTTGGGAGGCCGAGGAGGGCAGATCACTTGAGACCAGGAGTTGGGATCAGCTTGGACAACATATCGAAACCCCGTCTCTACTGAAAATATAAAAAATTGTCCAGGCTGGTGGCGCACACCTGGAGTCCCAGCTCCTCAGGAGGCTGAGGCGGGAGGATCACTGGAGCCCAGGAGGTGGCGGTTGCAGTGAGCTGAGGTTGCACCACGGCAGCCTAGACGACGGTGCGAGACCCTATCTCAAAAAAAATAAAAAATAAAAATGGGGAGTTTGAAAGCAGAATAGGGCTTTGGTTTCTTTAGATTTGTTTAAAAATATGGAACACCATAGCCAAGAGGTGGAGGCACCTAAATGTCCACGGAGAGAAGAACAGATAAAGAAAATGCGGCCTCTTTGTACCTTGAGAACTTATTCAGCCTTAACAGGAGGGAAATTCTGACGCCTGCGGCAGCACGATGAACCTCGAGGGACTCAGGCTCAGGGAAACGAGCCAGTCGCGAAGCACGGACAGTGGACGGCTCCACGTACACGAGGCGCCTGGAGGCGCAAGATTCACGGAGACAAAGTAGCAGGGTGGGCGCCGGGGGCTGGGAGTGGGGCACGGGGAGCTCGTGTTGAACGGGGACCGAGTTTCCGTTTGGGAAGATGGAGAGTCGCAGACATGCTGCACAGTGTGGATGTAGTTAACACGGCTGAACCGTGCACTCAGAAAAGGCTACAAAGGTAAATCCTCTATTACATACTTTTTACAATTAAAAATCAAAAGGTTAAAACAACAGTGAAAAAGTGTGGCGAAATAGTTTTATCTCAAAATTACATACTTTGCATCTACTTAAACCGATGAAGAAACAGACTGAGACGTCAGCGTAGAAAGTGTATCCGGTAAACACTTCTCAAGCTCCTCTCAAGGCGCTCAGGCAAGAGGGCTGGGGCCGCAGTCGGGGTGAGCCCAGGATCACATGAGGCGCCTTCAGCTGCACAGGGGCCCTGCAGACAAGAGTTGAGCCCGGGGGCAGGCGCGGTGGCTCACGCCTCTAATCCCAGCACTTTGGGAGTCCGAGGCGGGCAGATCACGAGGTCAGGAGTTCGAGACCAGCCTGGCTGACATGGTGAAACCCCATCTCTACTAAAAATACAAAAATTATCACGCCTGTGATCCCAGCACTTTGGGAGTCTGAGGCAGGCAGATCATGAGGTCAGGAGTTCGAGACCAGCCTGGCTGACATGGTGAAACCCCATCTCTACTAAAAATACAAAAATTATCACGGCTGTGATCCCAGCACTTTGGGAGTCCAAGGCGGGTGGATCATGAGGTCAGGAGTTCGAGACCTGCCTGGCCAATATGGTGAAACCTCATCTCCACTAAAAATACAAAAATTATCACATCTGTAATCCCAGCACTTTGGGAGTCCAAGGCGGGCAGATCACGAGGTCAGGAGTTCGAGACCAGCCTGACCAACATGGGGAAACCCTGTCTCCACTAAAAATACAAAAATTATCACGCCTGTAATCCCAGCACTTTGAGAGGCTGAGGCAGGAGAATCACTTGAACCCGGGAGGTGGAGGCTGCACCGAGCCGAGATCGCGCCACTGCACTCCAGCCTGGGCCACAGAGCAAGACTCCATCTCAAAAAAAAAAAAAAAAAGAGTCGATCCGGGGCATGGCGTCCAGCTGGACTCTGCAGCCTTGGTTTCCACCAAAGGATGGCCCAGGCCAAGGTGATTCCTCAGGGACAGGCAGCTACAACAGGAGGGGTCAGCTGAGTTCTCCAGAATCTTCCTGAAGCCCTGGAAGTGGATCCAGGAACGCAGCCCTTTGGGACTGCTCAGAATAGGAATCCTGCTGGGTGAGGCATTCACCACCCATGGGGTGTTCCAACCAAGGCCAGCAAGGTCGTCACCGCCAGCCACAGAGCCCCGGAGGAGGGGGCGGCACTCAGGCACCCACCCCGGACTGCACCCAAACACTCCTGCCACGGGCTTGGCGCAGCGGGTTGGGGGGTGGGCACGGAGCTGCCTGTGGCTCCCCATCTGCCTGTGGACACGACAGCGGCCTCTCCCTGGGTGGGGTCGCCTTTCCCAGTCCTGAAGCTGCCTGGGGAGGTGCATCCAGGCACAATCTTGCTTTTGAGAAGTGAGGGTGGACTTCTTTTCAAGTCTTTCCGCGTATCAGGCTTTGCTTTTATTTTGTTTTATTTCAAGTCATGCCCACCCCGTCCCGCCAGCCCAGCCCCTCCACGGCCACCGCTCACCTGCGTCCACACAGCCGCTTCCTTTCCACACACGTGATGCAGCACACGCTCTTGTGTCTTGGAGCTGGGTGATTTTAACAGGTTCTCAAATATTCCCTTTGTTCATCTTAAACCAGAAGACGCTGAATGTGTCATTTTCTTATTGCAGCTGCAGGTGAACTTGCTGTCCAAATTTTTGCTGATTGCAAAATCTTGCTATGAGCAGAGAAACTTCGCGACAGCCATGCAGATCCTGAGCGGGCTGGAGCACCTGGCCGTGAGGCAGTCCCCTGTGCGTCCCCCTCGGGCCCCAAGGCGGGGGTGGGTACCCGCACGGCCGCAGGAGGCTCACCTGTGCTTTCATTTCAGGCCTGGAGAATTCTGCCTGCAAAGATAGCAGAGGTCATGGAGGAGCTGAAAGCCGTGGAGGTACCAGCACTTTACGTGGCCGGGCGGCTTTGGTCCCCCGAGGCCCTCTCCTAAACGAACTGCTGTGCAGAGCCTGCCGCACCCAGACGCAGGCACCACAGAGTGTGTGCAGGTGGCCCAGCCAGGGTGGCCTCACGGAGGCCTTGGAGTCATCTCCCGGCAGGGCCTCTGTTGCCACCTGGGCAGAGGTGTCCCACCTGCTCGGTCCCGGGGCCTTGCTGGTCTGAGTTCCTCACACAGAGCACAGGTGCCCAGAGGACAGCACTGAGGTCTGTGGCTGGGGCCTGAGCTTGACCGACCTGGACCTCCTCCAGGACGGCAGGGGTGGCCTCATGAGATGATGAACAAGGAATTGCTGCTGGAAGTGACCAGCCATCCCCAAACATGACTCAGACGAGTCCCAGAGCAGCCACAGCCTGTCCCCGTCTTGGGTCTCAGAGCTCGGCCTCAAGCCCCAGCCACAGCTGTCCACGGGTGGGACGGCTCCTGCATGTCTTTGCTGGACACGCAGACACGGGGCCCTGCTCTGGTCAGCCGGGGTCTCATTTAGGGAAGCTGGGTTACCTGGCACTTCCTGGAGTCCAGCAGAGAGCAAGGAAAGGGACTCACCATTTCAGCAGCAGGAGGCACAAAACCTCCCAGCGGCTGTCAGGGCCGTGAAAGCTTAAGACCCCGCAGGTGTGAGCCAAGTCCAACCATCCAGGAACATTCGGGACTGGAAGCTAATTCAGAGAGCCGGGTAGACCCCGTGCGTGGAGAACGCAGGACCCGCTGGGACTGGTTGGGCTGCGCTGGCCCCGGCTGAGGCTCCTGCACTGACCACGCCCTGTCTCTCCCCGGCCCACGCCCCGGCTGGACCACCAGGTCTTCCTGAAGAGCGACAGCCTGTGTCTGATGGAAGGGCGGCGCTTCCGGGCGCAGCCCACCCTGCCCTCGGCCCACCTCCTGGCCATGCACATCCAGCAGCTGGAGACAGGCGGCTTCACCATGACCAACGGGGCCCACAGGTGGAGCAAGCTCAGGTGAGGAGGGGCTCAGGCGGCCGCGCGCCCAGGAGAGGAGGGGCTCAGGCGGGCGCGCGCCCAGGAGAGGAGGGGCTCAGGCGGCCGCGCGCCCAGGAGAGGAGGGGCTCAGGCGGCCGCGCGCCCAGGTGAGGAGGGGCTCAGGCGGGCGCGCGCCCAGGAGAGGAGGGGCTCAGGCGGCCGCGCGCCCAGGTGAGGAGGGGCTCAGGCGGGCGCGCGCCCAGGAGAGGAGGGGCTCAGGCGGGCGCGCGCCCAGGTGAGGAGGGGCTCAGGCGGCCGCGCGCCCAGGTGAGGAGGTGCTCAGGCGGGCGCGCGCCCAGGAGAGGAGGGGCTCAGGCGGCCGCGCGCCCAGGTGAGGAGGGGCTCAGGCGGCCGCGCGCCCAGGTGAGGAGGGGCTCAGGCGGCCGCGCGCCCAGGTGAGGAGGGGCTCAGGCGGGCGCGCGCCCAGGTGAGGAGGGGCTCAGGCGGGCGCGCGCCCAGGAGAGGAGGGGCTCAGGCGGCCACGCGCCCAGGTGAGGAGGGGCTCAGGCGGGCGCGCGCCCAGGAGAGGAGGGGCTCAGGCGGCCGCGCGCCCAGGTGAGGAGGGGCTCAGGCGGGCGCGCGCCCAGGAGAGGAGGGGCTCAGGCGGCCGCGCGCCCAGGTGAGGAGGGGCTCAGGCGGCCGCGCGCCCAGGAGACGAGGGGCTCAGGCGGGCGCGCGCCCAGGTCAGGAGGGGCTCAGGTGGCCGCGCATCCAGCAGAGGAGGGGCTCAGATGGGCGCATGCCCAGGTGGGGCACGCTCAGGTGGCACCTCTCCTCCTGTCCTTGCTTTTCAGAGGCCTGGGTACCTTGCCCCTCACTTGGCACTCACAGCCTCAGACCTCCCTCTACCCAAGATAACCTCCAGCCACCTCCTTCTCTGCAAATCTGGAGCATTTCCTGCACTTCTGCTGTCCATGGTCCCAAAACACTCCCCGTGGTCTCTAGGGACCCCTGTGTTGGGACCCAGGCACACTTTCCACCCCACCCTGAGGGTCTCTGCAGCACAGAGGCTGCCCGGCAGCAACCTGTCCTGACCGCTGGGTGCCACAGTGTCCCTGCTCCCCTTGAAACCCCTCTCCCTAGAGACATCCAGGTGGGACCCAGGATCAGTCCTCAGCCTGTTCCTGTGGTCCTGCTGTCCACCTGCCCAGCACCTGGGACCAACTACCTTGCACACCACCTGGGAGGCGCAGACTGGGGCTGGCTGTAAAACCTACCACCACGACCCACAGGGCTCACACCCCAGGCCACACAGGCTCTTCCACCTGGTAAGGCACAGGGGCCAGCCTCTCCTTGGAGCCCCAGGCCTGTGTCCGATGACCCTCAGGTGCCCACAGCCCCAAGCTCGGCCTCACTCTCTCCCTCAAGACACAATCTCCCACCCTCCCGTCTCATCTCATCGCCTGCCGTTGTCCACACACGGTCAGGTGGAGGCTGCCCAGGCCACGGCGGCTCCACCCTCCCCCACGGTAGATGGCCTCACTTGGGGAGCAATGCTCAGCGGACCAGGTGCCCATGGATCCTCAGCCTGATAGGTGAAGGTCCCCTTCTTAGATAGCCACCAATTTAAAAACAATAATTATAATATGCCATAAATGTATGCTTATCGTAAGAGATCAGAAAACCCATGTCAGCAAAAGAGAAGTTAAAAACTTAAGGTAGGCCAGACGCGGCGGCTCACGCCTGTAACCCTAGGTAGGCCGGGCTGGGTGCAGCCACTCACGCCTGTAACCCTAGGTGGGCAGGGCTGGGTGCAGCCACTCACGCCTGTAACCCTAGGTAGGCCGGGCTGGGTGCAGCCACTCACGCCTGTAACCCTAGGTGGGCCGGGCTGGGTGCAGCCACTCACGCCTGTAACCCTAGGTGGGCCGGGCGCGGTGGCTCACGCCAGTAACTCTAACACTCTGGGAGGCCGAGGCGGGCGGATCACTTGAGGTCAGGAGTTCAAGACCAGCCTGGCCAACATGGTGAAACCCCATCTCTACTAAAAATACAAAAAATTAGCCGGGCGCGGTGGCGGGCGCCTGTAGTCCCAGCTACTCGGGAGGCTGAGGCAGGAGAATGGCGTGAACCCGGGAGGCGGAGCTTCCAGTGAGCCGAGATCGCGCCACCGCACTCCAGCCTGGGCGATAGAGCGAGACTCCGTCTCAAAAAAAAAAAAAAACTTAAGGTGATGCTCAATCAGGAAAGAAAACAAGCCAAGAGTGGCACTTGCTCTCCACAGCGTCCACGTGCGTATGTGAGCGCCTCCAGATCTGCCCTTCTCAGCATCCCCATGTGTGTGAGAGCCCATCCAGGCATGCTCTTCCCGGCGTGTGTGTGTGTGTGTGAGAGCCCATCCAGGCATGCTCTTCCCGGTGTGTGTGTGTGTGTGTGAGCCCATCCAGGCATGCTCTTCCCGGCGTGTGTGTGTGTGAGAGCCCATCCAGGCATGCTCTTCCCAGTGTGTGTGTGTGTGAGAGCCCATCCAGGCATGCTCTTCCCGGCGTGTGTCTGTGTGTGTGTGAGAGCCCATCCAGGCATGCTCTTCCCGGCGTGTGTGTGTGTGTGTGAGAGCCCATCCAGGCATGCTCTTCCCGGCGTGTGTGTGCATGAGAGCCCATCCAGGCATGCTCTTCCCGGCGTGTGTGCGTGTGCGTGAGAGCCCATCCAGGCATGCTCTTCCCAGTGTGTGTGTGTGTGAGAGCCCATCCAGGCATGCTCTTCCCGGCGTGTGTGTGTGTGTGTGAGAGCCCATCCAGCCATGCTCTTCCCAGTGTGTGTGTGTGTGAGAGCCCATCCAGGCATGCTCTTCCCGGCGTGTGTGTGTGTGAGAGCCCATCCAGGCATGCTCTTCCCAGTGTGTGTGTGTGTGAGAGCCCATCCAGGCATGCTCTTCCCGGCGTGTGTGTGTGTGTGAGAGCCCATCCAGGCATGCTCTTCCCGGCGTGTGTGTGTGTGAGAGCCCATCCAGGCATGCTCTTCCCGGCGTGTGTGTGTGTGAGAGCCCATCCAGGCATGCTCTTCCCGGCGTGTGTGTGTGTGAGAGCCCATCCAGGCATGCTCTTCCCGGCGTGTGTGTGTGTGAGAGCCCATCCAGGCATGCTCTTCCCGGTGTGTGTGTGTGTGAGAGCCCATCCAGGCATGCTCTTCTCGGCATGTGTGTGTGTGTGTGTGTGAGAGCCCATCCAGGCATGCTGTTCCCGGCGTGTGTGTGTGTGTGTGAGAGCCCATCCAGGCATGCTCTTCTCGGCGTGTGTGTGTCTGTGAGAGCCCATCCAGGCATGCTCTTCCCGGCATGTGTGTGTGTGAGAGCCCATCCAGGCATGCTCTTCCCGGCATGTGTGTGTGTGAGAGCCCATCCAGGCATGCTCTTCCCGGCGTGTGTGTGCATGTGTGTGAGAGCCCATCCAGGCATGCTCTTCCCGGCGTGTGTGTGCGTGTGTGTGAGAGCCCATCCAGGCATGCTCTTCCCGGCGTGTGTGTGTGTGTGAGAGCCCATCCAGGCATGCTCTTCCCGGCGTGTGTCTGTGTGTGTGTGAGAGCCCATCCAGGCATGCTCTTCCCGGCATGTGTGTGTGTGAGAGCCCATCCAGGCATGCTCTTCCCGGCGTGTGTGTGTGTGTGTGAGAGCCCATCCAGGCATGCTCTTCCCGGCGTGTGTGTGTGTGTGAGAGCCCATCCAGGCATGCTCTTCCCGGCGTGTGTGTGTGTGTGAGAGCCCATCCAGGCATGCTCTTCCCGGCATGTGTGTGTGTGAGCCCATCCAGGCATGCTCTTCCCGGCGTGTGTGTGAGCCCATCCAGGCATGCTCTTCCCGGCGTGTGTGTGTGTGTGTGAGCCCATCCAGGCATGCTCTTCCCGGCGTGTGTGTGTGTGTGTGAGAGAGCCCATCCAGGCATGCTCTTCCCGGCGTGTGTGTGTGTGAGAGCCCATCCAGGCTTGGCCTTTCTTTGCCGTAATGGACGCCCCTTTCTTTGTCCCTCACACTGGGCATGTGGTGTTTCCATCCAAAATCAGGACAGGGCGTCTGTCTGTGGCATCAGTGTCCCCAGGCCTGGCTGAGGGCTCCTGCTCGTGACTGGCCAGCTTTCTCCATTATATTCTATGGTGTGCTGGTCACTGTCAACCAGCTGTCCCAGGCTTCCGGCCCTGGGCCCCGGCCGTGGCGATTCCCAGGTGTGAATGTGAACGCTCTGCACGGCAGCAGAGAGTCCCTTGCCTGCCTCGTCCTCTCAGCTGCAGCCCCTGCGGCAGACTGGGCTTGACTCTTCTTGGGACGCTCAGCAGGGACGAGCCTGAGCCTGCAGGGTTTCCATAAGCGTGTGTGGACTGAAATGTGGATGGATGGACAGTCAGACAGACGGAAAGGTCTGAGTAGTGACCTTTCCACCTCGCCAATAAATACAGACAACCCACCCTTCAGAATTTACACGGTGAAAAGATTTAGTCCAAATGATTCCTAAGAACGCGGGGGGACTCCCTCCCCACGGAAGCCGCGCCCCTGCCCTGTGCAAACTAACGTCTCTTCTTTCCTCAACGGAAGGAACATCGCAAAGGTGGTGAGCCAGGTGCACGCGTTCCAGGAGAACCCTTACACCTTCAGCCCCGACCCCAAGCTCCAGTCGTACCTCAAGCAGAGGATTGCCCGCTTCAGCGGTGCCGACATTTCCACACTCGCCGCAGATAGCAGGGCCAACTTCCACCAGGTCTCCAGCGAGAAGCACTCACGGAAGATTCAGGACAAGCTACGGAGGATGAAGGCTACATTCCAGTAGCCGAGCTCGGGCCTGGTGTGGAATTCCAGATCCGAATCCGACTGTGGGGGGCGGGCTGGGAGGTGGGAGCCGCGTCTCAGGCCCGGCCGTTATCAAGGCCCCTCCGCCCCCGAACCCTGGGGAGCTGGACCAGGAGGTGGAGGCTCAGGGGACCCCATGGGGACAGGCAGAGCTGGTCTCCTCCCAGCAGACGGAGCCAGGACGGGCACAAGAGTCTTGGAGGTTTGCGTGTTTCTGCTAGAATTAAAAAGTTAAATTTAAAAATGAAAATGAAAGACAGCTTCCCAGGAGTTTTGTGCCTGTCTGCGCCTCTCACACACAGATAAGTGGCTCTTACCCAGCTCTCAGTGACTCCCCCACAAAACAGCAACAGCCTCCACCGCCAACTCAACAAACTTCAGAGTAGCTCCTCCCTGAGCAGGTTTCTGAGCCAGCCTGGGTTGGCTGAGCAACGAAGGGCCAAAGCTGACCTCTGAGTGGCCAACTGCAGCTCCCAGGGACTCCGAGACCTCCGGTCCGAGACCCTGCCTGGGTTCACCCCCCACAACCCAGACCCAGAACCGCTCTCCCCTTCCCTGCCCAGTGCCCCTCCTCCCCAGCCCAGACCCCCAGGTGCCCAAGGCCTGCTGCTGGAGCAGGCACCTTGGGCTGGGCCTGCTCCCCCAGGGCCCAGGGCCCCCCAGCTTAGAACAGCCCTTGGTGAGGTGGTCATGCCCGGGCAAAGGCCCTGCTTCCTGGAAAGGACACTCAGAGCAGCTCCAAGACAGAGGCTCTGTGGCGGGGGTCCCTGAGAGTGCCCCCACCCATCTCATGCCCCAGGGACCGCCACTGCCCACCGCCTCCAGCAGCCATGCATGTGCGCCCGCAGCCCTGCCTCCACAGCTCGCCACACACTCACGCTTCGCCAGAGACAGGAAGTGCGCTGCCTCCACGGCCCCTTGCCCTTGCTCAGGTTCTTGGACCCCAGGCAGCTGGTGTGGAGCCCCTTGGCCAGGGCCATGGGAGTCCCGCGCAGTCAGCTCCACATTGGCCTCTGCAGCTGGGTGACCAGAGCCCCGGGCACGGCCCCAGCTCCGTGGGGCTCTCACGGTGCCAATCACAAGACCCAGGGTTGTGCTTTTGAGTTTTAGAATTAGTCATTCTTTAGAGCAGCCAGCTAGTGGCATTTCTAGGAAAACTGTGACCTGTGACAAATCGCTGCATTTTTAATGTCAAGATGTGTTTTCCCACATAAATTCACCGGAGACATCCGGGCCCCGCTTCGATGTAACATGAGAGGAAGTCGGCGTCCTGGCCACGAAATGCAGTTCACTTTTTTTTAGGCTTTTATATGGATTATGTTTTGCTGACCCACGCCCGCATTTTCAGATTTTGTATCTAACAGACAGTGCTCAGTGCAAATCAACATTCCAGCGGTCAGGACTGACCCCGGGGCAGCACTGGGCTCAGGCTTCAGCGCGACTGTCCGCATGGCTCCCTCCCGTCCTGGCACCAATTTCTGAATAAAGTCCTTTCTACCAGCTGCTGCTGTGTGGTCACTCTGCGGGTCCCCACGGTGACCTCTGCAGGTCGACACGTTTTCCTTCATGGCCGCACGAAGGCCCCTTACAGGTGCTCACAAGGACTCCAGGTGCGAGATGTGCTCAACCCAGGACTGAAAACGAATCTGCCGGTCCACAGCGACGCCCTCTGATGCCGCAGAGAAAGGCCCGGGCCTGCCAGACGTGTGTCACAACTCAGGCCCCGCCAGGAGGAAAGCTACCGCCAGCACTCCCAGGCCGTGGGAACAAGCAAACGCACCGGCTGGGGCAGGAAACACTTGCTTCTGGTTGTGACTGCAAACAGCCTAAAAGAACGGACTCCCGTAACCACGCTCCTGTGTGCGCACATCCAGGCTCGCCCTCCATTGACAAAAAGGACGTCCCTCATGCTGGATGTGCAGTGTCTTCATCCAAGATCAGGACGGGCGTCTGTCCATCAGTTCTTACAGGCTATTTGCACAGACCCACGGCTGTTCTTGGGTCAATCTGCGCTAAACTCTGCCCAACCCAGCCAGTTCCCACCTGGCAGCCCTGTGGGCAAGACAGAGCTGGGTCCCCCGTCATCACGGTGCAAGCTCGCCGTAACTCTGACCACAGTGGAGCAGGAGGCCAGGACGGGGAGCTCCTGCAGGTGGGGCTTGTGGCCCGGGAAAGGACACTCTCACGGTTGTCACAGGGTAAGACTGGTGGACACCACTCAGGGAGGGGCTCACAGCCAGGGCTTCCAATGGTTTTGGGGTTGTAAACTGTGGATGCTTTTGGGAAAAGAGCTGATGGGTCTTTCGGGAAGTTCCCGTGATGAACGGTGCGGTTATCCGCCTGGAGGGAGGCCCAGGAGAAGCCGAGAAGACAAGATGGTGGAGTCCAATTGTGCTGGACAGGAGCTGCCCGAGACAGGGGGCCCTGGTCCTGGTCATGTGTGCGTCCTCGCCCCCACGCCATGCAGGCCGGACCCCTCACTGCAGTGGCTCCAATAAATTCAGCTCCGCTGAGCACAGGACTTTTCTCTTAGAGAGCTGACAGCCAGCAACCTCATGAGCCTCGCTTCTCGGCGCCATCCACTCCCCGGCTCTGTCCCCCACGCCGCCATCCACTCCCCGGCTCTGTCCCCCACGCCGCCATCCACTCCCCGGCTCTGTCCCCCACGCCGCCATCCACTCCCCGGCTCTGTCCCAGACGGGTTCAAGGCAGGCTGTGCTGTGCACTGCAGTGCCACTGTGGGCTAGACAGTCTGCGCTGGCGTCCTGTGCACCATCATCTCTGATCTCCACCCATCAGATGCCCCCAGCACCCCCAACCCTCAGTTATTAAAAATCTTTTTTTTTTTTTTGAGACAGAGTCTCACTCCGTCACCTAGGCTGGAATGCAGTGGTGCGATCTTGGCTCACTGCAACCTCCACCTCTTGGGTTCAAGCGATTCTCCTGCCTCAGCCTCCTGAGTAGCTGGGACTACAGACACATGCCACGACACCCAGCTAATTTTTTGTATTTTTAGTAGAGACGGGTTTCACTGTGTTAGCCAGGATGGTCTCAATCTCCTGACCTCGTGATCCGCCCGCCTCGGCCCCCCAAAGTGCTGGGTGTCAACAGGCTTGAGCCACGCGCCCAGCCTTTTTTTTTTTTTTAGATCCACCTCCCAGGTTCAAGCAATTCTCCTGCCTCAGCCTCCCTAGAAGCTGGGATTACAGGTGCACATCCAACGCCTCGCTAATTTTTGTATTTTTAGTAGAGATGGGGTTTCACCATGTTGGCCAGGCTGGTCTCAGACTCCTGACCTCAGGTGATCCGCCTGCCTCAGCCTCCCAAAGTGCTGGGATTACAGCCACCACGCCTGCACGCCCCCCTTTTCTTTTTAAGACAGAGTCTTGCCCTGTCACCCAGGCAGGAGTGCAGTCAGGTCATCACGGTACACTGCAGGCTTAACCTCCTGAGCAAAAGGACATCCTCCCGCCTCAGCCTCCCAAGTAGCTGGAACTACAGGCACCTGCTACTACACTCGGCTATTTTTTATTTTTTTGCAGAGATGGGGGTCTCACTATATTGCCCAGGTCAGTCTCAAACTCCTGGCCTCAGGAGATCTGCCCACCTCAGCCTCCCAAAGTGCTAGGAATACAGGTGTGAGCCCCGTGTATGAGTGCCTGGCCAGGAACCACAGATTTCTTGAGAAGTGTCTGAAAAGCTGATTCTAGGACCAGGGTCGGCAAAGGACCAGATGAGGCAGGAGCATCCTGTATTGCCAGGGAGCTGGGAGGGGGTTTCAAAAGGACAAGGAAGAGAGGAGGAGGTGAGAAGACTTTCAATGGCCAAAGCAGGAACGATATGCGCAAAAATACAAATAAAAGCCCGGCACAGGGGCTCACTCCTGTAATCTCAGCACATTGGGAGGCCCAGGCAGGAGGATCACTTGAGCCCAGGAGTTCAAGACGAGCCTAGGCAACATAGCAAGACCCTGTCCCTACAAAAAGTAAAAAAAAAAAAAAAAAACTAGGTGCGTGTGGTGGTGCACACATGTAGTCCCAGCTACCAAGGAAGCTGAGGCTGGAGGATCACTTGGGCCCAAGAGTTCAAGGCTACAGTGAGCTGTGATCAGGCCACTGCACTCCAGCCTGAGTGACAGAAAGAGACCCCATTTGTAAAAAATAATAAAAACAAACAGAACTTTTAAAACAAATAAATAATAACAGCATCGGGTTATGACCTAAAGGATAAAATAAATATACACGAGCCCACACTGTAGAAATAAATGACTGAGTAAATAAATCAACAGGCAGAGAGACAAACCTTACAGAAGAATCCCAGAAAATACAGACACCCCTCCAGGAGGTGGGGCCTAATTACTCTCCCCATGAGTTGGGGATGGGCTGAGGGGCCGGATTCCAGTGACCAGAGCAGGGATGGAAAGGCGATACCTGAAGACTGCAAGAGTGGCAGACAGTCCGCACCCCAGCACGGAGCAGACCTCACCGGTGCTGAGCCACAAGACAGGAGGGGCGAGACTCCACCCCTGCGCCTTCCTTCCTAAAACCCACCACCCTAGTCGGATCACAGGAAGACACCAGGCAAACCCAAGTCGAGGAACATTCAACAAAACACCTGGCCCGTCCTCAACCGTGTCGAGGACGCGAGAAGCTGCCACGGCCCAGAGGAGACCCAGGAGACAGAAGGACTCGGCGCCGTGCGGCAAGGAGGAAGAGCATTTAATAGGAAGAGAATTTCCTCCTCCCAGGGATGCTGGCTGCAGACGCGCTGCAGATGGAAGAAGTTCAGATTTTAAAAGCTACTTCTGCGAGCGCGTGAATTCCGACACCCATTCCCGCGGCTGGCGTGGCTTCTCCTCGGACCCATCCCCTGGCCTGGCGACTCCCCCTGGGACCCGGGTCGGTCCTCCGGACCCCTCGCGTGCAGGTGCTGAGCCCGGGCGGGGGCGGCGGGGGCGGGGGCAGCACTGGGGGCCGGACAAGGGGGCGCCAGCGCCTTCCGGAGCGGGAGGGGCTCCGCACACACCTCGACGGGGGCGGGGGTAGGCTCGGCACAGGCTAAAAACGAGCGGAGCCGCCGGGGCTTAGGCATCGCGGCACCTCCGTTGAACGGGTCTAAGAACAGAACTCCTGAGGACCCTCCGTTTCCAACCGAAGCCAGTCTTTGCTCTGCGTCTTCCCGGCCGCAGCGCCAGGACCGACCCCTTAGGACCCGGCGGGCGGGGCGGGGCGCGCGGGGCGGGGCGGGGATGGTGGGAGGGTCGCGTAGACCCGGCTGGGACGGAGGGACGGCGGCGCGGGATGCTCAGAACGCGTGTGGGCGGCCCGGGCGGCGTCTGGCCCTCTCCCCATCCTCGCGCGCCGCGCCCCAGCCCCGGGATGCTGCTCCGGCCCCGCAGGCCGCCCCCGCTCGCGCCCCCCGCGCCGCCCTCGCCCGCCAGCCCCGACCCCGAGCCGCGGACACCCGGAGACGCCCCGGGGACCCCGCCCCGGAGGCCCGCCTCGCCCAGCGCGCTGGGGGAACTCGGGTTGCCGGTGTCCCCGGGCTCGGCGCAGCGCACGCCCTGGAGCGCCCGGGAGACGGAGCTGCTGCTGGGGACGCTGCTGCAACCGGCCGTGTGGCGCGCGCTGCTCCTGGACCGCCGCCAGGCCCTGCCCACCTACCGCCGCGTGTCGGCCGCGCTGGCCCAGCAGCAGGTGCGCCGCACCCCCGCGCAGTGCCGCCGCCGCTACAAGTTCCTTAAAGACAAGTTTCGCGAGGCGCACGGCCAGCCGCCCGGGCCCTTCGACGAGCAGATCCGGAAGCTCATGGGGCTGCTGGGCGACAACGGGCGCAAACGGCCTCGCCGCCGCTCCCCGGGGTCCGGGCGCCCCCAGCGCGCCCGCCGCCCGGTCCCCAACGCGCACGCGCCGGCTCCCAGCGAACCAGGTAGGCGGGGGACTGGGGGGCCAGGTGGGGCCGAGGACTGCGGAGGAACCGGGGGCTGCCGAGGGCTGCGGGGGAGGGGCGGGCGCGCCCCGCGAAAATCCGCCCGACCGCCTGCTCCGCGTTCCCAGACGCCACCCCGCTGCCCACCGCCCGCGACCGCGACGCGGACCCCACCTGGACGCTCCGCTTCAGCCCGTCCCCACCGAAGTCTGCGGACGCCTCCCCCGCCCCCGGCTCCCCGCCAGCTCCCGCCCCGACCGCCCTCGCCACCTGCATCCCCGAGGACCGCGCGCCCGTCCGCGGCCCCGGGTCCCCGCCGCCACCCCCGGCCCGCGAAGACCCCGACTCGCCGCCCGGCCGCCCCGAGGACTGCGCGCCCCCTCCGGCCGCGCCCCCGTCGCTGAACACCGCCCTGCTGCAGACCCTGGGGCACCTGGGCGACATCGCGAACATCCTGGGCCCGCTGCGCGACCAGCTGCTGACCTTGAACCAGCACGTGGAGCAGCTGCGCGGCGCCTTCGACCAGACAGTGTCCCTGGCCGTGGGCTTCATTCTGGGCAGCGCGGCCGCCGAGCGAGGGGTCCTCAGGGACCCGTGCCAGTGAGTCCCGGCTGCGGCCAGTCTCCCCTCTCCAGGCCGAGGCCCCTCCGCCCTGACCCCTCCTGCTGCCTTCCCACCCCCGTTCTTGGGTATGTTCAATAAAAGGATTGTTTTCCTAGAGTCCGGGCTGTGTAGGAGTGCGGGTCTGGAGACGGGGAGGGAGTGGCGCCCTGCAGTGCTGGGGCTGCAAAGGTCAGGGCAGGGTTGCGACGCTCTCATCACAGAGAGGGGCTCCCACTCGCTCCTAAGGTGTAGACAGAGCTCCGTGGGGCGCACCCAAATGTAGGCCGAGGAGGCCAGGCTCGAGGGTGGTGGGCGTGGTGCCTGCTGCCGGGTCCTGGTCACACACTCGGTTCTCAAGGCCACACCAGACTCTCCCTGCCCCTCCCGGGGAGCCCCACTGAGTAAAACGAAGTGAACGGGTGGGCTCCGCTGGGGGTCCGGAGAGAACCTGAGGCTGACCCCACCTCTTCACTCAATGCAGGGGTAGGGGTTAGAGTGGTCGCCTCCACACTGCCCAGCAGAGAACCCCCTTTGACCCAGGAGTAGCATGGGGGGTTCCGAAGGTCCTCCCATGGCCTCGGGCAGCCTTGGACCACCCGGCTGAACTCTCCCAGGTCCTGGGAAACAAAAGGGGAAGAGAAGCCACAGAGCTCCAGGGAGGATGCTGGTTTTGTCTCCAGGGAGGTGGCTCTGGTCTGGGTGGGCCTAGGGAGGCGCTGAGCGTCTGGGGTGTGATCCTTGGGCAGAGGCTGAGGGCAGGGTCCTTGCAATTTTGAGAAAACCGAAGCAAACCTGCCCAGGAAGCATTTTCCAAGTAGCAATAGAGGGCCCCACCCTGGACCCCTGAGTCAGAAGAGGGATTGGCTGGAGCCGGAGATACAAATGTAGCCTGGAGGAGTTCCGCTAGCATAACAATGCCTGCAAATTAGTGGGCCCATCCAGAAAGACAAGTGGTTTGCCCAGGGCCATGCAGCTAAATGGGGCTGGGGGGGTCCCCGCTGGCCCAGCACCCAGCAGTCCTGAGGGGTTCCCTGTGGGTGGTATGGTTGCAGCCCCTCCTGCACATGCTTTTCTGGGTATCCAGAAGAATAGTTCCCGCTAGTGCTAAAGGCTGCTCCTGGGGAAATGAACGGCTTGCCCAGGTCTGAGGGGGAGGCCTGTGAGACCACGCCTGCAAGAACTGACTCCAAGCCTCACCTCATTTAAGAAACTGAGGCGCCGGACGCTGTGGCTCACGCCTGTAATCCTAACACTTTGGGAGGCTGAGGTGGGTGGATTGCCTGAGCTCGCTCAGGAGTTCGAGACCAGCCTGGGCAACATGGTGAAACCCCATCTCTACTAAAAATACAAAAATTAGCCGGGTGTGGTGGCGGGTGCCTGTAGTCCCAGTTACTCGGGAGGCTGAGGCAGGAGAAGTGCTGAACCCAGGAGGCGGAGGTTGCAGTGAGCCAAGATTGCGCCACTGCACACCAGCCTGGGCAACAGAGACTCTGTCTCAAAAAACAAAAAAACACTCTGAAGGCAGACGCGGTGGCTCACGCCTGTAATCCCAGGTCTTTGGGAGGCCAGAGGCGGGCAGATCACAAACGAGGTCAGGAGTTTGAGACCAGCCTAACCAACATGGTAAAACCCCATCTCTACTAAAAATGCAAAAATTAGGCATGGTGGCGTGAGCCTGTAATCCCAGCTACTCGGGAGGCTGAGGCAGGAGGAGGCAGGAGAATCGCTTGAACCTGGGAAGTGGAGGTTGTGCACTGCACTCCAGCCTGGGTGACAGAGCGAGACTCCGTCTCAAAAAAAAAAAAAAAAAATAGACACCCTAGGCCAGGCTAGGTGGCTCACGCCTATAATATCAACACTTTGGGAGGCCTGGGCGGAAAGATCACTTTGAGCTCAGGCATTCCAAACCAGCATGGGCAACATGGTGAGACCCCGTCTCACATCAGCTCCACCCTGCTGTGTTTCCTGAGAATCTTCAAGCTGCTAAAAGCCTGTTGGATGAGCCAAGCTTGCAAACATTCCCCCTCACATACACAGCCCCCAAAGGTCAGAGTCACAGGCTGAGGCCACAGTGGGGTCTGAAACAGAGCTTAGGTGCACCCTACATGACCCTGTCGCTCCAGAAGGTTACTGCTGACAGCAAGCCCAGGTCCAGACAGCCACATCCCAGCAAACACACCAGCACCCTAAGGGTGGGGGCTGTGCCGCTCTATCACTCGGGTTACTGGACACTCGGCCCTGGAGGAAGGACCCATCTCTGGGCTGGAGCAATTTAGGGGCACCAAGCAGAATTAATCTGCCTTCCTACTCAGGTAGTGGGGCAGGGGCCACGTGCTATGATCCTCCTGAGCCCGGTATCAGAATAATGAATCTGAATACATGGGCCCCGGACCTCTAATGCTTTCTAATCTGGTGCAGAGAGTGTATTTTGGCTGTTTAAATCAATCTAGGGGCCAGATGCGGTGGCTCATGCCTGTAATACCAGCACTTTGGGAGGCTGAGGCAGGAGAATTACTTGAGCTCAGGAGTTTGAGACCAGCCTGGCCAACATGATAAAATCCCATCTCTACAAAATACACAAAAATTAACTGGACATGGTGGCACGCACCTGCAGTCCCAGCTTCACTGGAGGCTCAGGCAGGAGGATCACTTGGGCCCTGGAGATCGAGGCTGCAGTGAGCTGTGATCACATGAGGCGCTCCGGCCTGGGCAACAGTGAAAGCCTGTCTCCAAAATAAGTAAGGCGCTCTGTAGGCATGGCAGGATTAGCCTCCTGTGTGCTGTTTAATGGGGCCAGTGTCTGAGCACAGTTGGTTTAGCGTTACCTTTTTTTTTTTAGATGGAGTCTGGCTCTTGTTGCCCAGGCTGGAGTGCAATGGTGCGATCTTGGCTCACCACAACCTCCGCCTCCTGGATTCAAGCGATTCTCCTGTCTCAGCCTCCCGAATAGCTGGGATTACAGGCATGTATCACCACGCCTGGCTAATTTTGTATTTTAGTAGAGACAGGGTTTCACCATGCTGGTCAGGCTGGTCTCGAACTCCCAATCTCAGGTGACCCGACCACCTTGGCCTCCCGAAGTGCTGGGATTACAGGCGTGAGCTACCGCACCTGGCCGGCTTAGCGTTTCTTTATCGGCCATGCACCAGACCAGCCCCACTTCCTAGTGGACGTGTCGGGGAGCGGGGAACATGGGGGAGTCGGGGAGCGGGGAGTGTGGGGGAGTCGGGGAGGGGAGCGTGGGGGTGTCAGGGAAGGGGGCGTGGGGTGTCGGTGAGGGGGGCATGGAGGTGTCGGGGAGGGGGGCGTGGAGGTGTTGGGGAGCGGGGATCGTGGGGCGTCGGGGAAGGGGGCACGTGGGATGTCAGGGAGGCCGAGGCCACAGGGGTGGGTGTTGGGGAGGGGTTGGGGAATCTCTACAAACTTTTTTTAAAGTCTGGTTAATTGACGTGTAATTCACATACAGTAAAACTCACCATTTGTAGTGTACGGTTCTACGAATTTGTAAAAATACATATAGTTGTGCAACCAAAACCACAATTGAGTTACGGAACATTTCCATAACAACAAGAAACTTTTTTTGTGTCCCTTTATAGTCACCTGCTCCCTGACTCCCAGCCCTGGCAACCATTGATCTATTTTCTGTTCCTATAGTTTCGCTTTTTCTAGAGGGCCATATGAATGGAATCATACAATGTGCAGCCTTTTCAGCCGAGTCTCACTCTGTCGCCCAGGCTGGAGTGCAGGGGCACGATCTCGGCTCACTGCAACCTCCATCTCCCAGGTTCAAGAGATTCTCCTGCCTCAGCCTCCTGAGTAGCTGGCCTCCCCCTCAGGTGGTCCCAGAGTGCTCGGAGGAGGCTCGGGCGAGTCGCGACGGGGCCGGCAGCACGCGCTGGGCCCGGTGTCTGTCCTCAGGCCCTGGACTCGGGGGGAGCGCGTTTCGGGGACTAGCTGGACTCCGGGCTGTGCGTGGGGGCGGTGCTGTCGGCCTGGGAGTGACGCGGGACTTCCTGCCCAGCGCAACCCGGCCTGGCCCCCGAGGGTGGGGGACAGGGCGACGCCCGCGGGGACCACGCTCTGGGGCGTGCGGGGCGCAATTCACGGGGCTGGGCTGCCCCAGGGGCTGGGAGGAAGGAGGCAGGGGGGCGCCCAAGTCTCCTACCCATGGCAGCGCATCAGGGCGCGTCCCAGAGCCGGGGGTGGACGGAGGCTTGGAGGCGGAGGCTTTGGGGACCCCCAAGCCTGGGCTAGAGCAGCCTCGGCGGGCTCTAGAGGGAGGGTGGAGGGAGGGGCCCGGGCTGCAGGAGGCGGGGAGGCCTGAGCCACGGTGGTGGGGCCGCTGGGCAGGAGAGAGGGGCTGCCTGACCCTGCCGTGTGAAGGTGAGGTTGTCTTCGGGCTTGGGGGGATCGGAGGGGGCGGTTCAGGTGGAGGTGGTGGCGGGGGGCTGGGAAACCGGCAGGAGGGGCTCTATGTAGAGCTGGGGGTGGGGGTGCTGAACCACGTACAGAAGGGGGCTGAGACACCGGGGCCCTGGGCCCCGGAAATTAGAAATGGAGAAATGGAAGGCTGGGTGCTGGCGTTTCGGAAATGCATGCTCGTGGTGTTCCTCTTTATGTAAGGGAAGCTTCTGGGCCTTTTCCCTGCCTGTCGAACGTTCTGTATGTTTTTGCGGGATGTGTGAGGTGTGCTGTCTTGCTCCACTTTGAGGCACCGCCCCCACTGCGGGAGTGCTGGGGACCTGCCCCATGGGGCATCCTCGGGGCCAGCCCTGTGGCCACAGGCATCTGGGCCCTCGCTGCCCCTGGCCGGGACACACTGCCGGTCCTGTGCAGTGGCTCAAAGCCCCTCTACCGGGGGTGACCCGGTCTCTCCGGAGATGAAGTGCAGCGGGGGTCTAGGCCGGCTTCCTGGCCCCCCACCCCTCCTGGCTTTACCCCCGAGGCCACGTCCAAAGCCCCCAGCGCCCCACCCCCGCCAGCCTCCCCCTTGAGGGCCCAGTGACCTAACTGGGCCGGCAGGGTCCGAGGAAGACCAGGGTCAGCGGCGGCACGGTCCGTTCCGCGACCCCTCTCCTGTGACCCCAGGTAGGCCGCCGATCGGTTCCCGGCTGAGGTCCCGCCCCAGCGCCCGCCTCCCGGGCTCCAACCTCTTTGCTCAGCCCGGGAGGCTCGGCTGGCTGGGGCGGGCGTAACCGTGGGGCGAGGCCCGCCGGTCTTTCTGATTTCCGCGGGCGGCGTGGGCGCTGAGGCAGCCGCGGTCAGGACCTGGCCGGGAGTCGGGGCTGCTCCGTGGACCCCGCGTCTGCGCCGAAACCCCGCATGGCTTCGGGGGCCGGACCTGCGCCTCCGCCTAACTCCGGCCGCCGGAGACGCCGTGCGGACCCCAAGCCAGTGCGCGGAAGACACCGTCCTACCCTCGGCATGGCTGCCTCCCACCCGGTCACGTCGGTCCCCGCGCCCCACGCCGACGCGCAGGCGACCCGGGGACGCGGAGACGCAGACAGCTCGGGACTCAGGTTCGTGGGAGCAGCGGCCGCGCGTGGCTATGACCGTCCCGGGGGCCCGTGCTCAGGGCGTCCCCGTGAGGTTTGGGCGCCACAGTCACCGGCGGCTCTGCCCGCGCCCTGGCCACAGTGGGGACAGCCTGGCTTGGCGGGGACGCACCAGTCCCGCCGCCGACGCGGAGTTCCTACCCCGCCGTGCGAGGCAGTGGCTCCGGCCCTTCCAGCTCGGGATGGAGTCAGGGAGCCGCCCGCGCCCGAATGCAGAGGCTCCTGCGATGGCCCCGGAGTGAGTCCCCCAGAGGAGCCGGATTAGGGCTGGAGGCGGCCGAGTCCCCCGAGAGGCCCCTCCCGACATTCCCGCCCCCGCGCGCCGCTCCCCGGGTCCTCCGCGTCTCTTTCCCGGGAAAGCCTCCCTCGGTTCCTGCGCGGCCGCACAGCCTGGACGCAGCGCACGCGGGCACCGGCCTGACTCTCCCACCCCGAAGCCTGCTCCCAACCTAAGTCCGCCCTGACTCTCCCAGCCTGAAGCCTGCTCGCCCTCGGGTGTCCGGGCTGGGCACAGGCGCCAGCGTCCCCCTGGAGAGGAGAGGTCGCCCGGCACCTCCCAGGACAGGCCCAAGTGGGAGTGGGACCCTCCTACCTTCCTGCAGCCTCGGCCCGCGGGGTGGGGGGTTGGGAGAGATGAAAGGAGGTGACCGATCCCGAACCATCGCCTCTCCATTAACCAGGGCCCGCAGCCCCGCCCCTCCCCCAGACATCGAGGAGCCGGGGAGGTGTGAACGGCCTCCTTTGTGCCTCTGAATCGAAGGCAATTAGGCGCTGCTTATCTGGGCATTAGCCGTGTATGCAAACCGGGCTCCCGCCCCCTCCTCCTGGGCTTATAAACGCCGCCGCCTGGCGAGGCCCGAGGTGGATCCTGCGCCTGGCCAGCCCCGCCTGGCCTTCCCTCCGGCCCACCTGGCCGCCATGCGCCTCTCCTCCTCCCCACCTCGTGGCCCGCAGCAGCTCTCCAGCTTTGGCTCCGTGGACTGGCTCTCCCAGAGCAGCTGCTCAGGGCCGACCCACACCCCCAGGCCTGCCGACTTCTCCCTGGGGAGCCTCCCTGGCCCAGGCCAGACATCCGGCGCCCGGGAGCCCCCTCAGGCCGTCAGCATCAAGGAGGCCGCCGGGTCCTCAAATCTGCCTGCGCCGGAGAGGACCATGGCCGGTAGGTCCGGGTGGGGGGGGTCCCTTCCTTCCCAGGTGGAGATGGGAGTGGGGGAGAGGCCAGGAGCCCGGCGGCTGCACTCCCCGCGGTGCCCTGCCCACTAGGTCAGGGCCGGGGGCGTTTCCATGAGGGCCGGCGGAGGCCTTGCCGGCGCCCTCACTGGAGCGCAGCTTCCCTCGGAACCAAAGCCTTGACGGGGATTTCCTCTCCTTGAGCCCCCGGTGGGCTCCTCTGCCTCCTTTTGTCACCCCGTTCCTCAGCTGTGTCTTCGTCCCCCACCCCGGCCTGGTGCCGAGGGACCGTCCAAGGGGTCCCCGTCCGCACCTCCCTGCCCTGATTCCGGGCGCTCACTGAAAGTCTCGATGATTTGCCAAGCCCCCCGCCCCCGCCCCCCAGCACAGCCGGTGCCTGCTCAGCGTCTAGGCTCAAGCCCATTCCGGGTCACCTGGAGCACAGCTGTCTTTAAAGAGCCTGCAGGTTCGCTGCAGGGGTGGCGGTGACCCCGATGCCTGCAGAAACTCTGAAGTTCCCTCTGTGGCCGCCCAGATGCTCTGTTGTCTGCTGAGAACAAAGGTTCTCTGCGTTTGTGTTTTAGTCTTTGTGACATCATCACCACTTTTAGGTTTAAGGTAGTACTTGGTCAAAAGTGGGGTTGACATCATCTACAAGTTTTCATTTTTAAAAATTTGACTGATCCTTATGGAGTGACTTTGTACTTAAGGGAAATGAAAATTTAAATGTATTCTCCCCAGCTAGCTATCCTGCCCCACCCCAAAAAAGCCAGCCATCCCTGTCCCGCAACCCCCTTTCTGATGCCAGTCCTACAGCCCTCCCTGCCAGAAGGCATTTGCTTTTTGGGTCTACCATGTGCTTTCAGGCTAACGTTAAGACAGATTTTGTAAAATACGCTTCCTTCCGCAGAAACTCCAGCGAGCATTTTGGTCAGACTTGCATTTAATGTCGAGCTCGATTGGCCACGTTGGCCTTTCCTGGGACCCAGACCCAGCTCCACAGACCACCTCGTGGGGCCGTTTGGTGCCAGCCCCCATTCCTTAACTTAGAAATTAGGAAACAGACTTGACCACAGTGGGCCTGGGGATTAACTGAGTTGGCCTCCGCTGGCTGAGGAGACGGAGCCCGGGACAGGGATGGGTGCCCCTGGGTGGGTCGCCAGGCCTTTGCATATAATGGATTCTTACCTTACCGGCCTGGAAGGCTGTGGGAAGGGCATCCTGGGAACCGGCTTCTGGAAGGGAAGTGTGGGATGGGGCGGAACTGAGTGGACTGAGCGGAGGGCAGGCCCAAGCTGCTGTTAACATTCCCTCCCCTCTTGAGCCCCCTCTCTGAGCCCCCTTTCCGCATGTGACCTGGGAGGCGGCGGGGGTGCTGCTGGTCACTGTCAGGTGAGAAGATCTGCCCTGCCCAGCCCCCAGCATGGCTGTCTTCACCTGTTACCCGTGGGCACGAGCTTGCCCCATGGGGTGGCATGTTGAGCCAAATGCCCTTACCCTCTATGTCAGGGTTGAGTAAGGAGCCAAATACCTTGCGGGCCCCCCGTGTCCGCACAGCCTTCACCATGGAGCAGGTCCGCACCTTGGAGGGCGTCTTCCAGCACCACCAGTACCTGAGCCCTCTGGAGCGGAAGAGGCTGGCCAGGGAGATGCAGCTCTCAGAGGTCCAGGTGAGGTGGGCCGGGCAGGCTGGGGTGGGCAGGGGTGGGCAAGGGTGGGCTGGTGGCCTAGTCTCACCCCTGTTCTGATCTTGCTTTTCCTACAGATAAAAACCTGGTTTCAGAATCGCCGCATGAAACACAAACGGCAAATGCAGGACCCCCAGCTGCACAGCCCCTTCTCGGGGTCTCTCCATGCGCCCCCAGCTTTCTACTCAACGTCTTCTGGCCTTGCCAATGGCCTGCAGCTGCTGTGCCCTTGGGCACCCCTGTCCGGGCCCCAGGCTCTGATGCTGCCCCCTGGCTCCTTCTGGGGTCTCTGCCAAGTGGCACAAGAGGCCCTGGCATCTGCGGGAGCTTCCTGCTGCGGGCAGCCTCTGGCGTCCCACCCCCCTACCCCAGGCCGGCCTTCGCTGGGACCAGCCCTGTCCACGGGGCCCCGGGGCCTGTGTGCTATGCCACAGACGGGGGATGCATTTTGAGGAGGCACCTCTGACTCCCACACTCGCGGTCTTGCTGATCGCACCTGGCTCCTACCTGGAGGACTCAGTTGTTCTGTTTACATCCTGGTGGCACCTCTCACCCTGACCCACACAAAGGTTCTGGAGATTACTGGAGAATATATATAAATATATATATGTACGTATATATGTAAATACACATATACGTATATATAAATATATATATACATATGTGTGTGTATATATATATATATTTTTTTTTTTTTTTTTTTTTTTGAGACGGAGTGTTGCTCTGTCACCCAGGCTGGAGTGCAATGACGCAATCTCGGCTCACTGCAACCTCCGCCTCCTGGGTTCAAGCGATTCTCCAGCCTCAGCCTCCCGAGTAGCTGGGATTACAGACACCCGCCACCACGCCCGGCTAATTTTTTCTATTTTTAGTAGAAATGGGGTTTCACCATGTTAGCCAGGCTGGTCTCAAACTCCTGACCCTGTGATCCGCCCGCCTCGGCCTCCCAAAGTGCTGGGATTACAGGCATGAGCCACTGCACCCGGCCCTGAGAATATATTTATTAAAGCCACCTCTTCACTGAAAGTTACCGAAAGAGTCGGTTTAGGAAGGAAACGAAGGGTCAGTGAACAGAGTCAAATGCAGAAGTGGGCTTGTCATGGGTAGGGCTTTCGGCGTACGATAAAAGGATCATTTGTTTTTTAAAAGGGGTTGGAAAAACTGGTTTTCCAGTTGGAAACAGTAAAGGTTGTAAGCTTTGTGTGTACAAAAGAAAACAGGGAATGCAGGTGTGTTTATAGCGTTGTGGTTCAAGTCCCTCTTAACAAGAACTCCAAAGCTGGAAAGCAGGAGGGAACAAAGGTGAACATGAAGGCGAGGATGCTGGGGCCCTGCAGTGCGCTCTAGGCTGTGCGTGAGCCGGGACTGTACCCACAGCTTGCTGAGGGCTGCTCTTCTTGGGCCAGGGAAAGCAGGGCAGCCGGGACCTGCGGCTGTGCCTGGACTGAAGCTGTCCCGCAGGTCCCCACCCTCCAACACGTGCTCACCTGTCCCCCTGCTCGCAGCAGCCTCGGGACAAAACAATGACTCAAGGACAGCACTTCTTGCAGAAGGTCTGGAAGTGCCCAGAATGGGAGGCACGGAAGCCCCTCCCGGGGAGGACTCCCGCGTTGATGGACCGTTCTTGGTGCAGACTCCTGACTGCGTGCATGAAACCTGAGACAAGTGCAATTCCTTCCATGTCGCCCCAGAGTGCCCAGGAGGCAGGCAGTGCGGGGTGCCCAGGCAGACGGGTTCAGCCTGCAGAACTGGAGGCGACCTGTGAAACCCACCCGGGCACCCCAACAGGAACAGAAGCGTGGTCCTGCGGCTGCGTCCCCAGCGAGTTTCACTTTCCCCTTGCTCGTTTCTCCCTTGTTGTAAGTGTTTACAACTGGCATGTGCTTTTAAACGTCAGGTAAGAGGGGAACAGCTGCTGTACATCGTCCTGGCGAGTGACAATGTGACAGAAGCCTGGGCGAGGCCCTCGGAGGGCAGCAGCTGGACAGGGACTACTGGGTTTGGCCTGGACAGCACTGATTTGTGGATGTGGATGGGGGCACGTTGTCCGTGATAAAAGTACAAGTGCCCCTCACCGCCCGTGGAGATTGCTTTCTGGTCCCCTGTGTGGCCCCAGGCCACAAACCACACCGTCTTGGTCCTGAACTCTCCCGGTGAGTAAGGGCCCTGGCCTGGTGGTGTCTCGAGGTCCTGCCAGCACACTGGGCCCTACAAGGTGGGCAGCCCCTTGGGGCTGAGCTGTGCCTGTTCGGAGGCACACCTGGGCCTCCTTAGGGCCCTGGCTCCATCCTGCAGATGAGGAGCTCTGGAAAAGGGCAAAGTCCCGGAGGCTGAGGAGTGGGGCGGGCTCCAAGTGTCCAGCAGGGACCTAGACCCTGAGTTCTGGGGGATCCACAAGGCCCTCAGGCCCAGGGAAGGCTCTGCCACCCACGACTTCCAAACTTCTCTCCCTGTCCCCCATCCGGGGCTGCAGAGTGAGTTGGCCCAGGCCTCATGGGCTGCTGGTATCTGGGTGGACCTTGAAGACCAAGATGCCCCCAAGCCCTACTCCACCCACCTGCTGCGTCACAGCTGGCCGGGATGCAGTGACCACTCCGCTGGCCTCAGCCTGTTTCCGCTCTCCCCTGGGGGCCTTCCTCACATCCCCACAGCCTGTTTCCGCTCTCCCCTGGGGACCTTCCTCACATCCCCGCAGCCTGTTTCCCACTCTCTTCTGGGGTCCTCTGGCTGACAGCTGGACGTCAGTCCCAGAGTTTGGCAAGTCCTCTGCTCCTGGATGCCCCCAGCTGCCCCCACAAGCACAGTGCCCCAGGTGCTCTTGGCCCCACCCCACTCAACATCCCCATGTGGACATCTTACAAGCACTGGGGGTCCTGACCTGACTGGGGGCGCAGGGCGGCGGGGCAGAGACACCTACACATCCCGGGCAGAGGAAGGCGGTCAGAAGCTGCAGCTGTGAGGAGGTCTCAGCACAGCTGGGCACGAGGGGTGCAGCCTGGACGCGCCGGATGGCAGGGGTCAGGGCGTAGGACAGGGCCCCTCAGGGTCCAGCTCTCTGCGAGACAGAAAGTCTTGGGGTCCAGCCAAGATGCATCCGGAAACAACAGTCTTTAGATGCCAGAACTCCTGAGCTCCACGGTGATTCCTGCCGAAGCTGAGTCACGTGTGGGTGTGTCACCCGTGCTGCACGTGGCGTGTGAGTGGGTGTGTCACGTGTGATGTGTGTGGTGTGAGTGCGTACATGTCATGGATGTGAGAATTCCGTGTTGTGCTCTGGATGTGGGGTGTATATGTGTTTGTGCATGTGTAGTGTATGCACGCATGTTACTGTATCTTGTATGCTGTGCATGTGTAATGTGTGCTGTGCCGTGTGTGTCGTGTGCATGTCCTGTGTGCATGTGTAATGTGTGTGCTGTGTATGTGTTGTGTGCACCACGTGTGTGTCATGTCTGTGCTGTGTGTGTAGTGAACGTGTGTGCTGTGTGGGTGTGTAGTGAGCGTGTGTGCTGTGTGTGGGTCGTGTGTAGTGAACGTGTGTACTCTGCATATGTTGTGTGTCTCTCCCAAGCCCCGGACACACTCTGTCAACTCTGCCTTGTCCTCTCTGTAACCGGAGTGGCTGTCAGGGCAGGGAGGCTGTGGGGCCGGGTGTGGACGCCGGGGACTCAGGCTGCCGATGGGCCCTGGGCCTGCGATGCCGCCGGGCTTCCTGCTCACCCTCCTTTCCCTCTGAGCTGCCCAGCTGCATGGGGCCGAGGGCTATGCCGGCTCCTTCCCCACGGGATCAGGTGGGAGGTGCAGTCGCTATGAAATAGTCCTGCCAAGAATCTCTGGGAACCTGCACATCTAACTTCCAGTGGACAGGAACCCTCGGGGGCTCCCAGGGCGCCCAGCTGGGCTCCTGCAGAAGCCTCTGTGAGAGAAGGTGGGGTGCCCTCGGGGGCTCCCAGGGTGATCAGCTGGGCTCCTGCAGAAGCCTCTGTGAGAGAGGGCGGGGTGCCCTTGATGCAGAGGCTGGGGAGACGCAGCCGCAGGTGCACACATGAGCCCTGACAAAGAAGTGTGGGAAAGCACAGCCCTGCACAGCTGGTGGGGATGATTCCGAGGGGCTCGGGACGGTGCTGGGGAGTGGTCCGTGTCCTCGGGTGTGGAGAACACCCTGTCTCCAGAGGCAGCGCTCAGGGCCTCAGATCTGAAACTGACATTCAAAGGGTTCAAGACATAGCATGACGTAAATATGGCAGAATATCCACTCCCCTCTCCGTGGGGAGTCCACGGGGCTCGTGCACTTCTCTTTTCAATTCTGCACCTGAGACTATCCAGGAAACTGCAGGGAAGAGGCTGCTTGGACTCGGCCCCTAGCCGGCCCCAGCGTCTCTTCCGAGGCCCAGCACTCACTCCCATTCTGAGCCCAGACTTGTCGGCTTCCAGGCCGTGAGGAAGTGGCAGAGTGCTCAGGGCCTCCTAGGCCACGCCAGGACCTCTGGAGCAAAGTGGGCTCACTGAACAAAAGCAGGCCTTGGCCTCCTTTAGGGGTGTTTGGTGGGGCCCTGCACAGCCCCCAGTCAAAGAAAAATCACCTGGGCCGGGCGCGGTGGCTCACACCTTTAATCCCAGCACTTTGGGAGGCCGAGTCAGGTAGATCATGAGGTAAGGAGTTCGAGACCAGCCTGGCCAAGATGGTGAAAACCATCTCTACTAAAAATACAAAAATTAGCCGGGCACGGTGGCGGGCACCTGTAGTCCCAGCTACTCTGGAGGCTGAAGCAGGAGAATGACGTGAACCTGGGAGGCGGAGGGTGCAGTGGGCCAAGATCGTGCCAGTGCATTCCAGCCTGTGCAACAGAGCAAGACACCAACTCAAAAAAAAAAAAAAAAAGGTAAGTACCAGAAGCGCTGGCCCTCCCCCCATTGCCTCTGCAGCCTGGCTGGGAGGCTCTGCCACCCCCACCTCAGAAAGGTTCCGTTCATGCCCCAGAGTGGCGGTCAGCTTCTCAGGGGACTCCTGGGGCTCCTGAGTACTCCCCAAGGCAGGGTCTCAGAGGGCTTCCTCTTGTTCCCAGGCCAGGAGGACCCTCATTCCCAGCCTGGCTGTCCACAGAAGCCACAGTGAGCCACTCCCCCATGGTGCCCCTCAGCCCCCACCTACCATTCACAGGACAACGGCCTCAGGACCGGGGGGCTGTGGCCAGGAGGCCTCCGTTTCTGGGACGCCTTCCAGCCCCGTCCTGGCCCCTGTGCTCCTTCCAATGCCCTCAGCAGGGTCTCAGTGGCTGGACCTGATACGTGGGCATGTCTTGGCAAGCCTGGACAGCCACCTTGGTGGGGTCTTGGCAGGAGCCCTGCCCATCTTCCTGGGGGAATTCATCCCTCTCCCTGCCCAGCAAGCCGCCCACCCTGCAGTACAGGTGAGGGCACACGGCCCAGCTCACCCAGCCCAGATCCCAGGGAGGGCATAGCCCTCAGAACCACAGCTCTTCTGGGGAAATGGGCACCATACTGGAGAGTGGGGCCTCTCCTTTCACAGCCCAGCAGGTGCTGTTAATTACACCGCAGCCTTGCAGGGACAGAGCTGGGCAGGGTACGAGCGCAGAGTGAGGCGGAGGGACGGAGCCAGGCGGGGTACGAGCGCAGAGTGAGGCAGAGCCTTTGGCTCCCTGGATCCAGCCGTGCCTGCATCCCCATTCTGCCGACACTGTCTGGAGTAACAGCTGCTGCTGCATGTCCGCACAGCACAGCGAGGTAATACCTGCTTTATCTGTGCAGCTTTAAAGCCCTATGTTCAGGTGTCCTGTGGAGAGTGACTCGAAGGCCTGCAAGAGACTCCCCAGCAGGGCCGACCTCCACCGTTCCCTAGGGGGCAGGGGGAGCAGCCGAGCTCGTTGGGGTGGGGGGCGTGGCTGCCCTTCCACATGTGGCCTGCGGCCCCCCGGCCGGAAGCACCCCACCCCTCTGCCTGCTGCCTGATCTTTCCCCTCGGACACCCCAGCTGCGGGCTGTGAGGGAGGTGGGAGGTGACTATCAGATGAGATTAGTGCTAGGCTTGGAGAGGAGGCGCAGCCTGGGGAGGCAGCCCCTGATAACCGGCCTGGGGGCCTCTCAGCCAGCTCATTGCTCCATTTGCTGGGCTCATTGGTGATAAAGGCTGTGGCCTTCAAAGACCTGGGCGTGGCCCTGCCGGCTGACGAGGACTCTGGCTGAAGGGTGGGGCCTCCCCGACTCCCGTTCAGGCCTCCTTTTAAGACAGCAGCCGACTGTCATTCTTTAAACAGGGCTGATGAGGGACCCCCTGTCCATTTTTCTTCAGTGGGAAGTCAAGACCGCAGTCCCACCCTGGCCATTGTGGAGGCCTGGAAGCTGCGGGGCCCCCGCCCAGGACAGACCAGTGCCCCCCACCCTCACAAGCCGTCCCTCTGGGCTCTCCCAACACTGCCGGCCGGTCCCAGGCTCTGGTCATCAGAAGGGTGGCCCCAGACCGGTGCCCAGCCCAGGCCCCCAACCGAGGCCCCAGGAGCCGTTTCATCCCCCCGTGTTTATGCATTTTTAACTAAGTTCCCCCAAGTCCACACGTGACTAATGTGACGTCCAACCACCGTGAACGAGAGGAGACCAGCACGACAGAGCTGCTTTGTCAAAATTTGTATTTATTGTCAAAACTTTACCACATCTCACACATTTAAATGAAATTAGCTCTACTGAAATTTCTGACCAGAAAATCAACTCATACCCATGATTACAAAAGTAATAAAGGTGTTAAGAAGCAACAGCCAGCCGGGCGCTGTGGCTCACGCCTGTAATCCCAGCACTTTGGGAGGCCGAGTGAGGTGGATCATGAGGTCAGGAGTTCAAGACCAGCCTAACAAGGTGAAACCCTATCTCTACTAAAAATAAAAAAATTAGCCGGGTATGGTGGCAGGCGCCTGTCGTTTCAGCTACTTGGGAGGCTGAGACAGGAAAGTCGCTTAAACCCGGGAGACAGAGGTTGTAGTGAGCCGAGATCGCGCCACTGCACTCCAGCCTGGGTGACAGAACGAGACTCCATCTCAAAAAAAAAAAAAAAAAAAAAAAGCAGCAGCAGCAAAAGTGCACAGACCCAGCGTGCACGCGTCTCCGCCACGCCTCACTCCCGTCTGCGCCTGGATCCACCGCCACCCGCTTGTATAAAAAGTGGGCCCCACACGGTGCAGCTTCGTAGTCTGCAAAGAAAATGTCCAAAGAATGAGTTGTGGATCCTCCCAGCCAGAGCCCAGATCCCAGGCACCCCGCCCCACTTCCCCCGACCACCAGGCGGCCCCAGAGCCCAGGTTGTCCCTCCCGCCACCTCCTGTAATGGGTCCACCCCCAACTCCGGTCAGACTGGTCACAGAGCACCGCCCAGCTCCAGCCCTCCTCTCTGCATCCTGGGTCCCAGCTCAGGGGCTGCAGAGATCAACCCAGGGCAGAGGCCTGGACCACGTCCTCCCCAGACACTTCCAGAACCCACACAAAAGCACACATCCACGTTTCCCTTGTTTTAGAATATTTGGCCCCTTTCTGCCCCAAGGATGTGGGGGTCAAAGCCCCGGGGCTCCCGGCCGAGGAGAAAGGAAGCAGGTGGAGTCCCAAGTCAGGAGGCAGGTGCTGCTGGAGCAGGTGCAGGTGCACTGGTGCAGGTGCCGCTGGGGAGGACCCGACCGCCCCGTTTTCCCATGCCCTATACCTCTTTAGGCCAGATCCTCAAAGAAGTATATGCATAGGAAAAAGGAACGGCGGGCGGCTCTGAGGCGGGCCGGCTCTTCAGCACTGGGAGGTGGCTGTCCTGGGGGAGGGTCCCGTGCCGGGCAGCAGGGAGAAGTCGGGACTGAGGCCTGGTGGGCACGGAGATCCTGTGGGAGTGAGGAGGGCAGAGCCAAGCCAGGGCCGAGTTCCCAGAGGCAGGCCTTGGGCCTCGTCTTACCTGTGGTCCAGCCTCCTGGGCCGCTGGCGCTGGGTAGCCCGTGAGCCTCGTGAGCCTGGGAGGAGCGGTGGAGAACTCTCTGAGCCGGGAGTTCTGCTGCTGCCGAGCGAGCTCCACATTTATGCGCAGGGGAGACCTTGGCCGCCGCTGTCACATGCAACCAGAGGGCTGCTCTGTGCCAAGGACCCCGTCGCACCCCCGCACCTGCCAGATTGGGGCACAAAGACCTGCTGTGAGAAGAGTGCTGAGCCAGGGCCCGCCGGGCGGGCGGGCGGCGAGGGCTGTGGGCCGGGGGCTGCTGGCCCGGGAGCTGGGATGGGGCCAGCCTGTCCCCCCGCCTCCTCCAACCCTTATCTCCCCACGCGCTTCTGCTTGCGTCAGGGGCCCGGAAAGCACACGTGAGCAAGAATCGCTTGTCCAGGGAAGGGGCCGACTCTCCTTCCTGGGCCTGCCCAGCTCAGCAATAAGCAGCACCTTGGGCTGCACCCGCAGCCTCCTGGCTCACAGGGACTCTCAGAACCCCCAGCCAGCGTGTCCAACACTGTCCTGGCCACTGGGAACCAGACCCCACCCCCAGGGTAGGTGGCCCTGCTTGGCCTGGGGCGGCCTCCACAGCTGGGGCTCCCTGAGGATTCACGGCATCAGGCGGACACTGGTCCAGTGAGGCCCAGAGCCTTCCCCGGGCCACAGAGCCCGCGAGCACGTGGAGAGGGGCCACGCTCTGCAGCCTTGGGGGCAAGAGTGCAGGGTCGGAGGGAGAGGGCCCCTCAGGGACAGCTGGCCAGACCCACAGCTGCCCACACAGAGCGAGACCACACAGGCAGGCAGACACCCTCTCCTAGGGCCAGGGAGCCCCCGGCCGAAGGGCCCAGGCAGGCAGCAGAACTCCTGCAGGTCTGGGGCTGTCCCTGTGTCCCAGGCTCAGGACACAAGGAAGAGGCCCAGAGGAGGCCAGGGCACAGGGCTTCCACAGGTGGCCAGGGACAGGGCTTCTGAACCCCAGCCAGCGGTCTCTCCCCAGGACGTAGGCAAGTGGAGGCTGGTGAAGGAACAAGGCTGAGGCCTCAGAGGCCTCTTCAGTGACCATGTCCTCGGGGAGACTCAACGTCGCTAGGCAGGCCCGTGCGGGCGCCTGGCCCCAGCACCTGTGATCTGTAGGGCCAGAGTCTCAGGACTGACCCGACGCAGCACCCACATGCGGCAGGGACACACAGAGACCCCCATAGACACACGTAGACACATATAGACTCACATAGACACACACAGAGACACACACAGACACACATAGACACACACAGAGACACAGACATGTAGACAGAGACACACTCAGACATGTAGACACACAGAGACACAGATGTACACAGAGACACACACAGACACGCACACAATGGACCCACACACCCCCCAGGTGCAGCGGGCCTTGACTGTTGTACGCGAGAGTCTCCTGTCCCCTGAGTGGGGAGGGGCGTGGGGGGCATGAGGGGCCAGGTGGGGCTGCAAGACTGTCCAGCGCCCTCCTGATGGCCCCCGAGGCGGCCAGGAGCCCCGTCTGGGGAAGGACGAGTGGGCCCTGCTGGGCAGGAGGAGCCATAGGGACCATGGGGATGATGGACGATGGATGATGACCCAGCCACCTGCCAGGCCACTCTGCAGACCCCCCATGGGAGCAGCCTCTGCCCCCACCTTGTGCAAACCGTTGATCTGCACGCCAGGCCAAGCAGGTGATTGTCACGACCAGCGATGGCCACAGAGGGGTGGGGGGGAGCACATCAGTCGGTCACAAGCCCTCCTGGTGGGGACATGGGGCTGGGGACAGGCCCTGCTCAGGGCTGGTCCCCCACAACGAGGCCCAGAGTGGGCACGGGGGGCTGCTGGGCTCCATCCACCTGCTGGCAGGCTGAGGGTTGCCTTCTGGGGGAGGAGGGAACGTGGAGCTCAGACACACGCATGCTCACACTCAGGCTCACGCACACTCCTGCAGGCATGCTCACATCCACACACACGTGCATGCACAATTCACACACTCAGGCTCACCCACACTCACTCCTGCAGGCACGCTCACATCCGCACACGCATGCACAATTCACACACTTATGCTTACCCTCACTCACACACGCCCATGGTCCCCCACCTCCATGAGGTCCGAGGATCCGAGGAAGAGTCCTTGGGGGGCTAGCAGGGGAGGGGCCCCACTCCTCCAGACACCTAGAACCTACACAGAGAGCCCCAGCATCACACTTCGGGGGCCTGGGCTCAAAAGGCCCCTGCAGAGCCCCCCATCCTGGGCCTCCGCCCAGCATCAGCCCTCCCTGTTTCTCCCCGTTGTTTCTCCCCGTTTCTCCCCGTTTACAGCTGCCCGGCGAGGCTTCTGGGAAACACATAATGCAAACCCTGACCTTGGGCTCCTGACCTCGGTTCTGCAAGAGGGAAGGAGGAGACAGGCAGAGGGCCAGAGAGACAGAGACAGAGAGACCAACAGACACAGAGAGAGACACAGACAGAGTCAGAGAGAGAGAGAGAGGCAGACACAGAGAGAGACACAGACAGAGACAGAGAGAGAGAGATCAGCAGACACAGAGAGAGACACAGACATAGAGGGACAGAGACAGAGACAGTGGGGAAACAGAGACCAAGAGACAGAGACAGTGGGGAGACAGAGAGAGAGACAGACACAGAGAGACAAAGAGAGAGAGACACGGACAGAGATAGAGAGACACAGTGGGGAGACAGAGACCGAGAGACAAAGACACAGAGACAAAGAGACAAACAAAGAGACAGAGACAGTGGGGAGACAGAGAGTAGGGAGATAGAGACAGAGACACAGAGACAGTGGGGAGACAGAGAGGCAGAGACAGAGAGACACATACAGAGAGAAAGAGCAGGGAGACAGACAGACACACACAGAGAGACACATACAGAGAGACAGAGACAGCGGGGAAGCAGGGAGACAGAGACAGAGAGACACACACAGAGAGACAGAGACAGCAGGGAGGCTCTGGGCTATTCTAGGGCATCGCCCAGTCCCTCACTTGGTTTCCCTAACTTTTTTCTGGATTATAAACCCACACCTGCTGATCAGGAAGACTTTCATCATCCACACGGGTTTAAAGGGGCTTCCAGGGACCGGAGGGTCGGGCTGCGCACAGGTGTGGGGACGGCCACCCTCTGCTGCCTCTGCAGGTGGAGGAGCCCAGGGCCCGTCTTCCTGCTGGCCCCATCGGCTGGAGCCTGGGAGCTGGGGTGACAACTGGGTGGGGGCCCAGACCCCCCTCTGTTTCCCCCTAGGCCTCAAGGAGCCACAGAAGGCTGTGGGCCAGGCAGTGGGCAGAGGGTGGCCGTCCTCACACCTGTGCGCAGCCCGACCCTCCGGTCCCTGGAAGCCCCTTTAAACCCGTGTGGATGATGAAAGTCTTCCTGATCAGCAGGTGTGGGTTTATAATCCAGAAAAAAGTTAGGGAAACCAAGTGAGGGACTGGGCGATGCCCTAGAATAGCCCAGAGCCTCCCTGCTGTCTCTGTCTCTCTGTGTGTGTCTCTCTGTCTCTGTCTCCCTGCTTCCCCGCTGTCTCTGTCTCTCTGTCTTGTGCTGTCTTGGGCTCGGGCTGCCGGGTGGAACTGGTCAGAGGGGCGGCAGCCGAGGGACCAGGTGTCAGTGTCGCCTGGCCATCCTGGCTACGAGCCCTGGAGGTCCTGAGACCCCTCAGGGGATTCTGTGAGGTGACGGGAGGGACTCAGAGCAAACCCCAGCCCCTGAGGGCCGAGGGACCACCCGCAGGTGGACCCCAGGCTTCCCGACAGGCACACCCCACACACCTGCCCCCGTCCCGAGCTCCCTGTGGCTCCCCAGTGCTTTGAATGAAACCCAGCCTGTGAGCAGGAGGACAGGGACCCACCTCACCCACTGGAGGCCGCACAGCCTGGCTCCCACCCATCCTGGGGACCTCCTGCCGGAGATTTGCAGAGTAGGGGTGGAAGGGCCTGAAAGCAGAGGAGCCCCACCCGGGCATCCTTCCCACCATCCCGGGGCCTCCTGCTGCACCGCCAACCCCGAGAAGGCCTCAGCAGTCCAGCCAGCACCAGCCGGGGACTGTGTCCTGGTCCTTCCCCCATCAGCAGGGGTCAGGATGACCACCTGGGCAGGGGCCCTGCTGTGGGTCCAGACACTCCCTGGGTGCCTCAGACCCCAATAGCAGCCCCTCCACACCAAACACACCGGCCACCCTCCCTCCCTCCACCAGAAACAGAAAGGATCTCTGTGGGTCTGGCAGACGTGCTTGGCACGGAGCTGGCGGTGATAACGGGTGGCCTTCAGGCGGCTCCACTCCCTCCATTCCATTCCTTGTGGGGCCCGGTGGAGGCGGGTGGCGGGGGTGTCCCTGCAGCTGTCTCTGGCCAAAGGCAGCCCACTGTTAACCCTTGGTGGACTCTCCCTGCTGAAGTTCCCAAAGAGGGTGGCCTGCTCCTCCTGCATCGCATGTGGAGACCTCAGTCTACACTGGCCACACCCTGAGGCTGGGCCCAACCCTGCCCAGCAGCCCGTCCTGCCCCACACCTCATCTTGCCCTATCCCACCCTGCACCCCACCGTGCCCCGCTCTGCACCCCGGCCCGCCCTGCACCCCATCCCTCCCTGCACCCCAGCCCGCCCTGCACCCCGCCCCACCCTGCACCCCAGCCCACCCTGCACCCCGGCCCGCCCTGCACCCTATCCCTCCCTGCACCCCAGCTCTCCCTGCACCCCGTCCTGCCCTGCACCCCGTCCTGCCCTGTACCCCATCCCTCTCTGCACCCTGTCCTGCCCTGCACCCTGTCCCACTCTGCTCCTGACCCTGCCCTGCAGCCCCCACCCCATAGGTCCAGTGTCCCGGGAGTCAGCACTTCCCTCAGGTTATGTGCTGGTCCCACCGACCCCTGAGTTGCAGGCCGGGCGATGTCAATGGCTACCCCAGAGAAGCAGCCGAGGCCTAGAGCAAAGCTGACCGCTCCTGGACTCAGTTTCCCCACCTGTCAAAGGAGGTGCTGGAAATAGAGTTCCCTCGGAGATGGACAGAGTCTTACAAATGAAACCTGTGTCCACCGTGTGACCTGGCAATTCCACTCCTAAGCATTTACAAAGAGGAATGAAATCATCCGTCCCCAGAAAGACTTCAATAAGAACATTCTGGGACGGGTGCGGTGGGTGGCTCACGCCTGTAATCCCAACACTTTGGGAGCCTGAGGCAGGAGGATTGATTGAGCCCAGGAGTTTGAGACCAGCCTGGGAAACATGGTGAGACCTTGTCTCTACAAAAAATTAAAAAATAAACTAGTTGTGTGTGGTGGATGCACCTGTGGTCCCAACTATGCGAGACTCTGAGGCGGGAGGATCATCTGACCCAGGAGTTCGAGGCTGCAGTGAGCTGTGATGGTCCAAGGCACTCCAGCCTGGGTGACAGAGCGAGGCCCTGTCTCAAAAAAAAAAAAAGAAGGCTGGGCATGGTGGCTCACGCCTGTAATCCCAGCACTTTGGGAGTCTGAGGCAGGCAGATCACCTGAGGTCGGGAGTTCGAGACCAGCCTGACAGCCTGACCAACATGGAGAAACCCCGTCTCTACTAAAAATACAAAATTAGCCAGGCGTGGTAGTGGGCACCTGTAATCCCAGCTACTCGGGAGGCTGGGGCAGGAGAATCGCTTGAAACCGGGAGACAGAGGTTGCGGTGAGCCGGGATTGCGCCATTGCACTCCAGTCTGGGTAACAAGAGTGAAACTCCATATAAAAAAAAAAAGAAGAAGAAGAGAAGGAGAAGGAGAAGGAGAAGGTCTTCAAACAGGAACCACTCCAAGTCCCCAAGTCTCCTTCATCCACACAGAAATGGATAAAAAATCATGATGACTGTACAAGAAAGAAGCAGACACACAGGGTCTCGGGCCTCCCCAGAGCAGGCCAAACCACGTGGGGTGACAGGGCCCCCCCGGTAGAATGTTCCGTGGCCTGAGGATGAGGTAGTTACGCACTGGACGCATTTGCCAGAGCCCTGGGCTTGTGCACTTGAGACTGTTTATTCCGCAAAAAATAAATAAAATAGAAATAAAACTTGGGGCTGTGCGGCGGAGCCGTGGGGGTGCCCGCTCTGCGGTGGTCGGCTGACCCTGGGATGCCCTGGTCAGAATAACACGGGGCCCAGGGTCAGATGTGCGTCTCGGAAGAACACGGACCATTTCTTAGGATAAATATGTCCCATGAAATATTTAGGATGCATTCACACTGTAAGTTTTCATTGTTTCACTGAAATTTGAATTAATTGTGTGTCCTGAATTTTTACTTGCTACGTCTGGTGGCCCCACACCGAGTTTATGGAGAGGGCATGAGCTTGGAGCAGTGACCAGGACCCAGGTCGGTTCGTCTGTCTTCAGGGGGCTCCCGGGATCCAGGTCAGACTGAGGACCTGAGGCGTGCTGGGGCTGCCCCAGATCATGTGTGGAGGGCAGTGCAGCTGAGTGACCGGGCCCTGAGGCTCCTGAGGCTCTGGGACCCCATGGGATGTCCCCTTGGGAGCCAGGCCCTGGAATCTGTGCTCCAGGCCGGCTGTAGGGGAGATGGAGGGCTGGGCCTGTGCCCAGAGGCTGATCACCGCCTGGCTCCTGGCAGGGTCTGGGATGGTCTCAAGGGGCTGGTGGGCCAGGGGCTCAGCTGAGCCACCATAGGCAGCCCCCAGCCCCGGAGGGAGAGGGAAGCAAAGAGTTAATCCCCGGCCCTGGGAGAGCCCTGCCCTAAGCTCAGGGCTGGCGTTTCAAGGCTGCGTGTCTGTGACTCCCTCAGAGGAGATAATCACGGCTTCTTGATATTTTCTTTCTCTTCTCCTGTGCACACCCACATATCAGGAGCACTCGCTGGGCCATGAGAACTTTCCTCTGCCCTCCAAGGCCACGGCGGGCGGAAGGGGCCAAAGCCATTTTGTCCAGGAGCCTTTGTCCCCTGGGATTGCCTGGCCAGGAGCTGGGGCCACCGGGCTGGACCCCGTGTCTCATGTGCACACGTGCCACCCAACACACACACCACACATGTACACACTACACATATATATACACACCCCACACACCACACACCTACACACCACACACATACACACCACAAATACACACCCCACACACCACACATGTGCACACCACATATATATACACATCCCACCTGTACACACCACACATGTACACACCACATATATACATACCCCACACACCACACCACATGTAGACACACACCACACACATATACACGTCACATGATGTGTTTAGTACTACACACACACACCCCACACTCATACAAAGCACACTACATGCACACACACACACTTGCAGAGCCTACCCCTTTCTCCACCACCTGGGTCTGGACCCCACACTCGGCCCAGGTCCCAGTCCCAGGTCTCAAGCCCTTGTGTGGTCACTGCCGTCCGCTGCCAGGGGCTGGGGGTCTTTCTCACTGAGGACAGGGCTGAGCTCCCCCAGGCTGAGGAGGGCTCTGCCACCTCCAACCCCCGCTGAGCGGCTGCAGTCCCTGCTCAGTCTCCTTGGGTCCTTGGTGCCCCGAGCCGATGCCGGGGCTGACCCTCAGCAGCCCCAGTTAGGCTGGCCTCAGTTGGGTCTCTGCGTGTTCCTCTGGGAGCCACAAAAAGGCAGGTGAACTCGGCTCCACACTCCGCACCCAGGTCCAGCTGCCGGCACCGCTTGGTGGCCACCCAGGGCGAGGGTGGGATTACCCAGGATGCACAGCCCCTCTGCCCCGCGGTCCCGCCGCCCACCCTCCTTGACACCCCGCCACCCCTGCTTGGGCAGCCACGGGGAGCTGTTGGAGGGTGGAGTTCAGCACAGAAGGAGACAAAGACCTCCAGGGACAGATGGGGTGGGGGCCACCCTGCCAGGGCACTCTGGCCTCTGGACACCCCCATCAACCCTCCCCGGTCACATGGCTCTGTTTTTCCTGGCGAGGGCGTCGCGTGGATGGTGGGTGAGGCCCACATGCTGGGGGTCAGCGGTGCACACGATTCAGCCACGTCCACAGCTTTTCTTTATTTCAGGGTCTCACTCTGTGGCCCAGGCTGGAGTACAGGGGTGCAATCTCGACTCACTGCAGCCTCCACCTCCCAGGCCCAAGCGATCCTCCCACCTCAGCCTCCCAAGTAGAGGGGACTACGGGCACCATGCCGGGCCAAGTTTTGTATTTTTTGTAGAGACGGGATTTGGCTGTGTTGCCCAGGCTGGTCGTGAACTCCTGAGCTCAGGTGATCCGCCCACCTCGGCCTCTCAAAGTGCTGGGTTTACAGGCATGAGCCACCGCACCTGGCCTTCAGTGGCTCTCTGAGGAAGTTATATATATTTGTTAAACATACGTGTCCTTCTCAGAATCTGTGAGAAGCGCAGATACAATTGTCAACAGATTCCAGAAACACGGGGAGCAGCAGAGCTTTGCCGCCGCCTCTCTCCAGCAAGCTTTGAACAGCCATTGTTTTCATTTATTCCTGCTTGTAAAACGACACATTGTTATGATGGAGAATTGTGAGTACTGCAGAAAAGAAATAAGTTTTGCCACCAAAGGCGATCACTGTGGATCATGCCGGTTCCTGCACACCTGTGGGGTGCTCTGAGCGTGGACTCCCCACGCGAGCCGTCCAGACGTGCTCAGGGTGGCCTCCCCTGCTTACTCCTTTGTGCTTTCATTGCTAATAATTTTAGTCAGTCGTGTCTGCTCTACTAATTTACTATTTGAAGTTATTTACAGCTTGATCTAAAGAAGCTGGCCAGGCGCAGTGGCTCACACCTGTAATCCCAGCACTGTGGGAAGCAGAGGCAGGAGGATCACTTGAGCCCAGGAGTTCAAGACCAGCCTGGGCAACACAGTGAGACCCCCATTGCTACAAAAAATGAAAAGAATTACGCAAGGCGCAGTGGCTGACGCCTGTAATCCCAACAGTTTGGGAGGTAGAGGCGGGCGGATCACCTGAGGTCAGGAGTTTGAGAGCAGCCTGGCCAATATGGTGAAACCCCGTCTCTACTAAAATACAAAAATTAGCCGGGCGTGGTGGCGGGCGCCTGTAATCTCAGCTACTTGGGAGGCTGAGGCAGGAGAATCGTTTCAACCCAGGAGGTGGAGGTTGCAGTGAGCTGAGATTGTGCCACTACACTCTAGTCTGGGCAACAGAGTGAGACCCCTGTCTCAAAAAAAAAAAAAAAAAAAAAGGAAAAGAAAAGAATTAGCTGGGCGTGGTGGCACGTGCCGGAGGCTGAGGTGGGAGAACGGCTCCAGCTGCAGTGAGCTGTTCTCCGGCCTGGGCAGCAGAGCCAGATCTGTCTCAAAAATAAAAAACAAAAAACAGAAGCTTTAAGAGATTTTTAAATTCATTTTTACTTTTTTTCTCCTTCATCTACCCAAGATTGTACTCCGTGAGGGGGTTTTTGAAGTAAATTTCATGACAGCACATTATTCAGCAGTGAGTTTCGGACCATATGTTCCCATTTTTACAACTTTTGTGCACCCTAGGGTGTTTTCCCCTAGGAAATTGTTGTTATATTTCACACATGCAAAAATAAACGCCAGGTGATGTGAGGGGCACCCACACCCACCTTCCCGCTGAGAAATGCAGGCCGCCCCCAAGGGGAGCCCTCATCCTGCAGGTTTCCTCCCGAGTCCTGGAATTCTAAAATGCGCTCCTTGCACCTGGGACTCTTCCTGCCAGCTCCACTGGGGAAAGCTCCTCTCCACCTCCCCTGCTCCCTCCGGGCCTCTCACGGCTCCCCCCGCCCCTCCTCTGCCCCAGGGCCTGTGCTCCTACATCCCGGCAAGCCGCAGCCCCGACACTTCCTCCTAATTTCCTGACACTCCCCACTCCCTGGCGGGACGTTTTACTCCTTGCTCTCCTTCCCACTGGAGGGCGCGCGCTTTCTAGCTGGCCGCGTGGGCAGGCAGAGGACCAGGTGCAGGCGGGCGCCAGAGGACAGAAGGTGGAAGTCAAGCGGTGTCTTGGCCGTCCAAGGTCCCAGCACAGGCACTCAGAACCCCTGAGCCCAGGGAGCTCCCAAGGGTCTCACTCTCCTCTGCGGTCTTTGCTGGCCGAGGGCAAGGCCGGGTGAGGACGGAGAGAAGCAGCTCCTCCCCACCACACACCCAGAGCTGGGAGGGGCCAGGATTCAGCACCCTCTAGGGGTGGGCACGGCAGACGCGGTGGGGACCTGGCGCTGAGGTCCTGGCTCCCACTCCAGCGTGGCCTGGTGGCTTCTCCCCGGTTGGGGTACCCTGCACAGGGGTTGTGGTGCCTCCCAAGGGCCAGCCCCGCCCTGACAACCTCTCCTCCAGCCAGGATGGGGTCCATACTCCATCGAGAGGGTTCCTGGCTTCAACACCCTCCACCAGCCTCATGCCACCAGGGCCCTGGTCATCCTGGGGACCCTGCAGAGGGCCTCCTGGGCCTGTCTTCCGGCGGGTGAGCCGGCCCTGCCTGTGGGTGTCTGGGGTGTGGCCTCCAGGCACCAAGCACCCGCTGGCTCCTGATACCTGCCTTTCTGGCTGTGGTGTGTCTCTGGCCTGGCGCCTGTTTCTGAGTCCCTGGAGAGAGCAGGTTCCTCGCAGGTGGCAGGCAGCCCTGTTTGTGTGTGCATGAGCCTGTGGGGGCACCTGGAGCTGAGCGGTGGCCTGTGCTGTCACCACCCGGGGTGGCAGGGCAGGGTCTGGCACTGCCACAGCTCCTGACAGAAGCTGCCTAGGCCTGGGTTGGCTCGGGCTTCTCGGCCAGGCCCTTCCCCAGCACTTCCTGCCCAGCCCCAGCTGCAGGACCTGCTGAAATCTGTGCTGTGGGAGCCCTGTCTCTGAGGGGTCACTGCAGTGACTCCAGAAAACCTGAGTCTCCTGATTCCAGGAGCACCGCTTGCAGCCTGCCACGTGCATGACCCAGCATGACCCGGACTCCTGAGCCAGGACCGAGTCCCCCTGACAGCGGGGAAGCGGCGGACCCTGGGGGCTGGCACCCGCCGTGGCCCTCCCCAGCCCACTGTGGCACTGAGGGGCTGCTCCCCTGGGAATGGCCCCTTCCTAGAGGCAGCCCTGGCCTGGCTTCGAGAGGGGCTCTGGGAACAGGCGGCCCCGGGTAGCTGACCACACCTGACCAGGCCAGTCTTTGGGAAGCCGCCCTCTCAGCCTATGCACTGCAGGGACACTGGGTGGAGAGGGCTGTGCCTCAGTGCCCCTGCAGGGCGGTGCAGCAGCTGGCCGTGCAGGGGGAGGGGGCCTTGCCTTCTGGCTCAGGGAGGAAGCGGCTGCTTTCAGCTGCCTTCGCCTTGCCTCCTGAGGCGGCTTTGGAACCCTCCTGAGGTTTGTGGCCCTGAAGTTCCTTCCTGAGACCCCGCAGGGGACTAAGCCCTCGGCCCAGGGGCACCGGGGAGGGCAGAACCTCAAGACAGGGGCCCGGGACACAGGACAGAGTGTGTGGGGCAGGTGTGCAGGCTGTGCCCAAGGGGCCTCGGGGTTGAAGGGGCTCTTGGAGATGATGTCGACATCGCGGTTCCTGAGCGGGTGCCCAGATCTGGATGAGCTGTTTTCTGGAGAAAGCAGGAAAGTGACGTCATTTTGTGGCTTCAGATTGACCGCAGCCTGGCAGAGAGGGAGTGGTGGCAGGAAGTGAAGCTGCTGGCTTCCCAGTCACGGCCTCCATGATCCACGTGTGGCAGCAAGAATCACAGCTGCATCATGACACCCAGAGGGAAAGCAGCTCAAGCTGCAGTTTAAGGCGACTCCACGGAGGGCCCTGGCTTAGTTGTTGCACAGCATGGGGTCAGATGGATGCCCTGGAAGAGTCAGCAGAGACCCCCTGGCCTTTGGAGTTTGTCTCTGAGCGAGAGACACTGTTGGGATGACCGGCGAGTGGCGTTGGGTCCACATGGGGGCCCTGGTCCGGCTGAGTCTACTGAGCACAGGCCTGCCCCTTGCCACCCAGCTCTGCCCATATGTGGCCGTCATTCCTGGGCTTCACCTGGGAAACGTCCTTTGAGGCAGCTCAGCTTTTCCACAGTGGGTCACGTTGTTTGCTGCTGGAGACTGGCTGAGTCTGTGCTTCCAGTATAGGAAGGTTTAGGAGGCGGTCAGCAGGCCTCTCCTGTGGCCACTGTGCCCGAGGCAGGTGCCTGGGGTGAGAGGGATTCTTCCGGATGTGGCCGTGCACTGCCCAGCAGGCCTGGAGTGAACGTCTGTGTGGAGTCCGGGCTCCCATCCAGCATCCCTTAAGGGTCCTGATGGCTGGAGCTGGGGGAGGCAGGTATGGCAAGGGGCTTCCTGCACGCAGGAAAACTGGAGACCCCTGGTGAAAGAGCCAGGTGTGCACCTGCAGAGCCAGGCATGGGTCCACAGAGCCTGTCAAGCCTGGTTTACACCACAGAGCTGGGTATGCGCTGAGAACCAGGTGTGCACGGAGAGCCAGGTGTACACTGCAGAGCCGCGTGTGCACTGAGAGCAGGTGTGCGCTGAGAACCAGGTGTGCAGAGAGAGCCAGGTGTGCACGGAGAATCAGGTCTGCAGAGAGAGCCAGGTGTGCACTGAGAACCAGGTGTGCACGGAGAATCAGGTCTGCAGAGAGAGCCAGGTGTGCACTGAGAACCAAGTGTGCAGAGTCAGGTGTGCGCTGCAGAGCCGGGTGTGCACTGAGAACCAGGTGTGCAGAGAGAGTCAGGTGTGCGCTGCAGAGCCGGGTGTGCACTGAGAACCAGGTGTGCAGAGAGAGTCAGGTGTGCGCTGCAGAGCCGGGTGTGCACTGAGTCAGGTGTGCAGAGAGTCAGGTGTACACTGCAGAGCCGCGTGTGCACTGAGAGCAGGTGTGCATGGAGAGCCAGGTGTCTGTTGAGAACCAGGTGTGTGCAGAGAGCCAGGTGTGCACTGCATATCTAAGTGCTCATGTGGAGTCTTGGGCTGGGCAGGTGCTGCCCAGGACCCTGGCTCTCTGGCTGTCTTCTGTGCATTTGGGGATGGGAGAAGGGGCTCGGCTCTGGCTGGAGGGCAGCCAGGCAGACTTGCCAGCCAGCACCGCCAGGTGATAAGAGCTGGTGCCCACAGGTACTCAGCAAATGTCTGCATTTTGGGGAGGGCTGGAGAAAATGAAGGCCATGCCCTCTCTGCAAGGCTCCGCACAGGCCCTGTTTCCCAGTCCTTCAGCCACAGGGTGTCCCGGCAACAAGGGTGCCAGGTCGCCTGCACCCTGACTGTCTCCTGCGGAAAGGACAGCGCCTGCTCCTTGTCCTCCAGTAGCTGCTGGACTCCGGGGTCTGGGTGCTCTGGCGCCCGGCGGCTGGGTCCCCACTACAAGGTAGACACCAGCCTTGAATCCAACTGTCGAGGAAATGGGGTGGGCGGCGGAGGCTGGGGAGATCGGGAGGAAGGGAGGTATGGGCTTGAGAGACAGGAACCCACCCTCTGCAAGTGCAGTGGCCTGTCCCCTCCAGAACGCTCTCATTCTTCGTGCTGAAGGGAGCTGGGGGCGTGGCAGGCCTGCGAGACGAATGGGCGCTATCAGCTCAGGGCTCTGCCTCGGAGGAGCCACCCGGAGGCAGCACCCATGGGTGTGGGGGCTTGGCCACAGGGGACGTCAGGCCTCCTCGGTGCAGCACCAGATGCGTCTAACAGCCTCCGCCCCGTGGGCGCCCACTCAGACTTGCTGCTCAGGTGCCTAGAGCAGAAGCCACCTCCTCAGAGGCCAGCGCGCCAGCCTGGCACCACGGGGACGCTCCCAGGGGGTGCCCAGAGGGAACGTGCGCATCGGGCGGGGTACTGCGGCGCGTGTGGGCCGTGAGCCCCGCCCTGTAGTCGGACACTGGAGTCCCGGATCCTACAGATCTGAAAGGCTGAGTCGGATGCAGCAAAGGCGAAGCGGGGTTCGCAGCCCCAGACTCTTGGGCGGGGGGGTCAGCGAGCAACCGGGAGGGGCGCCGCGGGCCATTCGCCGCTTCTCCTGGGCCGAGGGCGCAGGCCCCTGCCGCGGGGGCCCCTCGGACTCCACGACTTCGCGGACGCGCGCCCACCGCCATAGCTGAGGTCCCGGGCCAGGCGGCGCGTGGGTGGCTGAGCGGGAGCGCGTCCAGCCAGGCGTGGAGGCCGCGCGGGGCCGGGGTCGAGCCCAGCATGGCGGGGGGGGTGCGGGGCAGTGGCCCGGACAAGGGCATGGGGCCGGAAGAGGCGGGGCCGTTGCCAGGAGACGAGACGGAATGGGCGGGGCGCGGGCGGGGGCCGTTGCCGGGAGACGAGACGGAATGGGCGGGGCGCGGGCGGGGCCGTTGCCGGGAGACGAGACGGAATGGGCGGGGCGCGGGCGGGGCCGTTGCCGGGAGACGGGGCGGGGGCGGGGCCGGGCCATTGCCCGGAGACGGGGCGGGGCAGGGGTAGCGCGGGCTCCTCCGTGCATCGCGGCGAAGTCTTCTTGGGCGTGGGTTCCTGGATCGGATCGTCTGCCCGCGGGAGGGGCGGGACTGCTTAGTTACGCTGGGGAGGGCCTGAGAAATCCAGGGAGAAAAGAAGGTGGCTTGACCTCATCTATTCGCAGTCTGCATTTTACCAAGCGCCGACCCTTGTATCTCGTGAACTGAAGCCCTCCATCCTTCCCCGCTGATCTAACAAGAATCTACAGAACTCGGTCAATAATTTATTAGTAAAATATACATTTCTCATTATTAAAGAATAAAAGCTTTCAGCCCTGCTGAACACACATCTGAGGTCTCAAGAAAACCAGACAAGATAGCTGACTCTCCCACATAGCCCTTTCCATAAAGGCGATTCCTAAGCTTAAACACACACAAAGCTGGGGCTGTCCCTCTTGAATCCCATGGGAAACAGGCCCCAAGATCAGGGGACCTGGAGTCGGGAGCTTGGGGTGCAGTCTGCTCACTGACACCCTCTCGAAGAGCACGCAGGGGAACCTGGTCCTGGGATGGAGTCTTTCTGGGGATGCCCCACGTCTGTGCTGCCTGGAACCGGGTGCCCAGGGCAGCCGGCTCAGCAGGCCCCAGAGCAGGGGCAGGTGTGGCTGGGAGGGGCTGTATATGTGGCCTCCTGAACACAGCGGGAGACCAGCGGCCACCTGGAGACACGTACACACACACGCACCCGCAAGCACACAGCTCATCCCAGCCTGGTGCCTGCAGACAGCTGGGGCTACACGTGGCCAAGGCGGGGAGAAGGAATTGGCTGAGGGCGTGGACAGCAGGAGCCTCTCAGGTAGATGCATTCCTGAGGTTAGAACAGCAGCTGAGCCTGCAAAGTCAGGGTCTAGGGCTGAGCGGCACTAGCTGGACCGTGGAATGCTGGAACGCATGGCTTCTCTGCCGCAACTTCTCCAAATTTCCACACAGGCGCAGGTGCCCCCCTAGGGTGCTGTGGGAGCTCCGGCTCCTTGCTTCCTCTGGATGGGGGGCTTCAGGGCAACCTTTGGGCCAACAGCACCCTGGGAGGAGGAAAAGATAATTGATGTTGAAAAACTACCTGCTATAAAAGGTATATAAAGGGTACAACGAAATTTTACGTCCTTTAACATCTCTTAAAATGTGGATTCTTGGTTCATCCACCAACAACATGGCCCATGCACACAATGGCAGGTGTGGCAGTCACAATATATACAGCTCACAGAGGACAGACTTTCTTCCCTGCAGTTGCTGGGGGAAGGTCAGGCACCACTGACAGCCGGGGTCGGCATCTGCTGAGAAGTCCCCTGATCACAGCACAGATACCACAGTACAGCCACTGCCAATGCCTTTCCCTTTTCTTTCAGTCACCCAAGTTTATCCACAGATAATCAGAAAAAAACCCCACCCTCCAGGGCAGTGCCACCGTCAGCCCCGTGGGGAGGCCGTGCCGTCCATTGCACAGTGGACTCTGCCTGGTGTGTGCTGGGGCCTCACCTCAGCTGGACCAGGGTTGGCCGCACCAGCCCCGGGTTTGACTGGGGGCACTGGGGGTGCGAACGTTGGCTTGATGACCTGGGAGGAAACAGACACAGCTGACATGGGTCCCCCAGGCACTCCCGGCTCTAGCCTGGACATCACCTTCTCTGGACCTGGAACGAAGCTCCCCACAGACCTCGCTCTGCCCCCCAGGGAGCCTGCAGGCTCCGCCCCCACTGAGCTCGCTACAGAAAAGCCCTCCTGGCTGCCACTGCCCAGGAATAAAGCCCATCAGTGGCAGAACGCCATCCTGGGCCCACCTGCCCAGTACACCATCCACATCCCCTAACCAACCCCCATATTACCCTCCAAGAGCTTTTTTCCTTTCCTTTTTTTTTTTTTTTTTTTTTGAGTCAGGGTCTCCCTCTGTCACCCAGACTGGAGTGCAGTGGCGTGATGTTGGCTCACTGCAGCTTCCTCTTCCTGGGTTCAAGCGATCCTCCCGCCTCAGCCTCCTGAGTAGCTGGGACGACAGGCACAAGCCACCATACCCAGCTAATTTTTTATTTTTTGTAGAGACGGGGTCTCCCTATGTTGCCCAGGCTGGTCTTGAACTCCTGGGCTCAAGTGATCCTCCCGCCCCAGCCTCCCAAAGTGCTGGGATTACAGGCATGAGCCAATGCGCCTGGCCTGAAGAGCTCTACAGATTGCCGGAATGTGGGGTTTTGGAAGCTCAAAGGCCAATAATTAGCTACTAAAACACGTGTTTCTTTGCATTTCAGCTTTCCCAGGGTAGGGAGGCTGGATGTCCACCACACAGAGCTGTGGAGCTCACTCCTGGCTGTGTCACACGGAGCCTGGGTGGGCTAAGCATTTGCAGTTTTCAGCAGCTTCCAAAGGACCCTACTGAGCAGCCAGGGGAAGCCCGTGAGAGTGAAGAGTGAGTGACTTCCCTCCTGCACAGTTCTGCTGCAGCCTCTGCCCCATCTACTGCCACGCCTGTTCCTGCTGCAGCCTCAGCCCCATCTACTGCCACGCCTGTTCCTGCTGCAGCCTCTGCCCCATCTACCTCCACGCCCGGCTCTTGCTGCAGCCTCTGCCGCATCTACCTCCATGCCTGGTTCCTGCTGCAGCCTCTGCCCCACCTACCTCCACGCCCGGCTCCTGCTGCAGCCTCTGCCCCATCTACCTCCACGCCTGTTCCTGCTGCAGCCTCTGCCCCATCTACCTCCATGCCCAGCTCCTGCTGCAGCCTCTGCCCCATCTACCTCCACGCGCAGCTCCTGCTGCAGCCTCTGCCCCATCTACCTCCACGCCTGTTCCTGCTGCAGCCTCTGCCCCATCTACCTCCACGCCCGGCTCCTGCTGCAGCCTCTGCCCCATCTACCTCCACGCCCAGCTCCTGCTGCAGCCTCTGCCCCATCTACCTCCACGCCTGTTCCTGCTGCAGCCTCTGCCCCATCTACCTCCATGCCCAGCTCCTGCTGCAGCCTCTGCCCCATCTACCTCCACGCCCAGCTCCTGCTGCAGCCTCTGCCCCATCTACCTCCACGCCCAGCTCCTGCTGCAGCCTCTGCCCCATCTACCGCCACGCCCGGCTCCTGCTGCAGCCTCTGCCCCATCTACCACCACGCCCGGCTCCTGCTGCAGCCTCTGCCCCATATACTGCTATGCCTGGTAACCATAACTTCCTTGGCCAGAAATCTCTCTGCCCCCTTCAGGCCCCCATTTTGCCTGTCCAGACCCCTTCTAGGACTATTTCTGCAACTCACGTACAAGTCTGAAGTTAGTTCAAATAAAAAGTTAAAAAGGAAAGAGAGAAATAGAAAATCACTATTAGGGCCGGGCATGGTGGCTCACGTCTGTAATCCCAGCACTTTGGGAGGCCAAGGCAGGCAGATTACGAGGTCAAGAGATCAAGACCATCTTGGCTAACACAGTGAAACCCCGTCTCTACTGAAAAAAAAAATACAAAAATTTAGCCAGGCATGGTCGCGGGCACCTGTAGTCTCAGATACATTGGGAGGCTGAGGCAGGAGAATGGCATGAACCTGAGAGGCGGAGATTGCAGTGAGCTGAGATCGCGCCACTGCACTCCAGCCTGGGCGACAGAACGAGACTCCATCTCAAAAAAAAAAAAGAGAGAAAATCACTATTAGGCAAACAGCACAGAACAACTATTGCAGCCAATATTCACCAATGGATGCCAAAACTAGTGGGTCCAAGCTTAAGGTTCAAAGAGTCTCAAGGTATCTCCCTGAGGCATCTGCTCACTATAAAAAGAAGACAGGAGCTTTCTAAGGAAAAATCTGTGGACGCTGCTCCAACTAGGCGCTGTGTCAACATCCCCCGTGACCGAAGCTGCATGTGGGCCAGGCCTGGGCTGTGCCTGGGGAAGGGTGTGTCCAGTGCTGCCCCCGCCAACAGTGCAGGGCCCTCATCCACACAAGGAAAGACGGGACAAACCCAGGCTGAGGGACTCTGAAAACACTGCTGGCCACACTTCCAAAGGGCAAGCTGAGGAAAGGCAGAGGGGCCGGGGGCTGAGTGCCTGGGGGGACCATGGCTGGAGAAGGGCGTCCAGAGGGAGCAGGCGGTACTGACTGGGTCGCATTGGTGACGTGGAGCCTCGGCTGCGCGCCCACACTGTGGCCATTCGGGAGCAGGCCAGGCGAAGGGCATGCAGGATTCTCTAGGCTATTTTTGCAACTTTTCTGTAAGTCTAAAATTTGTTCAAAATTAAATGTTAACAAAAAAAAAGCCTCAACCCAGAGGGCAGGGGCTCTCCTGCCCCAGGTCTTCCATGCACAGCCCAGTCCTAGGGCTGACCACGAACCTCTGTGGAGGGGGTCCCCGGAGATGCACCGTGGGACCTCTTCACACAGGCACCTCCCCAGCCCCAGCCTGCCCGCCACCGTCCTGCCCTCTCTGAGGACAGAGGCTGCTCACAATGTCCCGCAATGCCAAGTGGACCTCGATGGTACCACTGGGGCCCCGTGCCAGGCCCCAGAGAGAAAGCCTGGCCCTTTCTGCTGCCCTAGCTGAGTCAGTGGCCCCAGGAAGGGAGCTCAAGGGTCCTTCTCCACCCACTGCCAGAGCGGTTTCCCAGGGCTGAGGCCAATGAGCTGCCCCCACGGGGTCCAAAAAGGGCTCCAAGGTTAGCCCAGAGGTGGGAGCCAGGGCGCAGGGACAGGACCCCAACCCTGGGGGGACACGGAGGCCTGGGAGTTAACCCTCAGCATGCCAGGGCTCCAGTGATTCGGGTTTTGAGAGATCTTTCCAAAACCCCCAAAGCCCCCAAACCCAAGGGAAGCGCGGAACGTGTCCCTGCCCTGAGCCCACCCACCCATCTGTCCTGCAGGGCCCCAGGGAGTCCTCTTCTCTGCCAGAGCTTCAGCTCTGGGAGGGGCTTGGTGGGCGGAGCAGGTCTGAGTGGAAGGAGAAGGAGCCAGGACCCCCAAACCAGCTCCAACGCAGGGCAGGACTGAGCTCCTGCCTTCCTGTGGCCTCGCTGACCTGCCTTTCTGTCTGATGTCCTCACGAGGTCGGGCTAACCAGCCTTCTGTGTACAGCAGGGGCCACCTGGGGATCCCTGGCCCCCGGTGCAGTGCACAGACCCCAATCCCATCAGGAAGGCCTGGACACCCTCAGAAGGCTTGGCCGCCCAATCACCACTGCTCACCTGCTTTGGTGCCTGCCGGGTGTAGACAGGAACTGGGAAGGGTGGGCTGGACACAGTGACCGGAGGCTGGAGGAGACAGGGCCGAGAGCCTGGGTCAGAGCTGGGACCCCCGTGCCCCTCCAGCACCCCCAGCTCCAGGATCCGAGGTTCCTGCCTCTTGTGTGTGCTGGAGGCGTCTGCGCGGCCCACAGGGCCCCACCCCAGATGAGAGGCCCCGCCCCATTCCTCCCCTCAGCCGTGTGATCCCGAGCTGGGGGCCGGAGAGCATTTGTGTCTCGACACTGTCCTCAGATGGGCTCTGTGGAGGCCAGGAAGCTTCCCTGGGCTGGGAGCCCCCAAGTTTAAGTTCAAGCTCAGATTCTATCATGGCTCAAAGGGGTCTGGGAAGTGCCCACTCCCAAAGCCTCAGTGTTCCCAGCAGGGCGACCACAGCAGCTGCTCTGGGCCTCGGGGCCACCGCTGGCCTGTGCGTGAATTTAATGAAAGGGCTCTGCTGGCCTCGGGCTGCACTTGGGGTCGCAGGATGGGGCCTGGGCACTGCTTTCGGCCTCATGAACCCGCCAGGGGTGGTGCTTACAGCAGGGGGCGGCCTCTTCAGAGCCACCGAGGAGGCCGGGTGTCGGGCGGGCTGGCCCGGGTGGGTGGTGGGGACCAGCTCTTGGGGGCCCCTGGATGGGGCTGGAGCCCCGCCCTTGGCCGGCACGCGGCTGGCAGCCTGGTGGAACAGGGGGTTGGAGCGCCCCATTGTGGTCTTGGGAGCCACGTTCCTGGGGAGGAAGCACAGGGCGCATGGTCAGTGTCCGGCCATGGGGCCCCAGCACCACACCCCGAGTCTCTCCCTCCCAGCTCCAGCCGACCCGAGAGGCTTCAGGGCGAGAGGTTGTGGCCATGAGAGACAGACAGGCCCAGGAGGTGGGGCGGACCCTGAAGAGGCAGGGACACCCCCTCCATGTCCTGGGGGCCCCAGTCAGGTGGGCGGGAGATGCTTGGAGGCTGTGGGGCCAGTGTGTCCTGCTGCGTGGGGGTCTCCTGCTGTGTGGGGGTCCAGGTCCCTAGAGCAGGGCTCAGCAGGAAACTGGCAGGGTGCTCACGGGGCTGGGTCAGGGTATGGGGGACCCCACCGGGCCTCTCTGGATTTGCCCCAAGCCCAACCGGCCACCAAAACCATGCCCCGCCCCAGCCTCAGGGGAAGGTGGAGTCCAGAGTGGCACTGGCCGAGTGGAGCCAGGAAGGCCCTTCAAACTCAGCCCAAGCCGGGGGGCGTCATGACGTCGGGGCACAGAGGAGCCTGGGTGTCCGTGCCGTCCACCATGGGCCCGTGCTGGGCACTCCTTCCTCTGGCAGCTGAGCACGGGAAGCACTCGCCACCCTCCGTCACAGCCCCCACCACCCTCACCTGCTCAGGATGCGGCTCCGGGCTTTGCGGTAGACGATGATGCCTGCCAGGGTGACCAGCACAACTGCCAGGAGCACCAGAACCACCACCACGAAGACGGGGAGGCTCCCGGACGCTGTGGGACACACGGCCCCACATCAGGCAGGCAGGCCGCGACCTCAGGCAGGAGCCAGGGAGGTTCCCAGAGACACGGTCTTTCTCAGCACCCCCAGGCTGTGCCCTGTGGACCCCTCAGGGAGGACCTGGTACCTTACACTGGCACTCCCAGCTTGCCAGTGACAGGTTGGAGAGCTTGGCAGGGTGGCCCTGGGCCACAGTGCTGTGGGCACGGCTGTGCCTTTGAGGCCTGATGCTCTGGACGACCACATGCTCAGTGGCCGCCGGGGAGGAAATGCTGGGTGGCCTCAGGGCCCCGGGCCGAGGAGGGGCTGGAAGACACAGGCTGAGGACACTGGAGTCTCAGCTCACGGCCGTGCCCTGCCCTCGGCCACTGCCTCCCTCTGGGACAGGGCTCTCCCCTCCTCACATCAGCCTGGGGACAGACAGGCTCTGCCTATACCTGTGTGTCGATGCCTGTGGCAGCAAACTGGCACCGTGAACACCACCAGCTTCCCGGGCCCGCGGCTTCTGCCTGGGCTCTGTTCGGGCCCTCTGAGCTTGGACCCCAGCCCCACCTGCGCTGGCCAGGGAGGCCTACCTGCGTGCACCTCAGTCAGCAGCTTCGCGCAGTGGGGCGGGGCCCAGCCCGCGTGGCAGTGGCACTCCTGCTTGTGGTTGCACACCTGCGGGGACGGCTGGGCTCAGGGCCAACCCTGTTGTGGACCCCAAGGGGCCGTGGGGGCCGTGCCTCCAGCATGAGGGCCCCGGGCCAGCCCCACCCCCGAGGGCCCCTCGGTCCCTGCCCACATGCGCCGACGGCGAGGCCTCTCCATGTAGCCCCTGCCCGCTGCCCGGTGACCATGCAGGTTCCATCCACGGAGGCCACCCAGGCCGGGCCTCAGCCGACAGGGGCTCCACAGAGACCCCCATGGACAGGACACGCCAGGCTCCCCCAGCCTCAGGCTCCCGTGTCCAGAGCTGTCCCCAGCACCGGCTCCCTCAGAGCGGCAGCCTCTGTGCAGGGGCCCTGTCCCGAGAGGCCACACATACCCCATGGTTGTGGCACTGGGCAGAGCAGTTGCTGGATCTGTAAACGTGTAAGTCCTGGCAACGTCCTTTCCAGCAAACCTGGGGGTAGGAGGCGTCTCTCAGGCAGCCGCTCTGGACCTCTGCCCCGCCAGCGTCCCTTGAAACTGCATGGTAAGCTGGGGGTGGGCTGTGGTCACCACGTCCAAGGTGGCTGTGCTTCAGCCCATCTGCCGGCTGCCTACCCCCAAAGCCCCTGGGAAGTGGCCCTCCTGGGGCACGTGGCCGCCGGCGACGGCCATCAGATGAACTGAGAACCATGTCTCTCCCCACCCCCGGAAACCTTTCAGTCTCTACTAGAAGCGCGGAGAGAACTCTGTTCCCATGGCCTCGAGCAGCTGCCAAGCTCAGAAACGCATCTGCACCCACGTGGGGCACATGCCCGGGATGCCTGGGGGGTGGCGCGGCCTCTGAGCCAGGGGCTCACCTTCTCTGGTCCACACCGGGTGCCCTCGGGCACTGGTTCATACGCAGTGCCATCCTCTGTGGTGAGCGCGTGGCACACATCCACGATGCAGATGGCACGCCCCAGGGGCTGCTGCCCACCCTTGCACTGCAGAACGCCACACATGTCAGCCCTGTGGATGGACGGCAGGTCGTGGGCCAGCTTGCCTGGGAGCATGCTGGGGAGCCCAGGAGCCACAGTGACCCACCTCCCTCCCACAACACGGTGCGCTTGAGCCTGGGGTCCATGGGTCCAGAGCAGACCCTCATGGGAGCAGGACCCTTTGCAGAGGCCCTTCTGGGGCTGACCCCGCTGTGGGAACAGCACATGTCCTGGGCCCAGGGCGGTCTCAGCTCACCTGTACCGGCTGGCCTTGCAGCCTGGTAGGATGTCATAGGAGAAGCAGGACTCCTCGGCAGCCTGCCCACCTGTGGGACCAGAAGCGGGTTAGCCCTGGCAAGGCCTGCAGCCACCCTGCCAGGCCAGCTCTGTGCCCACTTCACCTGGCCCCCAGAAGGCCTGGCACTGCTGGGCCAGTGTGGGACAGGCCCCGTTGTAGCAGTAGCCCCCGGAGCAGGGCGTGCCGTTCTCCTGGAAGGCGTCTTCCGGGCACTCAGGGTGCCGGCCGTCACAGAACTCCTCGAGGTCACACATGTCCTTCTTGGGACGGCACAGCTCACCAGCCGGCTTCACCTGGCCCAGCAGAGAACAGCTCACCATGGGGACAGGTCCACGCAAGCTGCCTGGTCCCTGGTGCCCCAGGGTCCCTTCCCACCTGCCAGCCATGGGCTCTGGGGGTCACTGGTGGGAGGCTGCACTCACCTTGCACTCCTGGCAGCAGGTACCGTGCGCACACTGGGCCCCCTCAGCCAGCTGGCAGGTGGTAGAGTTGCAGCAGCGGTTCCGGCAGTCCTGGGGCGACGGCAAAGGCCTTGGCAGGCTGCACTGGGGCCGGGCTGGGCTCCAGGGCGGACCTGGCCGCCTCCCCTGACCACTGGGGTGCCCTGCAGCCACTCCCTCCCTGTGACCGCTCTGGACACCCACAGAGCCCCAAGTTCCACGTGTGGATGTGCAGTGGTCACCCTGGCCTGAAGGGACAGAGGTTGTGGCACCCAGTGCTGACGGGAGCAGGTATGGGGCATGGACGCACCTCGGGGGGGCCGCAGTCGCACTGCTCCCCACGCTCCACAAACAGGTTCCCACACACGGGGCCGCCCACCAGGTGGCTGAGGTCAGGGGCGTTGGCGAGGCACACCGACTGCGGCCGCTCCAAAAAGCTCTCCAGGTAGGCCTGGCTGCAGTCACTGAACATCCTGGGGAAACTGGAGCTGGGGAGGCGGGGCAGCATTGGGGGAGGCGGCCTGGCCCCTTCCCCACCCACCTCGTACCTCCAGCATACCCTGGCTCTGCAGGGCCTGGCCGCCTCACCCAATGCTGCCCGCCATGATGCAGCGGCCGGCCTCGAAGCGTTCCTGGCAGCGGCAGCCCTGGACGTTCTCATCATGGTCCATGCCCAGGTTGTGGCCCATCTCATGGGCCATGGTACAGGCCACGCCCACGGGGTTCTTGCTGTGGTCCTGCAGGAGGGTCTGTGCTCTCAGGAACCATGTGGCCAACTCCCCACGCCTGCCACCCTCACCCCACCAGGGCCCAGGACTTGGCACAGCTTCCCGCCAACACCACCTTAAAACATAAAATCAGGCATTAAACCTGGCCTGAGGGGAGGTGGCCTGCTCCAGAGACCTGGACCGAGGCGTCCCCTCCCCTATCCAGCTCTGGCCTCGGCCTGGCAAACCCGGGCAGGAGCCCCCTCACCTGGTTCACAGCCCCTGAGCTGTGGGAGCACATGGCGGACACCCTGGCAAACCCCACGGTAGTCCCGGTGAAGTCGACACCCCTGGAAGTGGGAGTGACACAGATGCCCTGGACACGGCTCCCTCCCCACTTCCCTCCCACCCCAGCCCTGCTCTCCCTTCCACCCCACCCTGCCCGCCCTCCCTCCCCAGCCCTCCCCACCCTGCCCGCTCCGCCAGCTCACGTGATGAGCTGTACGTTGTCATGCAGGTGCCGCCGTGTCCGTTGCCGTGCCTGCCAGGTCAGGAGGTTCTCCAGTGTGACACTGGGGTCGGGGCTGACGTGGAACCTGTCCTGACTATTCCAAATCTCCAGGCCCACCAGGACCACACGGAAGTTGAGTTTCTGATATAGCTGGAGAGGTGGTGGAGTCCTGGGGGTCAGGCAGGGTGGCGGAAGGTACAGCAGGGAGGGTGGGTGGCGGAGGATGCACCTGTCCCACGGCGAGGTGGGGCCAGGCACAGGTGCGGGGCAGAGCTGGAGCAGGTGGAATGAACCCTGTGGCAACACCCCCCCCACCTCCCGCCAGGGGCTCTGGCACCTCTGCAGCCAGGACCGCTGCCCACCTTGTCCACGTGATTCACCACCTCCAGCACCCGATGACGCACGGCTGCTTCGCTCCCCAGCATCTGGAACTGGGGACACGAGACCCTCAGGCTGGAGCCCACACACCCCCCATGCCCCCGCCGCCGGCTGCTCTCCCACCTTCCCTGCCCCCAACACACCTCTGCATTGTCCACGACCACATACAGCTCCACGTAGCGGGTCTCTCGGGATGGCAGAGAGTCCTGGGGAACAGCCACAAGAAGCCAGTCAGCCTTCCCAGCGCCGGGGCCTGGACCCTCCCTCAGGGACCCGGGGCCACTGTCCAGCCCCTGTCCAGTGCTGGGGGAGCGTGGCCAGGCCTGCTCCAGGCTGCAGACAATGGGCAGCACCCAGCACATGGGGAGCCAGGAGGACTCACAGGCCAGGCAAGTGGACACCGGCAGGGCCAGCCAAACACAGGAGACAAGGGTGCTCACCCCGGGCCGAGGCCTGAAGACGGCTGCCGTCCGGGGTCCCAGGAGGCTGCCCAGGCTGTCGTCGCTGACCCCGCAGGTCCCGGCCGTCTGCAGCAGGTGCTCAGCCTGGTACACGGCGTGCCGTCCGCCCTCGCCACCTTCATCCAGGGGCTCGATCAGGTGCAGGTCTGACCCCACCTGGAAGAAACCCCTGAGGGGAGTGGGAGCCGGGTGTGCTGTGGGCTTCAGAGTGGCCTGGTCCTGCCCCGAAGGACCAGAGGCTCCAGTTTGTTGCCTACAGCTCCCCCTACCCTGCCACCAGCAGCCCCCCGCAGGTGACTTCAGGCCCCAGGGTACAGGAGGGTGAGCCTCTTGGGCTTGGCGTCCCCTGAGCAGACCCCCATGCAAGACAGCAAAGGCCTGAGTGGGAGGAGGAGGCACCCTCCCTGCCTCCCTTCCCCACCCCCACCACAGGCTTAGGCCTTCCTCTCCACCTGCGGGAGCCCTGGCGTTCGTCCGCCACACCCACCTGAGGCCGGCACAGGTGCTGAGGCTGGCGGCTGAGTCCGGGTACCCCTCTACGTGGCCCTGGTAGAAGCAGTGGTCCTGCGGGGGAAGCAGGAGAGGGGTCCACAGGCTGTGCCCCCATGGCCCCACAGGCTCGGGGAGGGCCGCCCAGCCCCTACCTGCCCGCCCAGCTGCTCCGCCCGACCCATACCTGCCCGCGAGGCTGCTCCGTCACCTCGGAGCCATTGGCAGCCGTATAGGTCTCTGTGTAGCCGGAGCCCAGCAGGTCCCTGGAAAAGAAGTGCTGTGACTGCCTCGGCCCCCTCGGTGCAGAGAGGCTGGCCCAGAGGCTGGACGCCGGGGACACCAGTGTGCTGGAGCCAGGCCCGGGCAGGGGGGCCGACCCGAGACCCACTCACCTGTTCTTCCGCAGGTGGAGGGTGAAGTTGTGCCCTGTGGCCCCAAGGACGTAGCTCACCCTCTCTGGGTGCAGGCCCTGAGCGAGGAGGGAAGGGTCCCAGGTGAGCAGCCTGCCCGGGCTGTGCCCACCTCAATCCTGGGGGCCAGAGAAGCTCAGCTGGGGGGGAAGGGGTGCCGGCCTCCAGCCCCAGGTCAAGGCTCCATCCTGGAGGGTCCACAGCCTCAGGCAGGGTAGAGGGTGGAGGGTGGAGGGTAGGGGGCAGGGGGTGGGGGGTGGAAGGTGGAGGGTGGAGAGTGGAGGGTGGAGGGTGGAGGCGGGGGGCGGAGGGCAGAGGGTGGGGGGCGGGGGGTGGAGGGTGGAGGGTAGGGAACGGGGCTGTGCTGAAGGCGACCGGCGGAGCCCAGCACTTGGGTAGACAGGAAGGACACGGTGCTCCTCGGTCCTCCCAGGCCTCAGTTTCCCCATCTGACCACGCATGGGTAACGACAATGCCCCTTCCCCGAGAAAGCATAGGGTGGGGGAGGCATAGCCTCAGCCAGGCAGCAAAGGAGGTGGGTGGCGGGGATAGCACGCACAGGCCCCTCCAGCGACAGCTGCCTGCCTCCAGGACCCATCCCTTCCAGCAGCTGCCGGACCTGGTGGTGCCTGCAGAGCCTCCTGCTGGACCACTGCATCTCCAGCCCCCATGTGCAGGCTGGGGCTCGGCCTGCAGAGCTCTGGGACAGCCTTAGCTGTGCCACCGGCTGGATGAGCCCAGGGCAGCGGGCAGGTCGGTAGTAGGTTCCCCGGATGCTGAGGTAAGGACAGGGCTGGGGCCGGAACTGCCCTCCCTGGAAACAGGTGCACACATGCATATGCCGTGCACATGTGTGCACACCCACCCACTCAGGCTTCAGGAATCACCCTCGGGCAGCCCCAGTCGGGGAGGGGGGCATTCTCAGTTTCTAGCCCTGGGAAACCCCCGCCAGGCCCCCCCCCCAACACAGGAAGGTGTGTCAACTCTGCGGTGAGCCAGCGTCACTTCTCAAAGAGGAATTTGGCTTATCAGCCTCGCCAAGTGAAACTGGGGAGGGGCCCGGGGCCAGCACAACCTGCCCCTGCTCCCTTCCAGGGGTCCATAGAGCTCCTGAAGGAACGAGGAGGCTGGGAGCCCTCAGGCAGTGCTGGAGGGAGGAACGGAGATGGGCCCCAGGGGGCTAGAGCTGTACAGGGCAGCCCCAGACACCCACTGGCCTCTCACCACTTTCTGTAAGCTAAAGCTCCTTTCACAAAAATAGGCTCAGGGGCCAGCCAGGGACCCTCCCCAGGCCAGCTTAGACTCACCAAGTGGGAGGGCAGAGCTCGGCGGACTCGGGGGCCTGGCAGACGCCACGGCAACACGACCTCATACTGCTCCATGAGGGCCCAGGGCCGGCTGGGGGCAATCGCTGCAGGAGGGAGGGTCAGCAGGCATGAGGGGCCGGGGGGCAGGTTTCCTTCCCAGAGGCCTCCTGGGCCCTCAGATTCTGTCTCTTGCTGGGCTTGACCCTCCCCTGGGGAACTCACCAGATAGCTCTGGGACAAAGACTCAAGTGAGGGTTCTGTGCCTAAAAGACCCCAGGAGCGCCCCCAGGCATGGCCGGTGGGCCTGTGTCCTGCAGCACCCACACACAGTGCTCAGAGACGCTGTGGGTGCCAGCGGGTGCCAGTGACTCCACAGGTCTCCAGGCTGTCTCAGATCTCTGGAGGGGCCCGAGGGCAAGGATGAACCTTCCCCCCAGGGAGGAGGACTCGGGCCGCCGACCTGCCCGTTTCCATTCTCCTCCTCCATTCTTCTGATCATCTGATCGCATCTAACTGGGGAGCAGGAAGTGCCTCCCGGAGGCTGTTCACCTCCCAAGAACTGGAAACTCCCTGGTATCCGAGAGCAGAGGGCAGGGTCCCAGCATGCAATGGGCAGGGTTTCGGAGACCACCAACCCCAGGACCCTTTGCTCCCATTAAAACACAATAGTGGACGTGTCTCCATGACCACATCTCCAACCTGGAGAGGCAGCAGGGGAGCAGCCAGCCCCTATCTGCCCAGGAAACTGGCGGGAAGCAACCCGGCCTCCAGCCTGAAGCTCCTCAGCACACCCCAGCCCAAGTCACTCCAGGAGCAGGGGTGGGATCCAGGGTCAGCAGCCCCATGTCCTCCCCCAGGCAGGAGACGGGTCCCCTCAGCCCACACCCCTGCACTCCAGGCCTCAGCTTGTCTGCCCTCCCTTCCCTCCTCGGCTAAATAGTGGGGGTGGGTAGCCCCACAGGTGAATCCCAGGAACCCAGGGCGCCTCGCGCAGCAGGTGAAGCGTCCTGCTTGGCCCGGCCCCGACCCCACTAACAAGCTCAGAGGCGGGACTTCCCTCTCACAGTTCACCTTTGAAGGTTCCCTCCGACCTCCCCGGCCTCCCCGGCCCGGGGCTCTCCACCCAGAGACCACTGTGCACCTGATGGCCCGCTCCCAGGGACCAGCCCGAAGCCGGGCCAGGGTGCGGGGTGCGAGCAGGCCAGGGGCTCGGGGTCCGCGTCGCGTCCTGCGGGGAGAGCCACCCTGCCCCGCGCTGCGCCCGGGACGGTTCCCTGGAACCACTCACCAGGCAGCATCATCGCGCCCAGCAGCCAGAGCCCGAGGCCGCGCATGGCCGGGTCGGGGAGCAGAGGCGGAGGTGACAGCCCCGCGGGACACGGTCTGGTTCCTGCGCTCCTGGCCCGAGGCTCTTTTCCGCGCGCCCCGCCCCGGCGCCCCGCAGCCAATGGGCCCCTCGGCCGGTGGGAGGGGCGGGGCGCGCGGCACCTGGGGGCGGGGTCCGTTTCCCCTCTCCCCACAATCCAGCATCCTCCCTTGCACAGGTGAGGAAACTCAGGCACAGCCTGTCCCAAGTCCGGCCAGAGCCCCGAGAGGGGGCCTCTCGAAGGACCCGGCGGCTGGAAGGAGGTGGCGCCAGGCAGGTCCTGGAGGGGAAGGGACTTGTGAGGGCCGCCTGGCGGTTTCAGGAGAGGGGGTCTCTGATTTCCTGGGGAACAGAAAGCCTCAGGCAGGGGCAAGTCATGGCTTTGTGGGCATAGGTTCAGCCCTGTGGGAAGCTCTGCCACCCTCCCCCCCAAGCCTGCGCCCCCTCCACCAGGCTGAGGCCTCACCGGAGTGGGATAGGCATGGGCCCGCAGGCGTCCAAGTGGGGAGGGGGAGCCCTAGGTGGGGGTCCCAGCCCAGGTGATGGCAGGTGCAGGGGCCGTCCCTAGCCTAAGATCCCCAGACAGCAGCTGACGCTGGCCGACGTGGACCAAAGCCTGCAGCAGCCCACCGTGGCCTGGCTCCGGCGTCTCCAGGCCTGCGGCCAAGCGTGCTTGCCCTTGGTGACCACATTCCCCGTGGTGGGCTCAGCCTCGAGGGTGCAGGTTTGGGCTGACACCACAGCTCCCCAGACGGTCCACCCAGGACCCCTCCCTGGGGCTTTCACAGCCAGGCCGCCCTCCTGGAGTGGGAACAGTGGTGGTGGCAGGAAAGGCAGCTCAGATGACCACACAGGGCGCTGCTGACAGATCACATGGGGGGGGGGGGCCTCAGGGCCTCCCTGGGGAGAGGCAGGGCAGGGCCAGCAAGGGGCTGGAGGGAGTCCTGCCTGGAGAGAGGGCACCAGGGCAGGGCGAGTCAGGGAACTGCACGGGCCTAGGGGCAGAGGACAGAGGTCAAGGGGCAGTGGCAAGAAGAGGCCGGGGCCTCGGACGTTATCCTGGGAGGACAGGGAACCCGGAGGATCTAAGCTGGCGTGAGTGATGCTGTCACATTTTGTCTCAAAGCCATTCTTACCCTAATGTGAATGGCATGAAAAGCAAGAAAGCAAGGGCTGGCACTGGGCCGCAGGTGACTTCTGCTGCCTGGGGGTGTGTCCGCTTGCCTGTGTGGCACAGGACGAGGTCCCCCAGGCTGCCGAGAGGCTCCCAGGTAGGGCTGGGGATACTGGCCTGTGCCTGAGCTCATGCAGGTGACCCTGTTATTATAGAACAATGGCCAGCTGGCAATCACACTTCCCTTCCTTGACCTCATGGTGCAAGTTACTCAACAGCAAAGTGCAAAGGCGGCACGCTGGCCACATCAGAGGCACAGCAAGGCCCCTGCCGACGCTGAGCTACCAGGGATTTATTCCTAAAAAGACAGGACCAGCTTGGGCCAGAACAGGCTCCTCCCGCGCTGAGGAAGTTCCACCCAATCCCACAGAACACAGCTCTCCTCTTCAGCAGGTGCCGGGGGGTCTGGGAGCCTGAACCCCACAGCCCTGGAGGCTTCCCTCCCCTCCTCCTATCACCACCTGCAAACCCCACTTCTCAAGGCCCAGGGCTTCCCAGACCCCAGGACACAAGATCAGGGGTTTCTGGGCCTCGGGGCCAGGCAGGAAAGCTAGCAGGCTCCTCTGCTCACCAGTCCGGCATTTGCACAACACTGAGACTGACAGCTTGGGTTGCTGATAAATGTGTTTACTCACAGGCCAGACCTGCACAGCCTGCAGACAAGGAGGAAGCGGTTTGTGGCTGGAGAGTTGGACACCCCCACCCCCACTCGGCGGTGCTCTCAGTGAGGCAGCCCCGGGTGAGAGCTGCCCACAACCCTTGTTCCCCGCAGGATCCTGTTCTAGCTATCCTTTCTCCCAACCTCGCCTCCAGGGCCCTTCCTCACTGCCCAAGGGGGCCGAGGTGCTGAGAGCTGAAGGTGACAACAATACACATGCAGGTCAGCAGGAAGGGGCAGCTTGGCCAGAATGTAACCAGAGCAGACCAACCTGGCCGGGCAGCCCTGAGGCTCCCAGGGCCCTGTCACACTGGGGATGGCGGTGCTGCCCACTGTAGCCCTGGAGGTGGGAAGACAGGGCAGATGATCGCCCGAGGGGGATTGGGTGTCAGTCTGCTGAGTAAGTTCTACGTAACAAGGCGGTACCGGATAGGGCGGGGTGGGGTTTCCAGCCAGCAGCAGAGCCTGCCCCTCGACCCACTCCCACGGAGGGGGAGGTGTGGGCTCCCAGGGTGCCTGAGGGCCCTGTCTGTGGCCTCCTGCCCTGGACCAGTTGGAGCAGCAGCAGGAGGAGGGTCGTGGAGGCGGGTGAGTCCTCAGGAGAAGGAACGGGGCTGCCTCTGGGGCCAAAGCAAACCCGACACCCGATGCCCGGTGGGTTTCCACAACTCCCTGACCGTTTCCAGAGGCTTGTCCCGGTTCCGACAGACCTCAGGAAGCCCGGCCCCAGCTCACCCGGAAAGATGTGGACACCAGGCCTGGATCTTACCCCACATGCATCTTTGCTTGCTCCTGGCTTAAACACCATGTATTTCCACTTTGAGGCCAAAAACACCCAAAAAGGTGATAGTGTAATTTCAAAAAGCAAACAGATTAGCAAATCCAGGGAGACATCCACCCTGCCTGGGCAGCTTCTATAAAACGAAACCCAGCGCCTTGAGAAACAAAGTGAGCTGAGTCAATCATTCCTGCTTTATATTTAAACTGCAAAGACAGAACACAGAGCATTCGATTTGAAAATTCTGGACCCATTTGCACCAGTCCCTGCTGACCCCACACCCTTCCTTCCTGTCACAGCCAGGGCTCACTGTGCGGTGACTGCGACCCTGGGTGCAGGAGCCGGGGGCCCCCGCAGGACAGGCACTTGGGGGGTGGCCTTCTGGCTCCTCTCTGCAGACAGGCGCTCCAGGCGCTCCGTGTAGAAACCATTGAAGTCAAGCCTGTGAGGAAGGACAGTGGAGCTGGGGTGCACACCCCTTCTGCGGGTGCATGCTGGGCAGCAGGGGTGTGGAAGGACGGTGCAGCTAGGGTGCACACCCCTTCTGCGGGTGCGTGCTGGGCAGCAGGGGTGAGGAAGGACAGTGGAGCTGGGGCACACACTCCTTCTGCGGGTCCGTCCTGAGCAGCCCTGCTCCTACCATGGGGAAGTGTTCAGCTACAGAGACCATAAGAGGCCCTGCAGGGGTGAGGGTGAGGCACGCTCCTAACTAATGTTTCCACAGGAAGGTTTTCAGTCCTGTTCAGTCCTGCTCAAAGGCACAAACACAGGTTTCTTCTCTCCTGGCCCCAGAAAGTTGGGGCTCCCATCACCCCAACAGGGCCTAGCAATGGGGCCTGAGGTGTCAGGGGCTTGGAGAACCAAGCAGTGGTTCTCAATGCAGGGTGGCCTCAGAAATCCCTGCTCAGAAAATCAGAACATTTGTGGGGGGCACAGGGCACAGGGTGGTCCAAAAGCACAAATAGGCACCTTCCCAAGGACAGCACCCCCAAGGGCACCACCCCTTCCAGGCTGGCAGTTTGGCCACCTGGCCCTTTCCCCCAGGCTAGGTGTTAGTGCAGCATGAGGGAAGCTGACCCAGGCCTGATCAGCCCCACAGGACACACACAGCCGCAGGGTGCCAATGGGGCAGCCCAGTTGCACAGAATGTCACACCCCAGGGAGAGCTGGGCTAGCCTGACTTCAGGGAGTGGCATATGACCAGCACTAGCACCAGGACACAGACCTGCCCCACCTTCTGAAGGAGGCTACACCAGGTGGACCAGGGGAGGGTGCAGGGGAGATGGGGCCTGGATGCAGGGACAGGTGCTGAGCTGGGGTGGCGCTGGGCTGGGGCAGATGCTGGGCTGAGCTGAGGAAGGGCTGAGCCGGGGCAGGCGCTGGGCTGAGCTGGGGGAAGGCTGAGCCGGGGCAGCACTGGGCCAGGGCGGTGCTGGGCAGGGGCAGGCGCTGGGCTGAGCTGGGGGAAGGCTGAGCCGGGACAGCACTGGGCCAGGGCGGTGTTGGGCAGGGGCAGGTGCTGGACTGAGCTGAGGAAGGGCTGAGCCAGGGCGGTGCTGGGCAGGGGCAGGTGCTGGGCTGAGCTGGGGGAAGGCTGAGCCGGGGCAGCACTGGGCCAGGGCAGTGCTGGGCAGGGGCAGGTGCTGGGCTGAGCTGGGGGACGGCTGAGCAGGGACAGCACTGGGCCAGGGCGGTGTTGGGCAGGGGCAGGTGCTGGACTGAGCTGAGGAAGGGCTGAGCCAGGGCGGTGCTGGGCAGGGGCAGGCGCTGGACTGAGCTGAGGAAGGGCTGAGCCGGGGTGGCGCCCACCCACCTGGAGATGACGCTGGCCATGCCGTGCTCACAGTCACTGGTGCTATAGATGCTCAGCCGGGCCAGGAGGTCCAGCAGGTGGGCTGAGAAGTTCTTGTCAAACTTGTTGATGGTGGCCTCGAAGCCGGACACCAGCTGCACAGTGTCTGCGTGCTCAGCCAGGTGCTGGAAAGAAAGCCGGGGTGCGTGAGCCATGCCCACCCCCACCGTGGGCCTTCTTGGCTCCACACTGTTCCCAGCAGGCCGGTGTCCTTTCCCTTCCCCTTTTCTTAAATAGAAAACATGGGTTCCATGATGTTTTCAGGAGATTCAAGGTAAAAAAGACATCAAAAAACATTCCTGAGAACCCAGCACTCAGAGAAACACTCCAGGCCTCGTGGGATGAGGTGGTCACTCTCCTTTGGGGTGAGATGAACGAGCTTTCCCAGCAGCTTTCTCAGCAAGGAGGTCGGGGCGCCTCTCAGTGTCCCTCACCTCCGGCCCCCACGCTTCCAAACCCAACTCCTCTCTGCCAGCTCCAGCTCCAGCGTGTGAACACGGGACTGCCCACCCCACCATGCCACCCCGGAGCCGGCGCCGCAGGGCCATGCCTCCGAGGACATGCAGCCTGTCCGTGCCTGCTGAGAGCCTGACGGTTCTAACTCAGGACCGAGCTCAGCAGGGACAGCGGGTGTGGCCCCTGCCCTCGCCCAGGCGCCCTGCACAGCGCTCGCTCTGAAGATCTGTGGGGGTTCCCTCGAGCCCGACTGGCTGAAGTGGGGACCAGAGAGCTGAGAAGATTGTGAGAGGCTCTTGTGCTTGTGCTTGGAAGCTAATTTTAAGTCTTTTCTTCAATCTGAGGGGAGATGGAAGTAAAAGGGGGGAGGTTTGTTCTCCCTGCGTCAGGATGCCCAGGCTGCCGCCCAGCCGGGAGGAAGCGTCTCTCTCTGGCCAAACCTGGAGGCCACGCACCTTCCTGGCGAGCTCCTTCCGGGCCCGCTCCTCGGCCCCTGCGGGCAGCCCCAGGACGGTGCTGTGCTCCAGCGTCTGCCCGCCCAGCTCGCCATCTAATTTCATGCTCTGTGTAAATTTCTAGGGGGGGAGAGTCGCAAGGAAATGCTTCTGTTAGTTACAACCACAATGCTTTGCAGAAAAAACAAGTCCTGCAGGCACGTCACCCTCCGCACCTCTGTTGTAGCCTGCGGCTGGGGGTACACAAGCATCTCTGAGGCTGCAGGGGAAATGACTTATCTGTGCCGACAGAATTCCCAGGTCTACCTTCCACGGTGACCAGCTGATTTTCCTGAGAACAGTTATTTTGGTGTTTCCCTATTTGGGACCCTGAAGTGGCCATGCCCTCCTCCACCTCCCCACTCGCCCTCCTCCGGACCCTCCCCATGGCACTGCCTGGAGAGCCTCATTCTCAGACCCCTGCTTCTGCCACTAGACACGCAGGTTCTGCACCATCGCCAGTCGGCAGCTGCTTGTGACTAGTGCCTGCAGGTCCTTAACGGAATCAAATAGCTCAAGTGCTGAGGAAAAGAGCATGCAAGGGCCATAAGCAAAGGCCCCGGACAGAGACCAGCACCACAGAGGCTGAGGGATGGTTCGGGAGGAACACAGCCCTGCCCACGCTGCCAGGGCAGGGGCTCCAGGAGGGAATCACCCGGCCAGGAAGACCAGGAGTTCTGGAAACACTCAGATCCCAGCGGCTCCTCCACGAACACAAGGGCAGGAAAACGTGAGCAGGCTGCGTGCGGCCACGGTCGGGACATGGTCTGCCCACCCGCGCCTGCCCACCCGATGGTGCTACCCACACCCACGCACCTGCATGCAGTTGGTGAACATGACGCACACAGACATGAGCTTGGAGAAGACCTTCAGCAGCTCGGGGTTGGTGAGCATGCAGTCCTTCAGGCAGGTGTCCAGGAAGCCTGTGTGGTGGCCAAGGACGTCGTCAATGTTGGAGGCCTGCGGGGAACAGGCCAAGCCCCTTCTCAGAAAGACGTGGCTGACAGACGGGCCCTGCATGCGCACGTGCTCAGTTCTGGCTTTGTGCATTCCTGTTTACGCACTTCTACCTCTTAAATGGGCCTTGGGCTTTTAGGGGAAAACTTCCAAACACCACTAAAAAAATGATGGGCACACCCCGAAGGGGTTTCATTTCTTAAGGCAGAAGACAGGAAGGGAGGCTGCGGCAGCTTCTGGAATTTGGTACCAACAGATTCTGCCTTCAGGCCCCTCAGCCTCAGATGCGCAATGTGGGAGAGACAACCTCGGGGCAAAGACGGCTCAGAGTCCCCCTAGGACGGCAGGCAGCAAGGGGTCCCGTGTGTGGCCAGCAGTGTGGGTGCAGCCCCGCCCTGGGGGATCCCTTCCTCTCCCCTTGCCCTGCCTCTCCTGCACTCCGTGTCTCCCTGCACTCCCTGCCTCTCCCGCATTCCCTGCCTCTCCCGCACGCCCTGCCTCTCCCGCACTCCCTGCCTCTCCTGCACTCCCTGCGTCTCCCTGCATTCCCTGCCTCTCCTGCACTCCCTGCCTCTCCCCTCGCCCTGCCTCTCCTGCACTTCCTGTCTCCCTGTGAAAGGAAAGTGGCTTTCAAACGTTATTATCTGTGGAGCTAAAACTCACGGATTTCAGGTTTTTCTCCAGGATGTGCCAGGTCGGTTCCATCACTTCAAACATCATGTAGTATTGAATATTCTGGACGAAGTTGAGCATTCGCTGCCGCAGAGTGAAAGCCCCAGCAAACCTGAGTGACACGGAGGACGGAGGACAGCCATGGAGGACGCGGCCCCGACAGCGCCCACCAAGTGACACGGAGGACGGAGGACAGCCATGGAGGACGTTCTCTGGACGTGGCTATTTCCTCTGCAGAGCAAGCGCCCCTCCCAGCACACCAGACACTCACGGCCGCTGCTCCTGCGTCTGCCCAGCACAAGCTGTCACCGTCTACCAACCTGTGCCCTGCAGGGACACCCCCAGCCAGCTGGACGGTGGAGACTGGGACGCGGGCTCCTTGGTGGACGGACCCCTCGGAGCCCACGCCAGGAAAGTGCCACACAACAGATGCATATTTGTGCTTCATCATCAAGATGAGTTCTTTTTCTTCTAATTTCTTTTTTTCTTCGAGAGACAGGGTCTTGCTGTCGCTCAGACTGCAGTGCAGTGGCACGATCTTGGCTCACTGCAGCCTTGACCTCCTGGACTCAAGCAACCCTCCCACCTCAGCCTCCTGAGTTGCTGGAACTACAGGCATTCCCGGCTAATTAAAATAATTTTCTTTTTTTTTAAGAGATGAGCTCTTGTTACATTGTCCAGGCGGGTCTCGAACTTGTGGGCTCAAACAATCCTCCCTCCTCAGCTTCCCAAAGTGCTGAGATTACAGGCATGAGCCACTGCACCCGACTGGACAAATTCTTATGAAGCTCTGCCATCGACCCCTTTTTTCAACACCCTAGAGGCACAGACCGGCTGCAAAGCACCTCTGGTCCCAGCAAGATGTGGCTGTCCGCTCTCGGGAGGAGCTAGTGTCCTGCACACCGACCTGGGCAGTCTCCATGCCCGTGCAGTCACCACAAGGCTCCAGAGAGGGCTGAGGGACAGAGCCAGCATCCCCTGTGGGGTGGACGGCAGCGCCGTGCAGCCCCAAGACAGGAAAATGAAGCAATGAAGCATTATGGATCTAAAGCCACCAACGTGCGCTTCCAGATGACACTTCCAGAAGCCTAGAAAGCTGTCTACCAGGAGGGCACAAGGGGGGCGCTGCACCACTGGGCAGAGTGCAGCGAGCGCTGCTTCAGGAGGGCATGCGGGGGCAGAGGAAGAACGCACCACTGGGCGGAGTGCAGCGAGTGCTGCTTGGCGGTTTTGTTGCTGATCCAGACGCTGCAGAGCTGCCGCTCCACGTGCTTGCAGTAGAACATGTGCCTGAAGAGCATCTGGTAGCGAGTGAGGGCTTTCCTGCAAGAGACGTGGCGGCACCTCAGGTGGGCCTCCGTGACCGGCGGCGTCGTGGACACGGCGTCTGTACTCCACAGTCCGCACCGTGGCCCCCGGACAGCCCGTGAATCTCTCGGACACTGAAGGCCGGGGAGAGCCGCCTTGGGTCCTCTGTGGGACGAGGTGGCCACCGCGTGGCACAGTTCTCGCTTCTGCCAAACCTGAGTGAAGATCTGGCAGGTGCCCGAGCAGCCGACCCGCACCTGTTGATGATGAGCGAAAGGGGCCACTTGACGATGTAGTCGAAAGAGAAGGCCTCCAGGCCGCTCAGCGCCAGCTCCGTGGGGTCGGCGTGCGCCATCGCCTTCTCCTGCTTGGTCTCGATGGCCAGGACGCGCAAGAGCTGAGTGATGAGGTCATGGGGCATCAGGTCGATCTTGGAGGGAAGGAAATGAAACAAAGCATCCAGTTTTAAGGAAAAGACCCGAAGTCGCATCCCGATCGCCATCCTCGCTCACAGACCCAGCGCTGACGTAAGGTTCCCTACATTCCGATTCTAAATATCAGAGGCTTTTCAAAAACCCAAACATCTACTGATAAATCAAATTCAAAACTGAACCACTTCCCATCAGAACAAAACAACAAAAATTCAGATGAATTACTTTGTAAATACCCACTGCTGCTGTGGGTGGTATAAGGGAAAAACCGCTAAGGACGGTGAAAGAAACGTGATTCCTTAGGACGAAAACCTTTGTACCATGATAAGCACCAGGCCCAGGTTGAAAAATGAAGCATATTTGACGAGGGACATAATAGTTATTATAAGCAAGTAATACTGTCCTCACGTTAATCACTCGAGTATTTGCTAAGTTCCAACCACCCGCAACAGAGTTCCTACAAAACCATCGCACAACGACAGGACAGGAAATGAAGGGCAGGGGATAAAGCAAGAAGAAACAAGCAGCGGACAGACGAAATCGTGACCATCACAAACGCAGAAATGAGCCCCTGACATCACTTGTCCATCAAATAGCCAAGGTGGGAGCTTTCGCAGGTGTGCAGACAGCAGCGTCCTGAGACTGGACTCCATCAACTCCAGCAAGGTCAGCCTAGTCATACAAGGGCCATGTATTGTGACCCAACAATTTCACTACCAGGAATTTTTCCTACGAAAATATTCCTGCTCCTAACAAGAGACCCCAAAATATCTGAATCAAGAATAGACAGAATGACAAGGAGAAAAGCAGTTCTTCAGTGACAGGGAGACTCGGTGCCCTACTTCTAACCACGGAGAGAACCGCCGGACAGACGATCAGTGAGGAAAGACACGGCCTCAACCCACCTGCAGAACACCACCCCAACAGCACCGAGGGCGCGTCCTCCTCCCGCGCGCACGGAACCGAGGGCACATCCTCCTCCCGCGCGCACGGAACACTCTCCAGGATGGATGTGGGGCCACTACACAAATCAATACATTTCACAAAACTGAAATCACAAAAAGTCTGTTCTCTAACAAGGAGATAAAGTTAGAAACAAGCAACAGAAGGAAAACCAGAAACTTCACAAACATGTGGAAGTTAAACATAAACCACCCACGGCTCCAACAAGAAATCAGAGGGAATCAGAAACACCTCCAGACAAACAGAAATTATGACGCTAGGGGATCAGCGAAGGCTGCACTCGGAGGGATGTTTACAGCTGTAAACTAACTTTTCAAATTAAGAAACTAGAAAAAAGAAGACCACACTGAACCCCTAAGCAGCAGACAGGAGTAACAAAGATGACAGAAGAGAGAAAACAGAAAAATACAGTCAACAAACCCAAGAGTTGGTTCTTTGAAAAGATAATGAAATCGACAAATTTCTAGCTACATCAGCTAAGACGAAAGAAGATTCAAATTACTAAAATCAGAAAAAGAAGGGATATAACTACTAATCTTACAGAAATAAAAAGCAGATACTAGAAACCCATGAACTGTGCACCAGACAAGATGCGAGACAGACAGCCGACCAAGAGGAAAGGGACTGAGCAGACCTGTGGCCAGCAAGGGGCCAAGTCCCCCTCAAAAGTCTCCAACAAAGACAAACCCAGGGCCCAAGAGCTCCCAGGCAAACCCTGCCAAACAGCCAAAGAATCAACACCCTCCTGGGGAGGCGCAGGTGAAGGATCGCTTGAGCCCAGGGGTTCAACCAGCCTGGGCAACACAGACCCCCGTCTCTATTAAAAATAGTAAAAAACAGATAAAACATATATATATTTTAAAAAACGGCTGGGCACGGTGGCTCATGCCTGTAATCCCAGCACTTTGGGAGGCCAAGGTGGGTGGATCACCTGAGGTCAAGAGTTCAAGACCAGCCTGGGAAACATGGTGAAACCCCATCTCTACTAAAAATACAAAAATTAGCTGGGCGTGGTGGCGCGCACCTGTAATCCCAGCTACTCGGGAGGCTGAGGTAGAGCATCACTTGAACCCAGGAGGTGGAGGCTGCAGTGAGCTGAGATCATGCCACTGCACTCCAGCCTGGGTGACAAGAGCAAAACTCCGTCTCAAAAAAAAAAACAAAAAACAACGACAACAAAAAGGCAAAAACAAAAAGAATTAACACCACTCCTGAAACCCTTTCAAAAGACCTGAAACCCTTTCAAAAGACAGATGGAGGGACACGTGAAAACAATTCCACAAGGCCAGCATGACCTGAAAGCCAGGCCCGGACGAGGGCACTGCAGGAAAACCCGAGACCCGCGCCCCTCCAGAGCACAGGCACAAAGACCCCCGATCCCGGCAAGCCGGCCCCGGTAGCCAAGTGAAGGAAACAGACCCTGCGGTCGCCTCACCGGGACGGGGAGTGGGGGACAGGGCTGGCCTCTGCTGTGCTCTCCTCCCAGCCCCTCCGAGGCCTCTGCCACAGGGGACAGCCCCCGGCACCCCCACCCACCTTGAGGTCGTCCTTGAAGGGGTCAGTGTTGGCCGTGCTCATGCGCAGCGCCAGCTCCAGGAGCGCTTCCAGGCGAGGGGGCGTGATGTCCTCCACCGGCTTCCGGAGCTCCTCCTCCGCGAGGTCCATGAAGTGCACGAAGAAGTCGCCCTGGTCCATGAGGAAGTAGCGCTTGATGGACCTGCGCCAGGGAGCAGGCGTGAGCAGGTGCCCACCCGCAGGTGCCCGCCACAGCCAGGGAGCAGGCGTGAGCACGTGCCCACCCGCAGGTGCCCGCCACAGCCAGGGAGCAGGCGTGAGCACGTGCCCACCCGCAGGTGCCCGCCACGGCCAGGGAGCAGGCGTGAGCACGTGCCCACCCACAGATGCTCGCCATAGCCATCACCCTAAAACACACTACAACAGGCTAAGCGCTTGGCTCTCAGGCAGGGGCTGTGCAACCACCACGCAAGCTGTGGCAGGAGGAGCTGAGAAGGGGCTGGTGGGCCCTGGGCAAGGAGGGGAGCTGGGGCCCCTGGACAAGGTGACCGGGGGCCTACACCACCCACTGTGAGTGCCAGGTCCTTGAGCTAGAGACCATCCAGCAGTGCCCACTTTCAAAAAGACAAGGCGGAGCTGCCAGAAGAAACCCAGCGATCTCAGCCCCACGTCCCACAGGTTCCGGTTTCAGAGGGAGGTGAGTGCCCGCACAGGGACAGGGCACGGAATCACCTGAGGTGAGCCACCAGCTCCTTCTCCTCCATCAGGAAGTCCAGCAGCACCTTGCTGGCGTAGTTAAACGCCTTCTCGATCTGCTCCACATACGCCCGCTCTTTTAACGTGTAGATGATCTCTTTAGCCACCGGGCAGGTGACGTCATGGCCACACTCTCTGACCACATTTAGATATTTTCCTGAAAACACAGAAATTCAAAATTTTATTCTCCACATGGTCGATCTCAGGCCCCAGCTGTCTTTGTCTACACAGGAGGCAGTGGAATGGACATTGAATGGGCTCTCCACACGGTCAGTCTGAGGCCCCAGCTGTCTTTGTCTACACAGAAGGCAGTGGAATGGAAACTGGGCTGCATGAGGCGGCTCCACACCCTTGCTCCTTCCCGGTAAATCACTGTCAGCGGCTACAGACTGAGCTGGTGGTGGCAGGGCTTTGCCGTGGCTCTGCACATCTGGAATTTTCTAACCAAGGGCACAGAAATAATTTCGAACAGGCATTATGAGAACCGGATGGCTAATCGCTTCCCAACCCTTTCGTGACGGCCCCGATGTGCCGAGTCCAAGTCCCCGCGCCACTGCCCTGGGTCCAGGTCAGGCCCTAACCTGTGTGGTCAGAGATAGGAAACACTGCCGGCCGCCAGGCGTGTGTCTTTGCTGGTTTTTCCTGACATGCTAGCGGAGTTTTAGAAATCAGAAACAGAAATAGAGAAGGCACCTGTGAGAGAGCCTCGCAGGGTCAGGGACAGAGTCCCGGAGATGGAAACCTGAGGGAACCTGGCAACAGAGACCATCTCAAGGCCTAACTCAGCGCCGCAGCCCAGCCCACGGGCCAGTCCTGACCTCAGCCCCGCATTCACGGACACCAGGGCTCAGGGCAACCACAGGGTGAGGCACAGGCTCCCGGTGGGAGGGCCTGGGCTGCAGGAGACTCTCCAGGCAGAGCTGTGCTGCGCACCCCAAGTCCCCGCCCGCTGCGCCGCACCTGTGCTGAGGATCTTGTCCGCCATTTTCTGCAGGAAGGACGGGATCTGCTGCTGGACGATGGTGTACCGCTGGTCCCAGTACTTGTCGTTGTAATCCTCCTGGATCCTCTCCTTCCGCAGCTCGTGCTCCTCGACCATAAACTCACTAAAACCACAGGGAGCGCTTCGGTCACAGGCAAAGCAAGGGCGCCTGAGGCAGGCGACACTTCTCCAGGCCGGCAGCGCGCAGGGACATTAACAGAGGCCAGCACACTTCCAAGTAACGTTCCACAAGGGCCGAGCCTAATCTACCAGTTACTTCTCAACTGTGGGCTAAAACGAACCTAGGGGCCGGGCACGGTGGCTCACGCCTGTAACCCCAACACTTCTCGGCTAAAACGAACCTAGGGGCCGGGCACAGTGGCTCACGCCTGTAACCCCAGCACTTTGGGAGGCTGAGGTGGGCAGATCACGAAGTCAAGAGATCAAGACCATCCTGGCCAACACAGTGAAACCCCGTCTCTACTAAAATACAAAAAATCAGCTGGGCGTGGTGGTGTGCACCTGTAGTCCCAGCTACTTGGGAGGTTAAGGCAGGGGAATCGCTTGAACCTGGGAGGTGGGGGTTGCAGCGAGCCGAGATCATGCCACTGCACTCCAGCCTGGCAATGGAGCGAGACTCTGCCTCAAAAAAAAAAAGAAAAAAAAAAAAAAGAAAACCAACAAACCTACAAACCTCGCTCTGGAACGGAGTATTTAACCTGGGCTCAGGGAGAATGTACGGTCCGCAGAGATAGGTGGGAAACTGATTTGTCTTTATCTGCACCCACCTCTTTTTGGAATTTAGCATTTCCTTCCATGATGAGCCCAGGCAACAAAATGATGCTCGTGTGGGGTGCGTGGGGCCCTGACACCCAAAATGATGCTCGTGTGGGGTAGGCGGGGCCAACATTGACAGAAACCAGACATCTCCACGTCATCATCTGAACAACTTCAAACATCATTTACGCACTTCAAGTGTGAAGGTGCTTTCTTTAAAGGTGCCCATTATACCAGATTTTATTTGGTCCATTAGTAAAGAAATAACATTTCCACATCACTAATGTATTTTTTGAAAATATTTCAACAACGGTATCTTGACGTAATAGACATAATACAATTCTTTGGGAACTAACATATTTTTATCCATTTAAATATATCGCACTGAAGAGAAGCCGACAGACCCCACCAGATCAGGAAATCCAAGCACCAAAGAGGTTGAAGGACCTAATTGGAGGCAATTTAATGTCCTGCACACAAAAGAATAAGGCCATAAGCAGCTGGGCCATTCCTGCCCTGGGCCCCATGGGCAGCAGGCGGACATCTGCCCGGGGTGTGCTTTCCTGAGACCACAAGCAAAGGAAGGCCAGAGCCCCCAGAGAGGGCAGCACGCGCCCTCCGTGTCCCCCATGTCCCTCCGTGTCCCCCATGTCCCTCCGTGTCCCTGTGTCCCGGGGAGCCCTACCTGTACGGGAGAGGGCAGCATGCACCGTCCGTGTCCCCCATGTCCCTCCGTGTCCCCGTGTCCCTCCGTGTCCCCGTGTCCCGGGGAGCCCTACCTGTACGGGAGAGGGCAGCATGCACCGTCCGTGTCCCCCATGTCCCTCCGTGTCCCCGTGTCCCTCCGTGTCCCCGTGTCCCGGGGAGCCCTACCTGTACGGGAGAGGGCAGCATGCACCGTCCGTGTCCCCCATGTCCCTCCGTGTCCCCGTGTCCCTCCGTGTCCCCGTGTCCCGGGGAGCCCTACCTGTACGGGAGAGGGCAGCATGCACCGTCCGTGTCCCCCATGTCCCTCCGTGTCCCCGTGTCCCTCCGTGTCCCCGTGTCCCGGGGAGCCCTACCTGTACGGGAGAGGGCAGCATGCACCGTCCGTGTCCCCCATGTCCCTCCGTGTCCCCGTGTCCCTCCGTGTCCCCGTGTCCCGGGGAGCCCTACCTGTACGGGAGAGGGCAGCACGCGCCCTCCGTGTCCCCCATGTCCCTCCGTGTCCCCCATGTCCCTCCGTGTCCCTGTGTCCCGGGGAGCCCTACCTGTACGGGAGAGGGCAGCATGCACCGTCCGTGTCCCCCATGTCCCTCCGTGTCCCCCATGTCCCTCCGTGTCCCTCCGTGTCCCCGTGTCCCGGGGAGCCCTACCTGTACGGGAGAGGGCAGCACGCACCCTCCGTGTCCCCCATGTCCCTCTGTGTCCCTCCGTGTCCCTCCGTGTCCCCCATGTCCCTCCGTGTCCCCCGTGTCCCTCCGTGTCCCTCCGTGTCCCTCCGTGTCCCCCATGTCCCCCATGTCCCCGTGTCCCGGGGAGCCCTACCTGTACGGGAGAGGGCAGCATGCACACTCCGTGTCCCCCGTGTCCCTCCGTGTCCCCCATGTCCCCGTGTCCCGGGGAGCCCTACCTGTACGGGAGAGGGCAGCATGCACACTCCGTGTCCCCCGTGTCCCTCCGTGTCCCCCATGTCCCCGTGTCCCGGGGAGCCCTACCTGTACGGGAGAGGGCAGCATGCACACTCCGTGTCCCCCGTGTCCCTCCGTGTCCCCCGTGTCCCCGTGTCCCGGGGAGCCCTACCTGTACGGGAGAGGGCAGCATGCACACTCCGTGTCCCCCATGTCCCTCCGTGTCCCCGTGTCCCTCCGTGTCCCCGTGTCCCGGGGAGCCCTACCTGTATGGGTCGTGGATGATGCCCCTGTAGATCCACTTCTCCAGAACCTCGAAGTAGGGAGCACTGGCCGCCTTGGTTAGGTACAGGCATAGCTCCTGCGCCTGGCTGTCCCCTGTGTAGCTGAAGCTCCTGTCGTGGAGCAGGCTCAGCGTGGACCCCCCAAGACATTCGCCTTTGTCCACCGAGGTGGCTGTGGGGAGAAAGGAGGGCTCACTGCTGAGAAGGAAGCGCACGCCCAGCCTCTGCCAACAACACTGCTGGGGCCCCTCATGCTTCTCCAACCTTCTTCCTGGGACGGTGCTGCTTCTTTGGGATACGTATTAACTGTAAGGTTGTAGTTGCTGATTTCAGCTGACCAGTAAGAGCTTCCAGGGCTTTCCTCTTGCAAGTTAATAGCACATGGAGCAACATGAGCTTTGGCCACACGCCCCTGCCCTGGGCAGCTGCTCCACGGCCCCTGCAGAGTCTCTCCTCACACTGGGTGCCATGTTCAACACCTGCCACCCACCACTGCCCCATGCCCCCCGGGCGGGCACGCACCGAGGGAGGCCAGGATGTCCATGGTGCGCATGGCTGGCTGGATGTAGAACCAGAGCTTCTGCAGCGAAAGGAGGCCCTGCCTGTGCAGCTGCTCCAGCTGTGACACCAGAATCAGGTGCTCCTTCACCAGGGTGCGCATGGCGGCCGCCAGGGCGTGGTTCACCTGCCCGTACTCGAAGGAAGACTTCTCTTCAATGAACCTGGAAGAAAAGCTGTCAGACTTCCTCAAAAAGGCAAGCTGCAGGCACATACAATGTCCGATATTCTGAGTCTCATCCCAAACAGGAAGCAAATGACTCACTTGAACCCCACATCCCAGAGGGGAACTTTTGCCCCAGGAGGAGATGAGTCAGGACCCTGGATGGTGACTCACAGACCCTCCAAAACTGAGTTGGGCACGGAGTTGTCACCAAGGCGGGCGCTCTCTTTAGAAGCGATGCAGACGTCCCCATGGTCATCAGGATGGGACCTAACCCCTCCCCCACAACAGCGCAGGCTCCCAGGGACCGCGCCCGGTGCCCACCTGGTCACAGCGGAGTAGCTGGCGGCCACTGGGAGGATCCTGTGCACCAGCTCCCTGATGGACAGGTCCAGGTTGGGGTCCACGAGGAAGGTCCGGCTCTGCCTCCCAGCCAGGGGCTGAGCACTGACGTACCTCCCGTCCACGCCCACCAGCACGTACAGCAGGTCCTCCACCACGGCCGACTCCTGCGAGGCCAGGGGCAACGTGCCTGCGGGCACAGACAGCGCTGTGGCTCTGCAGCCCCCACTCCCATGCCCCCACAGCCACGTGCCCTCATCTGCGGGTCAGTCTCACTCTTGCTCATCTTTGTTTATGGGTATAAAAGGTCAGCCACTGCACTTGGCTTTGACTGACCCCACTGGGGAGCCACAGGCTGAGTTCCAACCGCCGCAGGACGGGGCCGGCCTGGGAGGCGTGGTGGCTGGTGTCAAGATCTCACCACACTCGGCTCCGCAATGCTCAGATACATGGCTGACATTTGAAAAGGTGAAGTTAGGAGTTGAAAAGGCGACTCCAGCAGAAGCTGCACTTTCAACATTGGTAAGTACAACTTGGTAAGTCTGAGTTACTCTGGGACAAAAAACCTTGTCTTTAAAAAGCTATCACTTAAACGTTAAGAAACTCTTGATAATTTCTATCCAGAGAGGATGAGACGGCTGCAGGACACACAGCTAAGCTTCCTCACGAGGACGGCCACGGGCCGCCACCCACCAAACCCCTCAGGTCCCAGGACCAAGTTCTCAGTCCACAGCCTCAGGCGGGCCATGCCTGGGGGGCCGGGAGGAGCACCAGACGAAAGCAGGATGTTGAAACTGTCCCCACGAGGGCCTGACAGGGCCCCGTGCCAGCCAGACCATACCCAAACCAGGCCCTGGCAGCTCAGGAAGGCTCCGTACAACAGGCTTTCGGTTTACAAAATCACTCTGTCAGCCTCACACATCTGCTGGGAAGTGTCCTGTGACTGCAGGCCTCAAGACTACAATCCGTCACCAACGCAAGCCCTTCAGCGAAAGCCTCAATCCTGATGCAGATCCACACTGTCCTTGTTTTTTTTTTTTCCTTTTTTTATTTTTGAGACAAATCTCACTCTGTCACCCAGTCTGGAGGGCAGTGGTGCAATCTCAGCTCACTGCAGCCTTGAGCACCCAGGCTCAAGCGATCCTGTATCCTTAGTCTCCCTCGGAGCTGGGACCACTGGCACGTGCCACCATTCCTGGCTAATTTTTAAATTTTTTGTAAAGGTGGGGTCTTGCCGTGTTGCCCAGGCTGGCAGATCTACACTTTTCAACTTCAAATTCCATTTCTTTCTATTACTCCAGTGGCCTTCTCAGGATGACCAATAAAACCGAGACCCCAATGTCTACCATCCCTAAAGGAGTGGGTGTGGCTTGGCGTTTTGGGAACAGCGAGTGCATCTTCCAGGAACTGCCTCTGACTCTGCATCACTTACTTTCCACCATGTTGGCCTCATTCATCCACAGCCACGAAGCCTCGGCCAATGCCCTTGTGGGGAGAAGCCTCACGGTGGGGTGGAGGTGCCGTGGGGTGGGGGTTAGTGTGGATCCAGCCGCCTGGCTGTGGAGGGACCTCAAGGGTTGCTTTAGGCCGGGTATGGTGGCTCACACCTGTAATCCCATCACTTTAGGAGGCCAAGGTGGACAGATCGCTTGACTCCAGGAGTTCAAGACCAGCCTGGGCAACACGGCGAATCCCCGTCTCTACTGAAAATACAGAAATTAGCTGCGTGTGATGGTGCACACCTGCAGTCCCAGCTACTCGGGAGGCTGAGGTGGGAGAATCACCTGAGCTTGGGAGGTCGAGGCTGCAGTGAGCTGAGATTGTGCCACTGCACTCCAGCCTAGGCAACGAAGTGAGACCCTGTCTCAAGCAAAAAAAGAGTCAGTTGCTTCACCTCCCCAATATTCAACATCCTCAGTGTCATCTCAACACCTGCGATGTCACCTGCAAATCACCACGTCCGAACGACCACCGAACACGTGGCTCCTCCGTGCCGGTGTGGGGAAAAGGCAGGACGCGGGCAGATAACACCTTCGCATGCTGCGCGGGAGCGACCAGAGGGAGGGGCACTGCGGAGGCGGCGCTGGCCAGGTGGATGCCCACACGGTGAGGAGAGCATGGCGGGAACGTGGAGTGCTGGCAGCTGCCTCGTGCTCACAAGGTCCTGATGCTTTCCAAGGCACCTGTCCTCATCACACCACTCCACAGCTGTTTTCCAGAGGACGCAGGCCCGAGGTCACACAAGGTCCCGTGGTGTGGCACTGGTCAAATCGTGGGGTGAGGAGCTAGACAGGCCCCGGCATGAACACCACAGTGAGCTCCATTCTCAAGTCTGCACAGGTGGCACAAGGGGACAGGGACAGTGCGGACAAAGGGAGGCAAGGCAGCCTCAATACCGGAGGCACCCCTGGGACCTGTGGTATGTGGCCGTGGGAGGGAGGTGGGGCGAGGCCGCCCCTTTCCTGGGATGCTGAGTGTGCTGAGGGCACCTGCACCCTGACCTGAGAGCTGGCTGCAGGGTTCACAGCCAAGTCTCACACACTTGCTGCCAATCACCGCCACGCTCAGAGCTGCCCACGGCGCCGCAGCGTTACTGGACAGTGCGTTCCTCTTTTGTACAACCCCTTCCCTGAATGGGGAAACATGGGGGGAAAGCCTGAACACCCCCTCAGTGCCTCCTGCTCCAAAAAGCCGGCTCCACTGCTGGGATCCCAGGCAGCAGGGCCCCGCGCTTCCTTCTCCGAAGTCTGCCTGGGTACCATCAGGAGCTCTCAGGTGCCCACCACTCCCCGGCTGCCTGCTGAGTACCCGCTAAGGGAGCAGCTCTCTCTCCCTAAGTCTTCACAGTTGGGTTTTCACAGTTGGATTATTACTGAAAACACTGCACAAAGCAGACTGCTTTGTTTTTTTTTTTTTGAAACAGGGTCTCGCTCTGTTGCCCAGGCTGGAGTGCAGTGGCACGATCACAGCTCACTGCAGCCTCGACCTCTCAGGCTCAAGTGATCCTCCCACCTCAGCCTCCTGAGTAGCTGGGACTACAGGTGCACGCTACCACACTCGGCTAATTTTCACATTTTTTGTAGAGACTAGTCTCGTCCTGTCGCCCAGGCTGGTCTCGAATTCCTGGGCTCAAGGAATCCACGCACCTCACCTCCCTAAGTGCTGGGATTACAGGTGTGAGCCACCATGCCTGGCCGAAGTAGACTGTTTTCCATACTTTTCATTAACTTACAGCATGGTTTTCTATACTTCTCATAACTTACAGCAGGGTTTTTCTATACTTTTCATTAACTTACAGCAGGGTTCTGTTTGCTTGGGGATGAGGAAAACAGGTGGATTTCACGTCACCGTTCTCCAGGGTTTCCGGCAAAGGCAAGGGTTGGCCCCTTGGTGCCCACATTGCAGAGCCGTGAGTAGTGGGGAAGCAGACCACGCTCCATGCTGCCTCTTGAGTTTGGACTAACGGGGATGGGGCAAGATAAGCAGGTATGCTCTGTCCTTAGTTTGTGAAATCTCATTTTTCAATCTAAAAATGTACTTGACTAGGCGTGGTGGCTCATGCCTGTAATCCCAGCACTTTGTGAGGCCAAGGTGGGCAGATCACCAGAGGTCAGGAGTTCGAGACCAGTCTGGCCAACACGGCAAAACCCCGTCTCTACTAAAAATATAAAAATTAGCCAGGCGTGGTGGCGCCTGCAGTCCCAGCTACTTGGGAGGCTGAGGCAGGAGAATCGCTTCAACCTGGGAGGTGGAGGTTGCAGTGTGCCGAGATCACGCCACTGCACTTCAGCCTGGGCGACAGAGCGAGATTCCATCTCAAAAGAACTAAAAATAAATAAAAATAAAAATGTACCCATGAATTGTGACAGATGAACACATCCCAGGTCCCCAATAACAACGTCTTGAAATGACTGTGTGGTCTCACCCGCATCTTGTTTACACGAACACTACTTAAGAGGCCTCTGAGAATACTGCTGTAACAGAATCTATGGGAGTCATGAATCGCTGTTCAGAAATAAGTGCTGCACACAATTCTGATGCCTGCAGGTCTGCACCAGGGCACCAGGATGCCGGCTGGGGAGGGGCCTGCTGCAGGCTGCCCCACAGCTCTGGCAGAAGGGACAGGAGAAGAACCCTCAAGGACCCGGGTGAGCCGTTCTCTGCTGCCATCCTGGGATGGGAATATGGAGGCGGCAGCCAGTCAGCATTGAGCCTCACAACCTGAGGAAAGGCAGGCCCGGGGGAGGGCTGGGCCTGCAAAGTGTCCTGCCCAGAGGCCAGAAATAAACACATGACATACCTATCGGCAGAGCCCGGAAATCAACGCATCACGTACCTATCGGCAGAGCCCGGAAATCAACGCATCACGTACCTATCGGCAAAGCGGTGTCTGTGCTGATGCCAGCACCAATCAGGAAATCCCCGATCAGGGCAGGTCTCTCATACACCCATGCTGGGAAGATGGGGAGGTGCTGGCCTGAATTTTTTTTGTTCTGCTTGTCTCGAAGCATCTTTCTTTTAAGTTCCAGAGACTAGCAAGGACATTTTAAAAAACAAAACCAGAAAGATACACTTTAGCGCAAACACTCAACTAAAGACATGCATAGAAGCTAGCATCTACGGCAAAGATGATTACTCAATTCAACACCCACAAAGGGTCAACCACATAGAAATGAAATGCGCCTCGACATCCCTGCCTGCCACAACGTGAGGGGCTGGGGACAACAGGGCAGATGGGGAGCCCTAGCCCCTCTTCTCAGGAGTGCAGGTCCTGCAAGGGCCCCCCTGGGAAAACATGAGCACCAGCAGTGGGAACCACGGGAGAGGGTGCACCTAGGCACAGAGCCGCTGTTTCAAAGGAGGGCGCCCTGTGAACAAGCTGAATTGCTTCTTTCTGGCAGTGACTAGGTCTGAACACCACTTGATGGGTGAAGACAGGCTTCAGCAACAGACATGCATCCTTACCCTGCCGGAGAAGGGCCCCAGCGTGACAGGATGGCTCCTGACATGTGGTCAGAGAGCCTGCCCTCCTGCGCCAGTGGCCGCCAGAGGCTGATGGGGTCGGCCTGGGCTGGCCCAGCTTTCGGAAGCACTGACTCCCACTCAGGGCTGGTCAGGGACACGGGCAGATGCAAACTGTCTCTGCACGTGGCAGTAAGACCCAGTCTTCTGCCACGGCTGAGGGAGACGTGGACAGAGGCCTAGCACCATGTCCAGCACAGAACGTGCCCAGCAAGAACCGGCTGGGTCCTTGGGAGCCGCTGCACTCAACACGCACCCAGGAGGCTAGGACGCCTCAGGGACACAGCTCCAAAGGGAGTTTAAAGGTCACAAAGGCAGGAACGTGGCAGCTCTAATGAGAGAGACTGGGAGATGACTTACGTCAAAAGACCAGGGTAGGGCATAAAATCAAAACCAAGAGCAAGTAGCAAATACAGAAGGAATAATAAAAATTACTGTATTTTCGAGAATCTTGAAAATATAATGATCTGAAAGCATTCCCTCAAAATTGTCAAAAATTGGAGGAGGGAAATGGGGAGTCAGGATTGGGTAGGCTCAGAGTCACGTGGCCACCTGGCAGCACAACTCCCACGTGGGTCAGAACCTTGCTGCTATTGATTCTTGTGGTCCAGAATTCTTGGTTAAAAAAAAAACTAAACATATAGAGCTAGGTCATGATCAAGCATTAAGCCTTGGCCTCTCTAAGGGATTCATTTTCAATAAATGACAGAGAGACATGTCCTTCCAGCAGGGGCCCGGCACAGCACTGAGTGTGGGTGCCTGTGGACGCCACGGACACAGGACCTGCTGCAGCATGGAGCCTGTGGACAGCCATGGACGCAGTACCTGCTGCAGCGTGGAGCCTGTGGCCACGCTGCCAAGCTGCTTCCTCAGTTCCTCAAGCTCCTGCATGGAGATCTTGGAGGCCGCGGCAGGGACGTTGATGCTGGTGGTACTGCTGCCCACAGCAGCGGCTGCAAGCTCAGCTCTTTCTTTTGCATTCTGTTGTAAGTACTGCAGAGTCTGAAAACATGTAAAACTGTGTGTTCACACTGGGCCAGCACCTCTTTGGCCATAGGGGGAGAGTAGGGACGACACCACCAGGACGGCTCCCCAACCCTGACAGGCACCCATTAATAGCAAAGCGACGCGTGCGACAGGCAGGAACTGAGCGTGACACATGCGGGAAGCTCAAAGTGCCCCAGAGGCTGCTTCTCATGTTTACACCCAACATGGGTTATCTTTCATTCTGATTCACCAAAAATTTCCTACATGGCCTAGAAGCGTTACTGGTGTGAGCGAGGAAGAGCTGACAGGAAGATGGCGTGGAGTGAGCAGGAGACGCGACCCCACTCCCAACATGGGCCGTACGGGCGCAGTGTGGCACGTGGCATGGGCACCTACCTCTTTGTCTTCCGTGAGCTTTGACAACAGGTACACCAGCGGGTCAAGGTTCCTTGTATTTTTAGATTTCAGTTCATCATATTTCTTTAGAAAGTCTTCTGGAGTACGAGAAAACTCTGCAATTTTAACCTCAAAAGCACAAACATGAGTGATTTAATGACGGTAATTAATAAAGCACTGTAAAAAAAAACCTTTACGAAAATTGAACACAATAAGCCAATGGAATTAAATTGGGTAGGTTAAATAATTATCCCTCTGAAATAAACTAACAAAACTCATCTCCATATTGTGTTAAACTTATCCATGTTTTGAGCTAGGCAGTGGCTCATGACTGTAATCCCAGCACTTTGGGAGGCCGAGGCTGGTAGACTGCTTGAGTCCAGGAGTTCAAGACCAGCCTGGCCAAAATAACAAAACCCCATTTCTACAAAAAGATTCAAAAATTAGCGAGGCGTGGTGGCACTTGCCTGTGGTCACTACTTGGGAAGCTGAGATGGGAGGATCACATCAGCCTGGGAGGTTGAGACTGCAGTAAGACAAGATCGTGCCACATGCATTCCAGCCTGGGTGACAGAGTAAGACTCTGTCTCAAAACAAAACAAAACAAACCTTATCCGTATTTCCCATTATGGTTCCTTTCCTTTTGTGCTTCTTCGTATTATTTTAATTTTTTCTAGAGACAGGATTTCACCATGTTGCCCAGACTGCTCTCAAACTCCCAGGCTCAAGCCATCCACCTGCCTCGTCCCAAAGTGCTGGCGTTACAGGTGTGAGCCCCTGCGCCCGCCCTTTTATGCTTCTTCAGGTTTGTACTGGAGAGTAGCGACTTACACTTCCCCCCAGTAGTTTATGCGTTCATTGTATACATTTCACTGTATTCCCTTTTATGCTGCTTCAGGTTTGTACTGGAGAGTAGCAACTTGCATTTCCCCCCAGTAGTTTATGCGTTCATTGTATGCATCTCACTGTGTTCCCTTTTATGCTTCTTCAGGTTTGTACTGGAGAGTAGCGACTTACCTTTTCCCCCCAGTAGTTTATGCGTTCATTGTCTGCATCTCACTGTATTCCCCGCAGTAGTTTATGCGTTCATTGTATACACCTCACTATGTTCCCTCTGGAATTTGTTATTATGTGCAACCCTAGGGGTTATGCTTTTTCTTTTGGACGGAGTTTCGCTCTTGTTGCCCAGGCTGGAGTGCAATGGCGTGATCTAGGCTCACCGCAACCTCCACCTCCCTGGTTCAAGTAATTCTCCTGCCTCAGCCTCCTGAGTAGCTGCATTACTGGCACGCACCACCACGCCCTAATTTTTGTATTTTTAGTAGCGATGGGGTTTCTCCATGTTGGCCAGGCTGGTCTCGAACTCCCAACCTTAGGTGATCCACCCGCCTCGGCCTCCCAAAGGGCTGGGATTACAGGTGTGAGCGACCGTGCCCAGCAGGGGTTATGTTTTACTCAGTGATTTACAATGCTTCCTTCAGAATGAACTAAACATGGGTGTCCCCAAGTCTCTATTCCACTCGGCTAATTTGCCTAATTATCCTTGTGCCATTGTTAACCTGTTTAAATAACTGAAGCTTCATAATGTATTTTTTAAAATAGACTTCAAATTCAAAATCATTTTTACTGAAAATCTATACTTCTGAATTACATATTATCTGAATAAAGAAATAATACCTTAAAGGCATTTCAACATGGTTAATACCAGTCCCTCCCTTTTTTTTTTTTTTTTTTTTTTTTTTTTTTGAGACAGAGTCTCACTCTGACGCCCAGGCTGGAATGCAGTGGCACGATATCTCGGCTCACTGCAAGCTCCACCTCCCGGGTTCACGCCACTCTCCTGCCTCAGCCCCCCGAGTAGCTGGGATTACAGGTGCCCGCCACCACACCCAGCTAATTTTTTGTATTTTTAGTAGAGACGGGGTTTCACCGTGTTAGCCAGGGTGGTCTTGATCTCCTGACCTTGTGATCCACCTGCCTCAGCCTCCCAAAGTGCTGGGATTACAGGTGTGAGCCACCGCGCCTGGCCCAGTCCCTCCCTTTTTATCCACAGGAATGCACATGTCAGGACTCTCCCACCTCATGGCTGCAGGGGACAGAGTGGGGAAGAGGGAGGGTTCTAGGCCCAGCTTTCTCCATAGGCCTCCATTTACTCATCTGCACAGTGGGGTGAATCACAGGAGCTGCTGGGGGGAGTCAGGAGAATCAGAGCTGAACACACACACAGACCAAGTGCTGTCTGCCATCGTTGCCGGTACCATTGAGGCCACCCAGGAACGGGCACTCACCCTGCATCTTGCACGGTACACAGCCCTGCACCAGGGGCAGTGCTCACCCTGCACCATCCTGACCCCGGGGTGGCGCTCACCCTGCACCCCGCACAGCCCTGCACCAGAGGTGGCGCTCACCCTGCACCCTGCACCAGAGGTGGCGCTCACCCTGCACCCTGCACCAGAGGTGGCGCTCACCCTGCCCCCTGCACCAGAGGTGGCGCTCACCCTGCACCCTGACCCAGGGGCGGTGCTCATCATGCACCCTGACCCAGGGACGACGCTCATCCTGCACATGGACTGAGGGGTGGGTTCACCCTGCACCATCCTGATCCAGGAACAGTGTTCATCCTGCACCCTGACCCAGGGGTGGGCTCACCCTGCACCCTCACCCAGGAATGGTGCTCACCCTGTACCACCCTGACCCAGGAACGGCGCTCACCCTGCACCCTGACCCAGGGGTGGGCTCACCCTGCACCACCCTGACCCAGGAACAGTGCTCACCCTGCACAGCGCTACACCAAGGGCAGTGCTCACCTTGGCACTGTGAGCAGAGACAGTGGTAGTGACGTACGGGGTCCTGTTCTTTTGAAGCAGGTCAATGTAGACCTCAGCCCCATCTCCTCCGTGGACACGCAGCAGGCTAAGCAGTTCATTGACGTCATGGTGAATCCGAAATTCACTCATAGTTTTAGCTCTGAGGCACGAACATCACAATATGTTCTCCTATAGGTAAGAAGACAGCTATTCATAAAATTCAAACTGTAGAAATAAAAAACATTTTTTTAAACACTCAAGACTGGCCAATGTCAGGCTTTGACAAACCAAGTTATCACCTGGCCTGCCTGGCCTAGGGCCCCTCCCCCAACAGCCCAGCAGCCTCTCAGAGGGTCCTCTGCATGGGCCTGGGATTAGGGCCCCTGCCCAACACCCCAGCAGCCTCTCAGAGGGTCCTCTGGACGGGACTGGGATTAGGGCCCCTCCCTGAACTCCAGCAGCCTCTCAGAGGGTCCTCTGCATGGGCCTGGGATTAGGGCCCCTCCCCGACACCCCAGCAGCCTCTCAGAGGGTCCTCTGGGTGGGCCTGGGATTCACCTGCCTCCAGCTTCCAGGCGGCCTCCGCAGCTCCGGGAGCCAGCCCCGTGGGCAGCATGAATGGGGCCTGAGACCCAGGTTCCCTTTCCCCTGCACCTCCCTCCACACATGGGTCTGGGCCAGCAGGGAATGCTCTGCTGCTCGCCTCGGCTTGGGGACAGAGCTTTCTGGTCCCAGACGTGAGGCCTGTGGGGTCTACACAGGGAGCTCTGTGCAGGCCCAAGCCATTGACACTGTGCCAGCTACCGGCACACACAGTAACATCCCAGCTTCTACCGGAGAGGCCCACACTGGTTCTCAGAGCCCGCGGTGCTCAGCCGCAGCTCCATTCACTTGGCCGGCTCTGCGTTACTTTTTCACTCTGGTACCCGTGACATCTCCTTTTCTTGCCCAAGCGTGGCTACCGACAGAGACGCTTCTGGTAGGACTTCTACACGTTCCCTACACGTTTGAGCTAGGTGAAGTTCCACTGCAGCTCCAGCTGCCCCAGGGGCTCACCAGGAGACATATAACACATATGAGATCGAAGGCGTCACAGACACCCAAGTGGGCAGCAGAACACTGCGTGGGGTCAGGGTGTAGGGTGAGCCCACCCCTGGGTCAGGGGGCAGGGTGAGCGCCGCCCCTACTCTCCCACCAGTGGCTGCTCATTAGCCTCTGTCACCAAGAGTTCCGATACAAGGCCATTAAGACAAACACATGGCTGTGTGCAGTGGCTCTCGCCTGGAATCCCAGCATTTTGGGAGGCTGAGTCAGGTGAGTCACTCGAGGCCAGGAGTCAAGACAGCCTGGGCAACACAGTGAGACTCTGTCTCTACAAAAAATACAAAAATTAACTGGGCATGGTAGCATATGCCTGTAGTCTTAGCTACTCGGGAGGCTGAGGTGGGAGGATCGCTTGAGCCACTCCAGCCTGGGCGACAGAGGGAGACCCTGTCTCAACAAAAAACAAAACAAAACAAAAAACACAGGCAAGGCAACTGGCTATAGATTACAAAACAAATATAAGCAAACTTTACATGCTTCACAAACATTTCATCTACACAAGGGTTCTTAAGCCGGTATCCATGAGTAATCAGTAACAGATGAGCCCTTGAAAGTTATGGGCAAAATAACTTTTTATTTTCTGAGGAGATGACCCTTCAACAAATTCTCAAAGGCTCTATGACCCAAAAAAGGTAAACAACCACTCTGCTGACAGCTTCAGGGAGACAAGGATGAGCTCAACAAAACATCGAGTGTGGGCGGCAAGCCACCCAGGTGCCGAGGCAAGAGACCGAGGGCACGAGCTGTTCCAGTGTAACAAAATATATAAAACAACAAGAGTTATGCTAGATCTAGATCATAGATATGATTATATATGAATATCATTAATCATCAGTTTGTAGCAATTACTCTTTATTCCAATATTATAATAATCCTTGCTCTACAATCATAACCTAGGAAAAACCAGGCCATACAGAGATAGGAGCTGAGGGGACATAGTGAGAAGTGACCAGAAGACAAGAATGTGAGCCTTCTGTCATGCCCGGACAGGGCCACCAGAGGGCTCCTTGGTCTAGCGGTGATGCCAGCGTCTGGGAAGATGCCCCTTGCCAAGCGGACCTTGGTCTAGCGGTAGTGTCAGTGTCAAGGAAAAACACCCGCTACTTAGCAGACCGGGAAAGGGAGTCTCCCTTTCCCCGGAGAGTTTAGAGAAGACTCTACGCCTCCAACTCTTGTGGAGGGCCTGACATCAGTCAGGCCCGCCCGCAGTTATCCGGAGGCCTGACTGTCTCCCTGTGATGCTGTGCTTCAGCGGTCACACTCCTGGTCTGCTCTCATGTTCCATCCCGTACACCTGGCTCCGCCCTCTAGATAGCAGTAGCAAAATTAGTGAAAGTATTAAAGTCTTTGATCTTTCTGAAAAGAACATAGAAGAAATAATGACATAAGCTGTCCTCTCTCTCTCCGCCTCGGCTACGTAACAGGGAAGGGCCCCATGTCTGGTGGACACATGACACACATGACCTTATCAATCATTGGAGATGACTCACACTCTTTACCCTGCCCCTTTTGCTTTGTATCCAATAAATAACAGCGCAGCCAGGCATTCGGGGCCACTACCGGTCTCTGCGTCTTGGTGGTAGTGGTTCCCCGGGCCCGCTGTCTTTTCTTTTATCTCTTTGTCTTGCGTCTTTATTTTTACAATCTCTCATCTCCGCACACGAGGAGAAAAACCCACCGACCCTGTGGGGCTGGTCCCTACAATAGAGTACAGAAGACTCAGCACATACTCCCACAATATGCTAATTCACTAACGATTATTAGCACGGGACTCGACACCGAGATTCTAATCCTGTGTGATGGAAGACAGTTTATCTGTAGATGAACATCAAATACTGGTCACAGGCAGGGTATCTCCGAAAATGGAAGGAGAGCGATAAGAAGGCATGGTGCTGAGTTGCTCACACACATGCTTTTGACCCAGGAGGTGCTCACGGTAACTACAGTTCAAGCACAAGGCCAGCAGGGCACGCGCCATGGAGCCCCATGCAGTCTGGACACTGACGTGGCTACTTCTAGGCTGTGGGACCCTGAACAAGGACACGTCCTCTCCAAGCTTCTTCTGAAAAGGGGAAGCCCTAGGTCCTGCGTAGAGCTGTGGTAGAGAGAAGTGAAATCACCCTGAGAAAGCACAGAAGGGCCCATACGTGGTAAGTTCTTACACTGTTGTTACCAGGAAAGCAGAAACAAACATGCGGCACCATTGCTCCCTGGAGGTGTTAACTCTGTTATCTGGGAAATGGTTAGGTTTACAAAAGGAAAATTGGGTCCCAATCACTGACAACATCTTAAACTACCAGATGCTTTTTTAACAGTCATGGGAGCCCTGGACGAGGCCCTGCAAACTACTTGTGAAGCAGAAAAGACAGCCCAAACTTTCCGGCCAGCGGCCCCTTCAAATCCAAGGGTGGCCTGTTTCACCCACATTCTACTCGGCTCCCCGAGGACTGCAGGTTGTCCTATAACTGCTGGTCTGAGAAACACTTTGGTCATGCTAGGTGGCAAGAAAACCATTTGCCACCAAAACAAAGCACTCCCCCACCAGACACAAGTCAGGAGAGAAAGCTACCTATGAAGAAAAATCATCTGAGTATTTATTTAAAAACTACATGCTGGGCACGGTGGCTCACGCCTGTAATCTCAGCACTTTGGGAAGCCAAGGTGGGCGGATCATGAGGTCAGGAGATCGAGACCATCCTGGCTAACATGGTGAAACCCCATCTCTACTAAAAATACAAAAAAATTAGCCGGGGGTGGTGGCGGGCGCTTGTAGTCGCAGATACTCCAGAGGCTGGGGCAGGAGAATGGCATGAACCCGAGAGGCGGAGCTTGCAGTGAGCCAAGATCACACCACTGCATTCCAGCCTGGGCAACAGAGCGAGACTCTGTCTCAAAAAATAATAATAAAAAAAATAAAAACTACCTTCAGGAAACTTCGTATCTCTTCTAGAAATAGAAGCACAGATGCCCGCACGTCATGAGTGTTCATCCCATGAGGAGCCTGCTGCTCTCCCTGAATGTGGGGACCGGGCCTCCAAGAGGGCAGCCCGTACTCGCACAGAGTCCCTCCCCCCAGAAGACCTTTGGAAAAGTCCTAGGGCAACTCTGGGGTGTCACGGTCATGGAAGGGTGCTCTCGCTACTTAGAGGGCAAGGGCGGGGGATGCTAATCATCAACAGAGCTGTCCCGCCAGAAATGCACAGCGTCCCACTGAAAACACAGCTCTGAGGAACATCTAGCCGTGGCTGCTTCTTGGAGGAACGTCTAGCCATGGCCGCTGACTTGGCCTTCTTGATGCTCCTGAATTCTTACTATTAATCACACAAACTGACAGGCCCAGCAACTGTGACTGGGAGGGACTGACGTCCTCCTCACAGAGGCTGTGAGCTACCGCAGGGACGCGTGCTGAGGGAAGCAATGCACGCATGTCACACTCCACCACGGACAAGCGGGGCACACACTCCTAGTGAGCACACACTCCAAGTGATTAAAACACAGAGGGACGTGAAAAAGAGTCTCTGTTGAGAGCTCAAAGCTAACTGTACAAATTGGTTTGAAAAATGTTATTTTACAACTTGTGGAAAATGTCAAGAGCCCAAAGGCTTTTACAGAGACAGAAAGTACAGTCATGCATCACTCAACATTCTGAGAAATGCCTGGCCAACATGGTGAAAACCAGTCTCTACCAAAAATACAAAAATTGGCCAAGCCTGGTGGCGCACACTTGTAATCCCAGCTACTTGGGAAGCTGAGGCACGAGAATCGCTTGAACCCAGCAGGCAGAGGTTGCAGTGAGCCCAGATCGCGCCACTGCACTCCAGCCTGAGCGACAGAGAGAGACACTATCTCCAAAAGAAAAAAAGAGAAACGTATGGTTACATGATTTCCTTCTGTGCGATCATCAGAGTCACTCGCAGACCTGGATGGTGTACGGCCTACAATGCACCTAAACCACCTAGAGGAGCCTCTTGCTCGTGGGCTACAAACCTGCCCAGCAGGTGGCGGTGCTGAACACTAGACAACTGTAACACAGAGATATTTGTGTATCTAAACATGGAAAAAGTACAGGGGCAGGCATGGTGGCTCACGCCTGCAGTTACAGCTCTTTGGAACGCTGAGGCAGCAGGACCACTTGAGCCCAAGAATTTGAGGCCGCAGCGATCTATCAGCTATGATCGCACCATTGCACTCCAGCCTGGGTGACAGACGAGAAAGCTAAAGCCTCTATCCGCCACTGGGCCCATTCTCTGCAGTAGATCTGAAGCGTCCACTGCTTCCCGCGTGTGTTGTCATTCACCATTTTAATTAGGTGACTCTTTACTCTGACGTCTGTCTCTCCTACAAGGCTGCCGCGCCCTCCTGTGATGCCTTCCCCCACACGCCCTGAGCACCTAGCACAGGTCCTGTGTTTCACGGGAGCTGCGGGGACTGGAGAGGTCGACAGGACCCCGACAAACCAGGAAAGGGCCTTTGAACTAAAGTAACGGGAAGTCACCCAAGGGCTTTAAATTAAAAACGGTTACAATAAAACTGGAGTCACTTTGGCTCCAGTTCGCGACTGGTTTAGAGGGAACAAGATCCAGGGACTGCAGCGGGAGACGACAGGCGGGGCAAGGCGGACGGGAGAGGGCGTGCGAGAGGGGGACCTGCGACCCGGCTTCCCAGGGCTGGGAGGGGACACCCGGGACGACCCGGAGGCCCGCTCCGCCCCGCCCCGGCTGAGTGTCGGGCCGCGGGGCAAGACGCTGGCCTGGCCGGTGCAGGCCCGAAGGGCTTCGGCCCCAGAGTTCGGGGACCGCTGCACAGCCAGAGGGAGCGCGCGGGAAGAGCCGCGTCCCGCCAGCCCCGTCGCCTCGTGGGCCCCCCCGGGCCTGGCAGTCCCCCAACCCCCTCATCACGCCCGCGCCCGCGTTCGGCCAGGACTCACCGCAGTCCCGGAGCCACAGCCCCCGCGCAGCCCCCGACGGCGGCGGAAGTGAGCGTGACGTCACGTCCGGCTCGGCTCGCGGACGGTGGCCGACAGGCTGCGCCCGCCCGCGCCCGGGGTGATGCAGTTGCCCCCCGCGCTGTGCGCCCGCCTCGCTGCGGGGCCCGGGGCGGCGGAGCCGCTGCCTGTAGAGCGGGATCCCGCGGCTGGGGCCGCGCCCTTTCGCTTCGTTGCGCGCCCCGTGCGCTTCCCGCGGGAGCACCAGTTCTTCGAGGTGCGTGAGCAAAAGAGGGAAAAAGTAGTTGTAGGATCCAGTGGGGCCTACGGCGGCGAGGCGGGGCCGGAGCCTGGAGTGGGAGGGGCCTACGACTGCGGGGCGGGGCCGGAGCCTGGGACAGGCGGGACCTGAGGTGGTGGGGCGGGGCCGGAACGTGGAGTGGGCGGGGCCTGAGGCTGTGGGGCGGGACCGGAGCGCGGGATGACTGGGGCCACGGGTGTGGGCGAGGCCTGACGCGGTGGGCGTGCCGCGAGTCACCTGGCCCCGCCCACGGCGCACTTTTCCTGCAGGATGGGGACGTGCAGCGCCACCTCTACCTCCAGGACGTGATCATGCAGGTGGCCGACGTGCCTGAGAAGCCCAGGTAAGCGAATGGGCAGTGCCTAGCCAGTGCTACTCCTGCGCCGCCTCCCTGACCGGTGCCTGGTCCCTGGGGCTGTGCTGCCGCTCTTCCATGTGCGGCCGCCCCACCGAGGCGCTGTGCCTGTCCAGCTTTGGCGTGGCCGACTCTTCCACCACCTAGCCTGTTTGTGAAACTTAATTCATAAAAAGAGGGTTTGGGATTGCAAAAGATGCATAGGGGCTTTATTGGACGTCTCAAAGGGAAACTGTGCAGAAAGTCCAGCTTGGTTCCTCGCACCGGAGGAAGGGCTCCTGAAGCACGTCTCCTTGGCAGGGTGCCCGCGTTTGCCTGCCAGGTGGCCGGCTGCTGCCAGGTGTTCGATGCCCTGGACGACTACGAGCACCACTACCACACGCTGCACGGAAATGTTTGCTCCTTTTGCAAGCGGGCCTTCCCTTCCGGACACCTGCTGGACGCCCACATCCTGGAGTGGCACGATTCGCTCTTCCAGATCCTGTCTGAGAGGCAGGACATGGTGGGTGACAACTGCACAGCCGCCGAGGCCACCCCCCATTGGTGATGGGCTCAGAGTGCTGCCCCCAGCTCTCGGGTGCTCGGGCAAGGCCGGGGACACCTTTCCGCCCTTGGCAGCTCTGCTACGGGGGCATGGCGGTGGGGGAGGGCCAGGGGTCAGAGGGAGGTGACACGGTCTCCATTTCAGTATCAGTGCTTGGTAGAAGGCTGCACAGAGAAGTTCAAGACCAGCAGAGACCGGAAGGATCACATGGTGAGGATGCACCTGTACCCCGCGGACTTCCGGTTTGATAAGCCAAAGAAAAGCAGAAGGTAGGGAGCCGCCAGGCTCAGCACGTGTCTGCTTTTGATTTTAGGAAAAGGTTTCCAACTAGCCGGAATGCATAGACGGTCAGACTTATTAAGCACTTGTGTGTCACCTAATGGGGTGTTCACCTGCAGGTACCTGAAGCCCTGGCAACACAGCTACAGGTGGTTGTGCCAGCGGCCACCCTGCCGAAGGGAGGCTGGAGGGGAGCCCCTGGCTGCCCAGCTCTGTGCCGGTGGAGGCAGCAGAGGGGGTGTGGGAATGAGCGGGCGCAGCGCCTCCGCACTCACACCCCTCTGGGCCATGCCTGTACCTCCTGCAGCAGTCGGCCGTGGTCATCCGCACTCACACCCCTCGGGGCCGTGTCTGTACCTCCTGCAGCCGTCGGCCGTGCTCACACATCATGCAGCCCTGGCTTTCCTTTTGTCCTGGTTGGTTGTGCGCATATGAACTTGATGACAAAGCTGTTGATTAACATGTTCCTGCCTAGAGTGCACTCTGGGAAATACTTCCAGGAACAATCTTTTTTTTTTTTTGAGACAGGGTCTTGCTCTGACACCCAGGCTGGAGTGTAGTGGTGTGATGTAGGTTCACTGCAACCTCCACTTCTCAGGCTCAAGCGATTCTCCCACTTCAGCCTCCTAAAGTGCTAGGACTACCAACACGCATCGCCGCACTCGGCAAAATTTTCTATTTTTTGTAGAGACAGGGTCTTGCTATGTTGCCCAGTCTGGTCGTGAACTCCTGGGCTCAAGCCGTCCATCTGCCTCAGCCTCCCAAAGTGCTGAGATTGTAGGTATGAGCTACCATGTCCAGCCGGAACAATTTTTAAATTGTGTTATATTTCTTCTTTTTTTAACTGATGAGGTGAACTTTCATAATCATCTACAATTTTATTGATCAGAGTTTTTCAGACTCTACATTTTCTCAAGTAGTAATTTGCTCTTTAAAATAAAAGAACTGGGAGAACCCACTGCAATGTGGGAGGCTTTACAAAGACTTACGTGTAAAGTAATTGTCTCCTTTCCGAGGGATCATTTTAAGGAGAAAAACCGTGCAATGCTGGATTAAGACATTCGTATTATGGAAGAGACTAGTTTATAGTCTCTGGTTAACTTTAGCAAATTTCTCACACTCATAAAAAGACCCGTGGCACCGTTGGCACCATAAAAATACTATTTTCAAAAAAAAGTATGATTGTTACAGTTAAGTTTATAAGATGCAGACTCTATTATATAAACAATGGCCTTGCTGTAATCATTCTCCTTTTCCCAGTATCTTAAACCACACTATAAAATCAGACTATGCCAAAATAGTAAGAAAATATGCTACTTACAGGGAAATCCAGTTTCTTTCTTGCATGTTCATTTCTGGGGAACACAGGGGCTGTGGGAGCCGTGCAGGGCAGTTACTCACTGCTCTCTCCCCGCAGCCCAGCCTCAGCAGAAGCCCCAGGGGACAGTGGAGAGCGGTCAGAAGGGGAGGCCATGGAAATCTGCTCTGAGCCTGTGGCAGCCTCCCCTGCACCGGCAGGTGAGAGGCGGATCTACAGACATAGGTCAGTGTCTGAGCTCTTTCTGAAACCCGTTCTCAACATGTGTTCGGTGCTGAGGATTCTGGGCTGCACCTGGGCCGCAGCTCTTCTCATACTGAATTCAGAAAGGTAACGCTGGGTAAGAAAATCGGCTTCCGCCAGAGAAGAAAGTCCAGATATCTCAGGTCCTGTGAATAACTTAGTTTCTCTCGCATACTCTGTTTTTGAGCCATTGAAGCGCAGGAATGCCAAGCACCACTCACTTTTCCTCATTGTCTGAGTGGGATGGAAAGAGTCTCACTTGCAGTTGCTTCAGTCACAACCCAGGCGTCTGCCTTAATAGCATCACCTGTGCCGTCTGCGTTTCTAGCGTCACCTGTGCCGTCTGCGTTTCTAGCGTCACCTGTGCCGTCTGCCTTCCTAGCATGACCTGTGCCGTCTGCCTTTCTAGCATGACCTGTACTGTCTGCCTTTCTAGCGTCACCTGTGCCGTCTGCCTTTCTAGTTAAAGTTGATTTTAAATTAATTTGGGAAAAACGGTGAACAAGTGGGGAAAAACATCACCAAAGACTCCAAACAGGTGGAACGATGAACTTAATGTTCCCTGCACCCTCCTTACAGATGCCTGGACTTTGGCCTGTGAATGAGCCCCGGGGGGCTGGGACAGTAGGGGTTTTCATGGAATGGACATGGGGTAGCAGGAAGTCTCAGCCCCAGAGGGCTTGGCAGGAGCCGCCCTCTCTGCGGAGTTCTTCCCAGCGGGTGTGCGTTGGTGGCTGGCGGGGACCCCCCACAGGAACTAGGTCTCAGGCTGTGGAAAGGGAGCTGCCCCAGGGCCCAGGAGGGCCGGCTCTGCATTCCGCATGTTCCCAGAGTGAAAGAGAATGAGAAGGAGACACACAAGTGCTGTTATGACCTGGGTTGTTGGTTGGCAAATACAGCATCTAATAGAAACTTTCTTCCATCCCAGAATACCCTCTACCATCTGCTTTGGTCAGGGTGCCGCTCGAGGATTTAAAAGCAACAAGAAGAAAACCAAACAATGCTGATAGACTCAGAAAAGGAGTGGGGGGCAGTCACCACTGCTGGGCGTGGCATCCGCCTTGGGCCTTTCTCCGACCTTCTGGTGTGGCCGCCCTGGGGGCCAGGCCCTCGCCATCCTCCCCATCCTTGTTCCTCAGCAAATGGCATTAGCAGCTGTCATCAGAAGCTGTGAGGGACCCACAGATTTTGGAAACGACCTGGACACACTATTGGGAAGGAGATGTGGACGGCCTGTCTCCTCCTGCAGGGCCCACCCTAAGAATGTATTTTTAAACACATGAAATAAGTATTTTTCACTGATGGTCTTGAGTCTTCATTTCTGTGTTGAGTCAGGTGCGGAGTGGTTATTGTTACCCATGGGTATTCTGTTTTCCACCCTCAGTTTTCAGGAAGATTTATAAAGTCCTGGCACCCCTCAGAGGTGGGTGATGGGGTAGGATACAGCACTCCACCTCGTCCCGGACCTCCTGGCTTTGGGAGCCACACCCAGTTGTCCTTGCCACACCACTTAGGGAGTAGACCTGGTGGGGGTAGGATCTGATGCCCACAGGGAGGGGCACTGGCTCTGGGGGCATGGGGTGCTTGGGGGTGTGTGGGATGCTGGGGGAGTGGGGGGTGCTGCCCCAGAGGGTGCAGGATCCATCACTAGTGCCAGCGGGGACCACAGAGCCTGCATCAGGAAATGCAGGCCAGGAGATTGGGGCTGGCATTGGATTGCAGAGATACACTGGGGGCAGTGTGTCCTGGAGAAATCACTCTGTTTTGATAAAATTAGGGCGCTCAGAGACTCCCGACCACGTCTTCCTCCAGCGGCCCTGTTCCCACAGCATGTGATATAGGCGGCAAGCCACCCAGGTGCCAAGGCAAGAGAACGAGGGCACGAGCTGTTCCAGTATAACAAATATATAAAATAACAGGAGTTATACTAGATATATGTCATAGATATGATTATATATGTATCACTAATCATTAGTTTGTAGTAATTATTCTTTATTCCAATATTATAATAATCCTCACTCTACAATCATAACCTAGGAAAAACCAGGCCATACGGAAATAGGAGCTGAGGGGACATAGTGAGAAGTGACCAGAAGACAAGAGTGTGAGCCTTCTGTCATGCCCGGACAGGGCCACCAGAGGGCTCCTTGGTCTAGCGGTGACGCCAGCGTCTGGGAAGATGCCCGTCGCCAAGCGGACCGTAGTCTAGTGGTAACGTCAGTGCAAAGGAAAAGCACCTGCTACTTAGCAGACTGGGAGAGGGAGTCTCCCTTTCCCTGGGGGAGTTTAGAGAAGACTCTACTCCTCCACCTCTTGTGGAAGGCCTGATATCAGTCAGGCCCGCCCGCAGCCATCTGGAGGCCTAACCGTCTCCCTGTGATGCTGTGCTTCAGTGGTCACACTCCTAGTCCGCTTTCATGTTCCATTCTGTACACCTGGCTCTGCACTTTAGATAGCAGTAGCAAAATTAGTGAAAGTACTAAAAGTCTCTGATATGCAGAAGTAATGGCGTAAGCTGCCTCTCTCTCTCTGCCTCTCTGCCTTGGCTGCCAAATGACGAAGGGCCCCCTGTCCAGTGGACACGTGACACACGTGACCTTACCTATCATTGGAGATGACTCACACTCTTTACCCTGCCCCCTTGTCTTCTATCCAATAAAAGTGCAGCCTGGCATTCTGGGCCGCTACCGGTCTCCGCGTCTTGGTGGTAGTGGTCCCCCGGGCCCAGCTGTCTTTTATCTCTTTGTCTTGCGTCTTTATTTCTACGATCTCTTGTCTCTGCACACGGGGAGAAAAACACACAGACCCTGTGGGGCTGGTCCCTTCATGTGACTGGTGTGCTCCTGGCCCCCTGCCCCTGGCATTGCCTCACAGCCCACTCCTTTTGGGGCTCTGGGTCTGGCTGGAGGCAGTGGGTGGTCATCTGCAGCTGCTGCCCAGCTCCACAGGATGATGCTGAGAGCTCTCCAGCAACCTGGAGTCAAGGAATCTCAAGGGCCTCAGGTTCAGAGCTGACATGGCACAGTGCTTCGTGCTCTGAAAACTGAAGGCAGGTTCCCAAGCACTCAAGGGAAGACACTAAAGCCTGAAGCCCAGGCCTGGGTGCATCAGTGAAGAGAGGTTTCACACGCACATGTGTGGGGTGGGAGATGAGCACTGGCCGAGGGTGGCTGTGGTGGGGCCGCCCGGGGCCTGTCGGCTGCTTGAGAAAGCACAACACAAGAAAAATGCAAACACGCAGATTTACTGCTGGTTCTCCATCTCCCTGAGAAGATCCTGCCCCAGCCCGTTGAATCCTCTGGCTCTTGCGTGAGCTCCCTGCACAAGGCCAGCAGCACAGCCCTGGCGGCAGCGCTCCACGAGGATGTATTAGCCCTTTCCACAACAGCAGATTCTGCTAAAACTCTTTTGTTCACAGCAGGACTGTTCTATACCCTTCGGGGACTGTTGGTCCTGGCTTCCAATCCTAGCTTCATCTCTGCCTGGAAGCGATTTGTTTATTCTGTCTCAGTTTTTCTTCTGACAAGTGGGGAGTGTAAAACTTCGGTATGAAGAATGTTACTGTTTTGTTTCAAAGCCAGCATCATAACTGTACGTGGGCTGCATCCGTTTCTAAGAAGATACTCATGTTTCTTTTCTTTCTTTCTTCTTTTTTTTTTTTTTTTTTTTTTTTTTTTTTTTTGAGGCAGGCTCGCTCTTCTTGCCCAGGCTGGAGTGCAGTGGCATCATCCTGGCTCACTGCAACCTCTGCCCCCTGAGTTCAAGCGATTCTCCTGCCTCAGCCTCCTGAGTAGCTGGAATTACAGACACACAACATCGTACCCAGCTACTTTTTGTATTTTTAGTAGATACAGGGTTTCACTATGTTGGCCAGGCTGGTCTCGAACTCCTGACCTCAGGTGATCTGCCTGCCTCAGCCTCCCAAAGTGCTGGGATTACAGTCATGAGCCACCACGCCCGGCAGAGATGCTCGTGTTTCAGCTGCAAGACCTGTGAGAGCTGAAGCCAGCTGGACTTCCTGGGTCGAGTGGGGACTTGGAGAACTTTTGTGTAGCTAGCTAGAGGTTTGTAAAATGCACCAATCAGGGCTCTGTAAAAATGCACCAATCAATGCTCTGTAGCTAGCTAGAAGTGTTTAAAATGGGCCAATCAGCACACTGTAAAATGGACCAATCAACACCCTGTAAAATGGACCAGTCAGCGGGACATGGGCAGGGACAAATAAGGGAATAAAAGCTGCCCCTTCCAACACACACACACAACCCCCTCCGCCACCCAGCCAGCAGTGGTGACCCTCTGCTGTTCACAATAACTTTTGCTGCTGCTCACTCTTTGGGTCCATGCCATCTTTAAGAGCTGTAACACTCACCACGAAGATCCGCAGTTCCATTCTTGAAGTCAGCAAGACCACGAACCCACTGGAAGGAACCAACTCCCGACACACCTGGAAGTGGCTTCCAGGTTGCAGCTGTCAAGAGGACTCAGACAAGGCACAGGATGGAACAACTGCACTCCCCAGACACAGAGACGGAAAGGCCACACACCCCCAAGACATAGAGATGGAAAGGCCACACACCCCGAAGACATAGAGATGGAAAGGCCACACCCCCCTCCCTGGACACAGAGATGGAAAGGTCGCACCCCCCTACCAAACACAGAATGGAACAGCCACACCCCCGCTTAGGACACAGAGATAGGAAGGCCGCACCACCCCTCCCCCCGACCTGGACACAGAGATGGAAAGACCACACTCCCCAAGACACAGAGATGGAAAGACCATACCCCCCCAGGACACAGCGATGGAAAGACCACCCCCCCCCCCCCCCCCCCCACACACACACACACACACAAACAGATGGAAAGACTGCACCCTGCCACAGGACACAGAGATGGAAAGACCACACCCACCCCCCAGACACAGAGATGGAAAGACCACCCCCGCAAGACACAGAGATGGAAAGACCGCACCCCCCCAGACAGAGAGATGGAAAGACCACACCCCCCACAACAGGACACAGAGATGGAAAGACCACACCCACCCCAGACAAAGAGATGGAAAGACTGCACCCCCCACCAACACAGAGATGGAAAGACTGTATCCCCAAACACAGAGATGGAAAGACCGCACCCCCCCTCCCCCAGGACACAGAGATGGAAAGACCACACCCCCTCCAGACGCAGAGATGGAAAGACCACACCCCCCCCAGACGCAGAGATGGAAAAACCGCACCCCGCCACACACAGAGATGGAAAGACTGCACCCCCCCTTCCCAAGGACACAGAGATGGAAAGACCGCACCCCACCCCAGACACACAGATGGAAAGGCCTCACCCCCCCAGGACACAGAGATGGAAAGACCACACCCTCCCTCCCCCAGGACACAGAGATGGAAAGGCCGCACCGCCCCCAGGACACAGAGATGGGAAGACCACACCCCCCCCCAGACACACAGATGGAAAGGCCTCACCCCCCCAGGACACAGAGATGGAAAGACCACACCCCCCCTCCCCCAGGACACAGAGATGGAAAGACCACACCCCCCCAGGACACAGAGATGGAAAGACCACACACCCCCTCCCCCAGGACACAGAGATGGAAAGACCACAACCCCCATCCCCCAGGACACAGAGATGGAAAGACCACACCCCCCACACACACAGAGATGGAAAGACCACACCCCCCCCAGACACAGAGATGGAAAGACCACACACCCCCCCCAGACACAGAGATGGAAAGACCACACCTCCCCCCCAGACACAGAGATGGAAAGACCACACCCCCCCCCCCCAGACACAGAGATGGAAAGACCACACCCCCCCCCCCAGACACAGAGATGGAAAGACCACACCCCCCCCCCCAGACACAGAGATGGAAAGACCACACACCCCGCCCAGACACAGAGATGGAAAGACCACACACCCCCAGACACAGAGATGGAAAGACCACACACCCCCCCCCCCCCAGACACAGAGATGGAAAGACCACACCTCCCCCCCAGACACAGAGATGGAAAGACCACACCCCCCCCCCAGACACAGAGATGGAAAGACCACACCCCCCCCAGACACAGAGATGGAAAGACCACACCCCCCCCCAGACACAGAGATGGAAAGACCACACCTCCCCCCCAGACACAGAGATGGAAAGACCACACCCCCCCCCCCAGACACAGAGATGGAAAGACCACACCCCCCCCCAGACACAGAGATGGAAAGACCACACCCCCCCCCAGACACAGAGATGGAAAGACCACACACCCCGCCCAGACACAGAGATGGAAAGACCACACCCCCCCCAGACACAGAGATGGAAAGACCACACACCCCCAGACACAGAGATGGAAAGACCACACACCCCCCCCAGACACAGAGATGGAAAGACCACACACCCCCAGACACAGAGATGGAAAGACCACACCCCCCCCCCAGACACAGAGATGGAAAGACCACACCTCCCCCCCAGACACAGAGATGGAAAGACCACACCCCCCCCCCCAGACACAGAGATGGAAAGACCACACCCCCCCCCAGACACAGAGATGGAAAGACCACACCCCACCCCCCGAGGACACAGAGATGGAAAGACTACACCTGCCCCCCAGACACAGAGATGGAAAGACCACACCCCCCACCCCCCTCCCCCCGGACGCAGAGATGGAAAGATGGCCGCATCCCCGGGAACACGCACAGGTGGAGAGGCCAGGGCCCAGCTGTGCATGGACGACTCCGAGCTGAAGTGCAGCCGTGGGTGCCAGTGCCGGTCTCCGTCCTCCTTCACAGGAAACACGGAGGCCGGGGCCGCCAACCCCGGTCCCTTCATCCTCTGGCCCCTTCGCCCGCTCCTCACACGGACGGGCTGTGCCTGTGTCTGCTCCACTGGCAGCCGGTCGATACCCCCGGGCGTGCGGAGATGAAGACCTCAGGCGACCGACCGCCGTCCTCCCCTTTCCCCGCGGCCCAGGTCGGCGTGTCTGGCTGCAGCGCCACCTCCTGGAGGCGTCAGCACCCTTCTCCGCTGGGTGTCAGTTCGGACACTGTGGAGGGACGCGCTTGGAGGATGTGGGCGGCCCCGCGCGGAGCGGTGCAGAGTCGGCGGTTGTGGTGGTCCTGGCCCAGCATCCAGGCCTCGCATTGCCAGGGGCAGGCGGCTGGGAGCCTGTGGGAGGAGGTGTGGGAGCAGGGCAGGGGTCCCCAGAGATCCTCCCGGTTCCAGCCACCCTGCGCGAAGGTAAGGCCTCTGCCGCGGGCCTCAGTTTACCCATCTGTAGATGAGCAGGTGACGGGTGAGCTCCAAGAATTAGCCAGATTTGAAGCCCAGTGCTGGGAACACGGTGGACACATTCCTTGACTCCTACTGTCCCCCTTGCCCCTCTCTGCCTCTCATGCTCATACACGTGCACACTCAGATGATCCACTCCCCCTCCTCTCTGTATGTGCGTCCCTGCTCACACACGCTCACACTCACACAATCCACGCCCCTCCTCTCTGTGCATCTGTGCTCACACTCACACGCTCACACACACAATCCATGCACCTCCTCTATGTGCGTCCATACGCTCACACTAACACACACACAATCCACACCCCTTCTCTTTGTATATGCATCTGTGCTCACACTCACACACTCATACGCTCACACACACACAATCCACACCCCCTCCTCTCTGTGCGTCCGTGCTCACATACTCACATGCTCACACTAACACATGCTAACACACAATGCACACCCCCTCCTGTCTGTGTGTCCGTGTTCACACGCTCACACACGTCATCCACACTCCCTCCTCTCAGTACGTCTGTGCTCATACCCTCACACACTCACACTAACACACGCACTCTCACACACACAATCCATGCCCCCTCCTCTCTGTACGTGCGTCCATGCTCGCACACAGGGAAGCCAGAGGCCCTTCCACCCCCATCCTGTTGGCTCTCACGTGGGCTGTGTGGATCTGGAAACCTAAATTCCTGATTTTGATCATTGCATGAAGGTTCCGTAAGAAGACGCCCTTGTTTGCAGGGAATCCACACTCAAGTATATACGGATAAAGAGGTCACTTCCTCTGAATGCAAGGAGTTGCCAGGCCGGGTGGGGAGGGTGGGACTTACGGCAGCTCCAGGAGCCCCTGGGCCCTTCTCATCTCCCATCTGGCTCCAGGGGAATGGGAGATGCCCGTCCCTGGGGCAGAGCTCACCCCTCCTCAGGCCCCACCCCCCACTCCCCACTCAGATGCCCCATTCACTCATTGGCTCAGAAAAAAAGGTAGTAGGTAGCAGCTAAAGAGACGACAGATTATTGATAGATGATAGACAATAGACGATAGGTGATAGATGATAGATAATAGATAATAGACAATAGATAGTAGGTGATAGATAGTGGACGATAGGTGATAGATAATAGATAATAGACAATAGACATTAGGTGATAGTAGACGATAGGTGATAGATGATAGATAACAGTAGGTGATAAATAATAGACGATAGGTGATAGATGATAGAGGATAATAGGTGATAATAGGCGATAGACAATAGATGATAGATTATAGACAATAGGTGATCGATGATAGATAATAGGCCATAGACAATAGGTGACAGATGATTGATAGGCTGGTAGGTAGATAGACGAGGTGGTGGAATGTGATAGAGCAGATGGGATGGAATGCCAACTGCTAGAGTTTGGATGTTAACATTTGATCCCCAATGTTCGAGGTGGGGCCTGATGGGAGGTGTTTGGGTCATGGGGCAGATCATGAATGGCTTGGTGCCACCCTCAAGGTAATGAGTGAGTTCTTGCTTGATTACTTCCTGTGAGGAATTTTTTTTTTTTTTTTTGAGTTTCACTCTGTCGCCCAGGCTGGAGTGCAGTGGCACAATCTTGGCTCACTGGAAGCTTCGCCTCCCGGGTTCACACTATTCTCCTGCCTCAGCCTCCTGAGTAGCTGGGACTACAGGCACCCACCACCACACCCCACTAATTTTTTGTATTTTTAGTAGAGACGGTGTGTAGTGTGTCTGGAGTTGGTTCCTTCTGGTGGGTTCATGGTCTCACTGACTTCAAGAATGAAGCTGCGGACCTTTGTGGTGAGTGTTACAGCTCAAATGTGGCATGGACCCAAAGTGTGTGCAGCTGCAAGATTTATTGTGAAGTGTGAAAGAACAAAGCTTCCCCACTGCGGAAGGGGACCCAAGCGGGTTGCCGCTGCCGGCTGGGGGTGGGGAGGCAGTGGTGGCCAGCTTTTATTCCCTTGTTTGTCCCTGCCCATGTCCTGCTGATTGGTCCATTTTACAGAGTGCTGATTGGTCCATTTTACAGAGCACTGATTGGTGCATTTTACAAACCTCTGGCTAGTGACAGAGTGCTGATTGGTGCATTTTTACAGAGCACTGATTGGTGCATTTTACAAACCTCTAGCTGGCTATAGAGTGCTGATTGGTGCATTTTTACAGAGCACTGATTGGTGCATTTTACAAACCTCTAGCTAGCTACAGAGTGCTGATTGGTGCATTTTACAATCCTCTTGTAAGACAGAAAAGTTCTCCAAGTCCCCACTCAACCCAGGAAGTGCAGCTGGCTTCATCTCTCAACGGAGTTTCACCCTATTAGCCAGGATGATCTTGGTCGCCTGACCTTGTGATCCGCCCATCTTGGCCTCCCAAAGTGCTGGGATTACAGGCATGAGCCACCGCACCTGGCCCGAGAATGGATTTTTTTTTTTGACGGAGTCTTGCTCTGTCACCCAGGCTGGAGTACAGCCACGCGATCTCAGCTCACTGCAAGCTCTGCCTCCCAGGTTCATGCCATTCTCCTGCCTCAGCCTCCTGAGTAGCTGGGACTATAGGCACCCGCCACCACGCCCAGCTAATTTTTTGTATTTTTTTTTTTAGTAGAGACGGGGTTTCACTGTGTTAGCCAGGATGGTCTCGATCTCCTGACCTTGTGATCTGTGGGTGAAGGATTACCCAGGTGCCGAGGCAAGAGACTGAAGGCACAAACTGTAGCAGTATAATAAAGAAAATAGTTAGAATAAAGAATAGTTATAATACAAATTAGATATAGAGATGATCATGGACATTATCAATCATTAGTATAAACATTATTAATCATTAGCTCTTAATATTACTCTTTGTTGTGTTACTAATATAACCAAGAAATAACTGGCGGGTATAGGGTCAGGTGCTGAAGGCACATTGTGAGAAGAGACCTAGAAGGCAAGAGGTGAGCCTTCTGTCACACCTGCATAAGGGCCGCTTGAGGGCTCCTTGGTCAAGCAGTAACGCCAGTGTCTGGGAAGGCAACCATTACTTAGCAGACCATGAAAGGGAGTCTCCTTTCCTTGGAGGAGTCAGGGAACACTGCTCCACCAGCTTCTTGTGAGAGGCTGGATATTCTCCAGGCCTGCCCACAGTCATCCGGAGGCCTAACCCCCTCCCTGTGGTGCTTCAACGATCACACTCCTTGTCCACTTTCATGCTCCTCCCGTACTCCTGGTTCCTCTTTGAAGTTCGTAGCAGATAGTGGAAGAAGAAATAGTGAAAGTCTTAAAGTCTTTGATCTTTCTTGTAAGTGCATAGAAGAAAACACTGACATTTGCTGCCTTCCCTCTCTGCTTCGGCTACCTAAGAGGGAAGGGCCCCCTGTCCCATGATCACGTGACTTGCTTCACCTTGTCAATCACTTAGAGGATTCACCGTCCTCACCCTGCCCCCTTATCCTGTATGCAATAAATATCAGTGCGCCCAGCCATTCGGGGCCACTACCGGTCTCCGCCTCTTGATGGTATTGGTCCCCCAGGCCCAGCTGTTTTCTCTTTATCTCTTTGTCTTGTGTCTTTATTTCTTACAATCTCTCGTCTCCGCACATGGGGAGAACACCTGCTAAGCCCCTTAGGACTGGACCCTACAGTGATCTGCCCACCTTGGCCTCCCAAAGTGCTGGGATGACAGGCGTGAGCCATTGCGCCCAGCCGAGAATTGATTGTTAAAGAGTCTGGTATGGCCAGGTGCAATGGCTCACACCTGTCATCCCAGCACTTTGGGAGGCCAAGGCAGGTGGATCACTTGAGTTCAAGACCAGCCTGGGCAACGTTTCAAAACCCTGTCTCTACAAAAGAGATGATATGGTCAATGTCTGTAACCCCAGCTACTCAGGAGGCTGAGATGGGAGGATCACTTGAGCCCAAGAGGTGGAGGCTGCAGCAAGCTGTGATTGTGCCACTGCACTCCAGCCTGGGCAACAGAGCATACCCTGTCTCAAAAAAAGAAAAAGAACCTAGCACCTCCCTCCATCCTTCTCCTGCTTCCTCTCTGGCCCTGTGGTCTCTGCACACCAGGCCTGCTTCCCCATCCAGCATACGTGGACACAGCCTGAGGCCCCACCAAAAGCAGATGCTGATGCTGTGCTTCTTGTACAGCCTCCAGAACTGTGAGCCAAATAAACCTCCTTTTTTTTACAGCAACACTAAAGGGATTAGGGCATCAGCCACTGGGCAATCTCAGTAAAGGGTGCATGGGAGTTCTTTACATGATCACAGTTGTTCTCCAAATTTGAAATTATCTCGAAATGTTAAAAAAAAAAATACAGACTGGGCGTGGTGGCTCACGCCTGTAATCCCAGTACTTTGGGAGGCTGACGTGGATGGATCATGAAGTCAGGAGATTGAGACCATCCTGGCTATCATGGTGAAACCCCATCTCTACTAAAAATACAAAAACTTAGCTGGGCGCGATGGCGGGCGCCTGTAGTCCCAGCTACTCAGGAGGCTGAGGCAGGAGAATGGTGTGAACTCGGGAGGCGGAGCTTGCAGTGAGCCGAGACCGTGCCACTGCACTCCAGCCTGGGTGACAGAGCGAGACTCCATCTCAAAAAAATAATAATAATAAGGCCGGGCGCGGTGGCTCACATCTGTAATCCCAGCACTTTGGGAGGCCGACGCGGGCGGATCACGAGATCAGGAGATTGAGATCATCCTTGCTAACGCAGTGAAACCCCGTCTCTACTAAAAATACAAAAAATTAGCTGGGCGTAGTGGCGGGCGCCTGTAGTCCCAGATACTCAGGAAGCTGAGGCAGGAGAATGGTGGGAACCCGGGAGGCGGAGCTTGCAGTGACCTGAGACCGCGCCACTGCGCTCCAGCCCGGGCGACAGAGCTAGACTCCCTCTCAAAATAATAATAATAATAATAATAATAATAATAATAATAATAATAATAAAATACAGGGGAAAGCTGTATTTTAATTCAAACATCGGCCATGCAGAGACTCCCTGCCCCCATATATCCCAGCTGACGCCCCAGGCCCCGGGCCCCCCTCCCTTGCAGGCCATCAGGGCCAATTCAGTTCTGCGTGTGCTTGTTCATCTGGCCAATGCCCTTAGAAGCCCAGCAGTGAAGGGTGTGGTGTGCATGGCCCTGCCTTCCCTGACCCCACCTGGCTGGCTTCCAGCTCACCATGGCTTCCCTGGCAGGCCCAGTTCACAGGCTTCCTGGGCACTGCCGCTGTTCCAAAGCAGGCCAGTCCCACTGAGCTGGGAAGCTGCCTAGACCCGCACCTAGCCAGCAAGCCTGGGAGCCAATGGTGGGGGGCTTCCATCCACCAATGGTCGGGGGCTGGGGTGGGCGGGGCTGCAGAGCCGCTGCTGGCTGGGGTGGGCGGGGCTGCAGTGCTGCAATTGGCTGGGGTGGGCGGGGCTGCAGTGCTGCAATTGGCTGGGGTGGGCGGGGCTGCAGAGCTGCTGCTGGCTGGGGTGGGCGGGGCTGCAGAGCTGCTGCTGGCTGGGGTGGGCGGGGCTGCAGAGCTGCTGCTGGCTGGGGTGGTGCAGGTGGTGGGTGAGATCTGCCGGAAGTCCATTCCCTGTAGTGTTCAGTGCCGGGAGTTGGCTGGGGCTGGGGTGGGGATGCTGGGGCTGGGGTGGGGATGCTGGGGCTGGGGTGGGGATGCTGGGGGAGACTCATGGCAGCTCCAGGCTCCCCTGGCGTTTCAGCCTCACCATCTTTCATCTGGCTCCAGGGACACGGGAGACCCCAGCCCCCAGGAACCAGAGCTCACCCCTCATCAGGCCCCACTCCCCACTCAGACGCCCCCATTCACTCCTTTCTTCACTTGGTCATTTATGCCTGTGGGCCACACATCTAGGAGGCAGGAGCTGCTCATGGGTGCCGCCCAGAACCAGGGGTCCCCCGGGAGGCAGACACTCCTGTCAGAGGGGGAACGCCCGGGGCCCAGGCCCAGCACCAGGTAGATGGGGGCGGGGGGTCGGGGAACCAGCAGGACAAGGGGCTGGGCAGCGGATAGGGATGGACCCGAGGCTCCCCTGGGTGGGCCGGAGCCCCGCCATTAAGGCACATCCCGGTGGGGCTTGGACAAGGCCCGGACCACGCAGCGCGAGGATGCGCGTGCTCCGCCTGGGCGCACCACGGCTTCCTGGGAGCTGCCCCCCACGGGGTCTCTCCTGGGTCCTTCGGGGGTCCCTGGGGGGAGCACAATGCCGGCCTCACTCACAACTGGCGGGGTGGGGGGCGGGAGAAAGGCCAGCCCGGCAGAGGACGCGCAGGAGAGATGGAAGCCTCCGGTGGACGTGAAATCTTTACTTAGAGAAAAGCGACAGAGTCAGAGACCCACGGGGGCGGGGCTGCAGCGAGGGCGCCTGGGGACACGAACACGGCGGAGAGCATCGGGAGACGCGCTGGTCACAGGAGCTGGCGGAGGACGCTGCGGAGACAGAGCCCGAGGGTTGAGAGCGGCGACGCGGCCAGGGGCTCCCCGCGGACCCCGCGTCACCCGGCGGGCTCGGATTCGCAACCCCCAACCCCGAGGTTCTGGCGGGCCGGGTCGGAGGGAAGAGGAAGGGAAGGGTGGCGGGGGTCTTTGGCTCAGAAGCGGTGGCGGGAGGCCAGGAAGAGACCTGGGCAGAGCCGGCCGGAGCCCCGCGGCGCGCACCTACCCCGGGCCGGGCTGCGGGGCTGGAGACGTCACTGCGCGGGCGGGGGCGCCGCGCTCCCGGCCGCCTTCCGCGCCGCCTCCTTCTCCGCCTTGGCCGACGGCTTCCCGGGGGGTTCGGTGGCCGCCGCCGCCGCCCCAGCCTGGGTGGGCCCCTTGCGCTCCTCCTTGGCTGCGCGGTAGCCGTCCCCCCAGGCCGCCGGCGTCTCCGTGCCGTGCTTGCGGCTCAGCGGGTAGGCCCCGATGGCCGCCAGGATGCTGCGGTGGCGCTCGGGGTCCATCTCCGTGTAGTACATCTCCAGGGTCAGCGGCGTGCAGATCTTGTGCTGCGGGAGGGGCCGGGTCAGGGTCGGTGGGGCTGAGCCCTCCTGTGCGCCCCGGGCCCAGGCCCTCCCGCTTCTGCGGTTGGGGACACTGCGGACAGTTTGTAATGGAGCCATGGCTTCAGGACACCGAAGATCAGCCTCCAGTTCAGAACTCAGGGCCCTGGAGGGGCATGGAGCAGGAGGTCGCGCGTTGTAAGGGGAGGGGCCACCCAGGGAGAGGGGCGCAGACACCAGTGGACCTGCCCAGCGCAGCAAGGACTCTGCGGAGCGCGCTCCAGAGCATAAACCATGGAGTTAAGGAGAAAAGGAGCAGATTTTACTTCTGATAAATAAAAGGCTTTCTAAAAACACACTAAAAGCTATAACCATTATTGACAAAGAGATTTAAAAAAAAAAAGGATGGAAGAAAATATCTGCCAAATAGGTGGGGAGCATTAATATCATGTTATATAAAAATAAAACCTCACACAAGTCACTCAGGAGGACAGATGACCCCTAGAGAGGTGGCTGCAGGGTGACCTTTTCTGCCTCATCTTTTTACTTATTTTTTAAATTACAAGAAGAGAAACCCATCACTAACTCATCTTTTCTTTTAAATTTTCAAAAGATACGATCTCATGTTCTAGAGAAGTAACAGGAACATGGCTTTGGAGACCACGTTCCCCCAGCAGCAGGAGACACCCCTGCCACCCCCTGCCTGGAGGCTACGGGAGGAGGGGCGGCTCTACACCCCCCACCAGAGCCCTGGCCCCCTTACCCGCAGCAGGAAGCCGTCGGGGCAGGTGAACTGGTCGTACCAGATGGCCTTGTACATGATCAGCACGCAGCCCAGTAGCGCCATGGCGAAGGCGATCATCCGTGCGGTGGGCAGCTGGCAGGAGGGCAGAGAGGGGCTCAGCCACGCCAGGCAGGGGCGGTCTTTGTGGGGAGCTCCTCAGGGGCTGGGCTGGCACAGGACCATCCCCGCCCTCCAGTCTTGATGCCCCACCCCCGCCCTGGGCAGCCAGTGGCTTTTCCAACTTTTCCGAGGGTCAAGTGTGCAGGCGTCACCCCTCGGGGCCAGGCCTTGCTGGTGGCCCCTCCACTGGGGTTCTGGAAACATCTGCCACCAGGTAAAGTGATGTGGCCTTTGACCCAGGTGGGTCTTGCAGGAATTTGCAGTTTTCCTGCGGTGTGGGCTCCCAGGGGATGGGGCCGCAGCCTCAGGGGAGTCGGAGGCTGCACTCACCAGGCCTCCCAGGTGACTGCCCACAGTGGGTGCATGTGTGGTAACATGAGCTGCAGACTGGAACGTGAGGCCAGGGGCGGGGAGCCCTAGCAGATCTGTCTACTGGAGAATGGAAGGCTTTGGAAACAGTCCACTAAAAATGACTAAAGCTATCATTAGTAACATTGACAGATTTAAACAAGAGGATGAGAGAAGATATTTGCCAGATATACTGCAGAAAGGAAGTATTACATAGAAAGCCCGTAAGTCACTGAAGATGAGACAATGACCCACTGGGCAAACAAGCAAGCAGCACTCGCGGGCACTTCCCAGAAAGAAAAACATCTCAGGAGCGCCACTGTTTGGTCAGTCTGCACCTGCAGCCTCGGGAGGGGGCCTGGTGGGTGCAGGGCAGCCGGTGGGGCCAGCTCTGGGCGGGATGACTCACTGCCACCCTCTCCTCCCTGAGAGCAAGGGGACCCCAGACTGGCCTGGACGGAACCCAGGCACCCCCAGCTGCCTTCCACCTTCTCCTCCTGTCCTGAGTCCCCACAGTGGGTGGGGTGGGTGTGGTTACCCTGCGCCCTTCCTCTGGGTGGCTGCAGTTCAGCCTCTGGCCCTCCAGGTCAGGGAAATTCTGCTGGTCTGGGGAGGACAGCTGGTATTCTGTCTGTGTCTTGATGACCACCTGTGAAAAGAGATGGCCATGGCCTCAGTAGGCAGCTGGCAGGGACCCAAGAGAGCCCTGAACTGAGAGGGGAGGGAGCCAGCGTCAGCTTCGTGGCAGTGGTGTTGACGCTGACCCATCTCCCAGGACTGTCTGGTGGATGGCAGGGCTCCAGCAGCCACAAAGTGAGGCCAAGGGAAGGTGGACGCTGAAAGTCTGTCTGCTGGGCGCATGGCAGCTCTGGGCCTGGCTGGGCTGCTGACAGAGCCCCTCACTCTGCCTGCTGCCTTCAACTCAGGGTGCTGGAGAATTGCCCTTGGCCAGCAGGGGTGGTCCTCCTGCCCCGGGTCCCCAGCATAGATGCTGCCCCCACCTCCAGCAGGGACAACTCGGGGTGCCCTTCATGCTGCATGACTCCCTGGGGGGTCAAACTGGGCTGGGCTCAAGCTGAGCTCTTTGCTTCTCCCCAGTTTCTGCTATAAGCAACCCCAGTGGTCACTTGCCCAAGGACCCCCAGATCTCAGGCTAAACCCAGGACAGGGCCATGCCCCGAGGGGAAGGGTGGGAAGCGTTGCCTGCTGAGTGCCCTATGGACAGCACGTGGGCGGGGTGCTGTCTAGGAGTCAGTGCGTGAATTCTCGGTTACCCATCAGCCAGTTTGCCCAGCTCTGGCATATGGGGGAGCTGACCAGGAGGTCACACAGAGTGCCCATGGCCAGCTGGGGCTTTGGCCCCCATGGCCCTTCATCTGTTTGCTCTACTGCACCTGGGAAGAGGCCATATCTAGACAAACCTCACCCCACACCCCTTTGTTCCCAGGGGAGCCTGAGAAGGGCCCCCACGCTGGCCCAGGCCCTCACCTGGTCAGGGAGTGGCGGCTGGAGCTGGCTGATGTCCAAGGGGCTGATCAGAGGCACACTGTCCATGGCAGCCCCATCCTGGTCCCCAGGGTCTTTACCTGGCTTCCCAGAGAAGCTGCAGCCCAGCTTCACCATGGTGGATGGCAGTCCTTGTCCTGTCCAAAGACAGACAGAGTCACTGCCCACAGGCTGCCCCCTGGATGCCCACGCCAGCTGGCTCTGAAGCCAGAGGACCCTGAGCTGGGCCTAATGCTCCTCACACCAGAGCCAGGGACAGGCTGTAAGTGGTCAGGCCAGCCTCCTTGGACAAACCGGTCAAATCCAGCGAGATGCTGGGTGCTGTACCTTCTTGACCCCCACAGCCCCTCTGGACCCCACAGCACTGCAGGGTACAGCGCCCCAACCAGTGACTGTCCACGAAGCAGGGGGAGACTTCCAACGGCAGCTGCTCTAGACAACCTCCTCTTTTTTCTTCTTCTTCCACTGGTGGCTGCTCTAGACAACCTCCTCTTTCTTATTCTCCTTCTTCTTCTTCTTCTTTTTTTTTTTTGAGACAGGATCTTGTTTTGTGGCCCAGGTGGGAGTGCAGTGGTGTGTTCTTGGCTTACTGCAGCCTTTGCCTCCTGAGCTTCAGCAGTCCTACCATCTCAGCCTCCCGAGTACCTGGGACCACAGTGCGCCCCACCACGCCTGGCTAATTTTTAAAATTTGTGTAGAGACGGGGTTTCGTCAGGTTGCCCAGGCTGGTCTCAAGCGATCTGCTTGCCTAGGCCTCCTACAGTGCTGGAATTACAGGAATGAACCACCGCGCCTGACTCTAGACAACCTCCTAAAGCCGACAATCCCGGACATCAGTATGGAGAGCTGGGTGCCAGACTCAGCACATAAAAATGCTGGAGACCCAGCTAAATTTGAATTTCAAATAAGCAACGAGCTCATTTTTAATATAAGAGCATCCCACGCAATACGCGGTATGGGACGTGCTTATCCTGAAGTCAGTCCTCATTCTGTCTGGCGGCTCTCTGCCAGAGACGCACGAAGTGAGAAAGAGCGGCCACAAGAGGGCACCCGCGAGTCAGCCCAGCTGCGAGCCTGGCGCTAAAGGCCGCGGAGAGCGGGTCTCCTGCGGAGCTGAAAGCCACAGCAGGGCCCCGCGGGGCTGGGAGAGGGCGGGCCCCACTAACCCAGAGAAGCCGAGGGTGCCCGGCTTCGCCTTCAGGCGGACCTTCTAGAGAAAAGGAATGCAGCGGATGACCTCCGAGCTGATGGATGGAAAAAGCAGAAAAAGAAAATGTATTCAATCAATCAAAGGAGAAAAGAAAGGTCCTGTGTGCAGTAGACACGGAACCTGTGGCCCGGTGCTATGGCGGCGCCTGTGGTCCCAGCCACTCGGGAGGCTGAGGCGGGAGAATCGCTTGAACCCGGGAGGCGGAGGTTGCAATGAGCCGAGATCACGCCACTGCACTCCAGCCTAGGTGACAGAACGAAACTCTGCCAAAAAAAAAAAAAAAAAAAAAAAAAGGCAGGGCGCGGTGGCTCACGCCTGTAATCCCAGCACTTTGGGAGGCCGAGGCGGGCGGGTCACGAGGTCAGGAGATCGAGACCATTCTGGCTAACACGGTGAAACCCCGTCTCTACTAAAAAATACAAAAAATTAGCCGGGCGCGGTGGCGGGCGCCTGTAGTCCCAGCTACTTGGGAGGCTGAGGCAGGAGAATGGCGTGAACCTGGGAGGCGGAGCTTGCAGTGAGCCGAGATCGCGCCACCGCACTCCAGCCTGGGTGACAGAGAGAGACTCCGTCTCAAAAAAAAAAAAAAAAGGAATCTGTCATTACAACCTTCTCTCACAAAGAACTCCAGGCGCAGACAGCATCACCACAGCATTCTACCAACCATTTACAGGGAAAGTAATGCACGTCCACAAAACTCTTCCAGAAAGACAAGGGAGCACTCACCAGCTCCTGAGGCCAACGTAGCCTCAGTCCCTAACCCAGCAAGGACAGCAGCGGAGAGGAGCTCACAGGCCAGCCCCCGCCACACGTACACACCACTGCGAGGCCCCAAAGCTCAAGCAGCGTGAATCCAGCGAATACAACAAGGTAACATATCATGACAGTTTGGGTGTATTCTGGAAATGAAGTTTGGCTTAACATTTGACAAGCAATCATATTTTTCACCATATTAACAGAATAATGAAAAAGCGTTATCTGATCAATTGCTAGAGGAGCAGAAGTAACTCTGGGTAAGACTCAGGGCTCATTTACTATTCCTCGGACCCATTAGTGCATTAAGGCAGGAGGCGAGTGCTGTAACCCGGTAACAGTGAACCACTAAATCCCCACAGCAAACCTCACTGAATGTGAATCCTGAAAGTGCCTCGATCTGCGGTTCTACAAGTTATGGTGCTGGAGGTCTCAGCCAATGCTGTAGGGCAGGACAAAGAAAGAGCTCCAGTGCCAGACAAGAAAAAGTAAAACTCTGATTGATTCACCCATGAAACAGTGTCTGTGTTTAGAAACCCCAAAAGAATATATAGACAAATCATAAGGATCAAAAAGTGAGTTTGGCAAGGTTGTTGGATTTAAGGTATTCAGAAATCAGTTACATTCCTATATGTCAGTGGCAAAAATAAATAAATAAATAATTTATTGAAGTACTCAATTTAAATAATATCAAAACTATCAAATCCTCAGGAATAGGTGTAAAAAGAGCTGAGGAGCAGGGACAGGGCAGGGCCTTCACATGGAATCCAGGAAACACTGTCGACAGAGACCAAGAAAAGCTAAATTCCCCAAGTAAATGGGGAAGGCTGTGGCTATGGATTTTGGGAGTTTCTATGTTTAAACAAATTACCCACCCCCCAATCTGTAGATGCAGTAAATCTTAAGCAAAATCCCAACAGGGTTTTTAAAATGAACTTGACAAGCACTGTCATTTTATATGGAAGGCAGAGGGGCAGGAACACATCAAGTATCTTGGAAAAGAACATGGATTGCCAGGCACAGTGGCTCACGCCTGTAGTCCCAACACTTTGGGAGGCAGAAGTGGGTGGATCACAAGATCAGGAGTTTGAGACCAGCCTGGCCAACATGGTGAAACCCTGTCTCGACTAAAAATACAAAAACTAGCCGGGCATGGTGGTACACGCCTATAATCCCAGAATCTCGGGAGGCTGAGGCAGGAGAATCCCTTGAACCTGGGAGGCAGAGGTTGCAGCGAGCTGAGATTGCACTACCACACTCCAGCCTGGGCAACAAGAGCAAAACTCCGTCTGGGAAAAAAAAAAAAAAGAACATGGAGGAGGTCTCATCTGCCAGGGTCTAGCTTGTTGCACAGCATTGGAAATGGAGAGGTGTGGGGCTACTGCGTGGTGGAAAAAGTCCCACGTGACACACTTTGCACACACAGACCCTGATTTGCAGCATGGCTGCCTCTCAGTAAACCGCTGTCCACATCAAGAGCAATGAGCCTGATCCCTACCTCACATTACACAGAGAAGTCTACTCCAGGTGGATAAACCTAAACTGGAAAAGCAAAACAATAAAGCATCTCAAAGATAATACAGAAGAAGATTTTTCTGGTCTCAGGGAGGGAAATGTTTCTTCATTAGGACAATAGGTACTAACCATAAAAGGAAATATTGATAAAATGACTTCATTAAAACTATGAACTTCTGCTTATCAAAACAGCCTTCAAAAAATGGAAGCAGAAACCAAGACTGGGAGAAGACAGTTGCAACCCACAAATGATGAGGGTGCATTGTGGGTTGAATGATGTTCCCTCAAAAATACATCCAAGTCCTAGGATCTGAGTGAGGGGTGCCTTTGAATGGGATCTTATTTGAAAATAGGGTCTTTGCAGATGTAATCAAGCTAAAATAAACTCGTCCTGAATCAGCGTGGGCCTTGACCCAAAACTGGTATCGTTATTAAAACAGGGAAATTAGACATAGGAGAGTGTTATGTGTAGACGGAGCAGAGATTGGAACGATGCAGCTGAAACCCAAGGATTGCTTGGGCCACCAGAAGCTGGAGGAAGCAAGGAAAAAGCTCCCCTAGAGGCTTTGGAGGGAGCATGGCCCCGTGAACACCTTCATTTTGGACTTCTTGACTCCAGAACTGTGAAAGAATTTGTTATTTTAAGCCACCTGCTTGTAATTTGTGACAGCAGCGCGAGGATGTCCAATTAACTGCCAGAGCCAGCAGTGACCAGTCTTTCTCGCCCTGCAGTGGCCAGGCTCCGCTGTGGGTTCCAGGTGTGGGTAGGCACCACGGGAACAGGAGCAAGGGACCCGCGGTCACAGAGCTTCTGCCCAGCTGCTGCCACTCAAGTACAGATAATGTGGAGGCATCTGCGTGGAGGAGAATCTAAGGGTGGAAGGAGCTGAGGGTGGAATGATTGCAAGGTGGAAGGATCCGAGGGAGAAGGATTGAGGGGGTGGGGGGGGGGGAAGGATCCGAGGGGTGAGGGATCCAAGGACAGAGGGACCCAACGGGGAAGGATTGCGCGGGTGGGGGTGGGGTGGAGGGGAGGGATCCGAGCGGAGGGGTCCGAGGGTGGAACGATCTGAAGGGAAGGGACCCCAACGGGGTGCGGGGAGGGATCCGAAGGGGTAAGGATATGACGCGGGGGGAAGGATCCGACGCAGGGGGAGGGATCCGAGGGTGGAAGGATCTGAGGGGGGAAGAATCCGACTTGGGGAACGATCCAAGTGGGGTAGGATCCCAGGTGGGAAGGGTCGGAGAGCGGAGGTATCTGAGAGGGAGGGCTCTGAGGGGGAAAGATCTGAGAGTGGAAGGCTCTGAGGCGGAAAGATCTGAGAGTGGAAGGCTCTGAGGGGGAAAGAAAGATCTGAGAGTGGAAGGCTCTGAGGGGGAAAGATCTGAGAGTGGAAGGCTCTGAGGGGGGAAGGATCTGAGGGGGGAAGGCTCTGAGGGGGGAAGGATCTGAGGGGGGAAGGCTCTGAGGGGGGAAGGATCTGAGGGGGGAAGGCTCTGAGGGGGGAAGGATCTGAGGGGGGAAGGCTCTGAGGGGGGAAGGCTCTGAAGGGGAAGCTCTGAGGGGGGAAGGATCTGAGCGGGGAAGGCTCTGAGGGGGGAAGGCTCTGAAGGGGAGGCTCTGAGGGGGGAAGGACATGAGGGGGAAGGATCTGAAAGGCGAAGGATCTGAGGGGGGAAGGATCTGAGCGGGGAAGGCTCTGAGGGGGGAAGGCTCTGAGGGGGGAAGGACATGAGGGGGAAGGATCTGAGGGGCGAAGGATCTGAGGGGGGAAGGCTCTGAGGGGGGAAGGCTCTGAAGGGGAAGCTCTGAGGGGGGAAGGACATGAGGGGGAAGGATCTGAAAGGCGAAGGATCTGAGGGGGGAAGGATCTGAGCGGGGAAGGCTCTGAGGGGGGAAGGCTCTGAGGGGGGAAGGACATGAGGGGGAAGGATCTGAAAGGCGAAGGATCTGAGGGGGGAAGGATCTGAGCGGGGAAGGCTCTGAGGGGGGAAGGCTCTGAGGGGGGAAGGCTCTGAGGGGGGAAGGACATGAGGGGGAAGGATCTGAAAGGCGAAGGATCTGAGGGGGGAAGGATCTGAGCGGGGAAGGCTCTGAGGGGGGAAGACTCTGAAGGGGAGGCTCTGAAGGGGAAGGACATGAGGGGAAGGATCTGAGGGGCGAAGGATCTGAGCGGGGAAGGCTCTGAGGGGGGAAGGCTCTGAGGGGGAGGCTCTGAGGGGGAAGGACATGAGGGAGAAGGATCTGAGGGGCGAAGGATCTGAAGGGGGAAGGATCAGGGGAGGAAGGATTTGGAGGTGGCAGCTTCTGCGTGGGGAAAGAACTGAGGGGGAAGGATCTGCGTGGGCGAGAGTGCGGCCGGTGAACGAGGGCTGGGTAGGGGATGGGGGAGGCCACTCTGAGCCGGAAGGAGCTAGGCGAGGGGAGACAGGGCCCCCAGTCCTGGACCTGGCCACGCGCTTTGGGGCCCTAACCCGTGCCCCTCGTTGTTGTGTGTTCATCGCAGGCGACCCTGTGCCTGCCGGGCCTTTCTGGAAGAGGCCGTGCGGTGTCCCCCAGACCACCCACCCCGGGCTGAAGACTCTTCCTGAGGTGGGTTCCCACGTGGCCCGGGCAGGGGCAATGGGCACTCGGCGGGCGAGGTTTCACGGTGCAGCCAGCGTCCGTGTGTGTGCAGGCGGAGACGGACGAGGCGCCACGGGGCTCAGATACAGGAGCGATCGGTGGAAGCAGAGTCGGAGCAGCGGAGGGCCGAGAGGCCGGGGAATGACGTGGTTGTGGGGCGAGGGCAGCCAGCGCCGGGGCTTGAGGTGGAGCTTGGCCCGCGGGGGTGGGGGTGCCGCTGAGGAGGAGGGGTCGGGGGTCTCCCCGGAGCGGACGCCCAGAGCAAGCCCAGCCTCTCTACAGACGGGCGAGGGGGAGGCGGAGAAGGGGGCGCAGTCCCGCACCAGGGCCCGCAGCGCCATAGGGTAGGGCCACGCCCCGGAGGGCCCGCGCCAGGAGTCTCCGCCCGAACCCCCGCTCGGGCAGGACCCCCGCCAGGAGGAGCTGCGCTTGAGGGGTCCCCTTCGAGCCAAACTTCAAATCCAACTCCTCGGACGGCCAATTTACGTCATCGCGGGTTTCCATGGCAACGCAGACAGGCCCGAGACGCGTCTTCAGGAAGAAAAAGCCATTGGGGGCCCACTGGAGCCTCGCTTCTGGTTCCGGGCCCAGCGCCCCGGGCGGAATGCGGGGTTGGAAAGGGGGGACTAGCCTGTGTGTGGGGTCCAACCCCCCCACCCCACACACCAGACCTTCCCTTTGCATTGCTGCGTCATGGGGGCCTCCTCCCACGGATGACACGCGGCTCGTGGAACTGGGGGGCCGCCTCTGCTTCTCCTCCCGGCCCCTCCCTGCACCTGCGCTGTCGCGGCATCTTCTGCGGGTCCCCTGCGCCCCACCCGCCGCGCTCTGGCAGGGAGGCAGTGCCCGGCTCCTGTCTCTGGGGCGGGGAAGGCGTGGGATGCTGATGGCAGATGGGTGGGGGCGCGGGTGAGTGAGGCCGTGCAGATGGACAGATGGATGGCGGGGGCGGGGGTGCAGGCTCTCAGTCGAAAGTCCACGGAAGCTCGGCTGGAGGTCACGTCACAGACTCGCTTCCGCATGCGCCCCCCCCAACCATGGAATGCTGCGTCACGCTGGGGGGTGCGCGCAGGTGGGCTTGTGCGGGCCGGGCACCAGCGCGTGTGACTGCGGATCTGAGGGTCCCGCCCAGCCCCCGCGGGCGCCACCGCAGCCTCCCGCCCCTGGCGCTGCAGGGGGCTGTGGCTGCCCCGCTTATTAAAAGGCAGCTGCACTGCGGGGTCGGCGCAGCCCCTCGGAGGGGAGTGGGCGCGCAGCTGCTCCCGCTTCCAGCCCAGCCACCTGTGGCCCCGCACCCGAGCCTGCTGCAGGTGGTTCCGGAGCCGCGCCCCTCCCGGCCTCCTGGCCACCTCTTGCCTGTCACGCAGACGCCCCCATCAAGCCCACCGCCCACCCCCAACCCCCGTGCGGGCAGCGGCTCCTCGGTGCTCTGGTCCGACGCCCCTTCTGTCGCCCTCCCCACCCCGCCTCCGGCGGACAGAGCTGGGCGGGAGCTGGGACTGGTACCCCCTCCCCACCTCGGAGACACCCTTAACTCCAGGCTGCGATCCTCGTGCCGGGGCCCCGCCGTCACGGGAAGCCTGGAGACCACCGCCCTCGGGTCCGCGGGGTCGGACTGGCCTGGGGCAGCCAGAGGAGGCCCGAGGGAGGAGGGCGGCCGTGCAGCGCGCCCTGCACACTCGCACCCGCACACGCGCCTCGCACACACGCACTCACACCCTCATCCGCACGCGCGCCACGCACAAGCGCACTCGCGAGCACACGCACCTCGCACACACACCCGCACACGCGCCTCGCACCCCCGCACCCCTTCGGGCCCCCCGCCCACATTCTGCAAGAAATGTGGAAATAGCTCACAGGCGGCTCCACTGGCAGCTGCTGCAGGACGCGGTCGGGGAGGACGACGATGCGGATGTGGATGCGGAGGATGCGGTTCCAGACGCTTCGCGGCCGGGCGGGGCGGGGGCTGCAGCTGCGAGACCGAGGCTGTGGTCGCCATGGAAACGCGGCTAGAGGCGGGGCCTCGACTCTGGTCCCGCACCCTCTACCCCCACCCACCGCCCCGGCTAGGGAGCCGCGCATGCGCCCCTCAGACCCTGCTCGGGCCTCACCACACACCTCATACACACACCTGATGCACACACACCTGACACATCCCCAGAAACCACACCTCGAACACCAGACACATCCAAACACACACCTCACACACATCCCAGACACACACCTCACACAAACACCCCCCACACACACACCTCACAAACACCCCAAACACCTGACACACACACACCCCAGAATCACACATCTCGAACACCAGACACATCCAAACACACCCCAGACACACACACCCCAGACACACACCCAACACACACCCGACACACACACCACACACACCTCACACACACCCCAGACACACACACACCTGACACACCCGACACACCCCCAGAATCACACACCTCAAACACCACATTCAAACACACACCTCACACACACCCGACACACACCTGACACACACGTGACACACACACCTGACACACCCCCAGAAACATACACCTGACACACACCTCACACACACCCAACAACACATATACCTGATACACACCCCAGGCACACATTTGACACACACACCCCACACACCTGACACACATACCCCAGAAACACCTCAAACAACAGATACATCCAAACACACACCTCACACACACCTGACACACACACCCTAGTAATACACACATCAAATACCAGACATCCAAACACACATCTCACACACACCTCAGACACACACACAGCTGACACACACCTGACAGCCCCCAGAAACACACATTTCAAACACCAGACACATCCAGACACACACCTCACACACACCCCAGACACACACACACCTGAGACACACCCCACACACCTAACCCGCACCCCACACACCTGACCCACACCCCAGAAACACACATCTGACACACACCCCAGACACACACACCTGACACTCTCCCCAGAAACACCTCAAACACCAAATACATCTAAACACACAATTCACACACACCCCAGATATACCTCACACACACACCCCAGACATACCTCACACACACACACCTGACACCCCAGAAACACACCTCACACACCAGACACACCCACACATCTCACATACACGACACGCACCTGACACCCACCCCAGAAACACACATCTCACACACCAGACACCCAAACACACCTCACACACACCCCTGACACACACCCCACACCTGACACACACACCTGACCCACACCCCAGAAACACACACCTTAAACAGCAGAAACACCCAAACACACCCCCCCACACACCTGACACACCTGATGCCCATCTGACACATACCCCAGAAACACACCAGACACACCCAAACACACTCACCTCAAACACATCCCTGACACACACACACCACACACCTGACATACACACACCTGACCCACACCCCAGACACACACCTGACACACACCCCAGAAATACACACCTCACACACCAGACACACCCAAACACACACCTCACACACGCCACACACCCCTCAGACAGACGCCTCACACACCAGCCATACACACATCACATACACCTCTCACACACACCCCCAACACACACCTCACACACACCTCACACACGCTCTTGACCCATACAGTTCACACACCAGACACACCCAAACACACACACCTCACACACCCAAGACACACCCACACACGCCCCAACACACACCTGACACCAGTCACCCAGGAAACACGCTTCACACACACCACACACCCAGACACACACCGCAAACACCACACAACGACACATACACCCAAACACCCCAGACACACATACCTCACATCAGACACCACATACCCAACACACCTCACATATACCCTAGACACACCAGAAACACACACCTACCAAACACACACACACCAGACACACCCCCTGCAGACCTGACACACCCACACCTGACACACACCTCACACACCAAAACACCCTAGACACACATCCCAAACACTGGACACACACCTCACACACACACACTAGACACACCCCCATACACACCTTACAGACACACCAGACACACGCCACACACACCTCACACCACACACCTGACACATACATGATACACACCCGACACACAGACACACCCTGGACTCATACCCCGGATGCGCACCACACACCCCCCCCAGACACACCTCACAAATGCACCCCACATACTGCTTACACACCAGACACACCTGACATGCACACCCCAAACACCTCACACATCCCAGACACACACAACTCACACACATGCCTGACACATACACCAGATACACACCCCAGACACACACATCCCATGCACACCTCACACATGCATCAGACACACACAACCCAGATACACACCTCACAAACGCACCACACACCCCCAGATCTACACACCTGACACAACCCTCACACACCTAACACACACCCTCACACACCTAACACACACACCTCACACAAACACTCCACATACCTCAGGCACACACACCCCAGACACACACATGCTCGAAACACGCACCTCCCATGCACATACACCCTCACACACCTCACGCACACACCAGCCACACATGCCTGACATATACTCGACACACACATCCCTTACACACTCCAGACACACACGCCTGACATACAACTCACACACACTTCACACATGCACACCTGACACATGTATCCCTGACCTGCACACACACCCTTCACACATACACCCTAGACACACCCTGGATCCACCCACTCTTGACACACACCCTAGACACTGACAACCCCACACACAAACCCTTGACACACACCCCAGACACCTCCAAACACCCCTCACACATATATCCCAGATGCACACACACCCCTACACACCTCAGGCACACACACTCCTGACACATGCACCCCATGCACCCTCCCACACAGGTGGCACACATTCCTCACACACACCTGACACACACCTGACTCAGACACACCTGTCACCCCAGCAGACACCTGACACACTCAAAACACCTCTCACACCTGACACACATCACGCAAACATTTCACTTACCTCACACACCTGACAGCCCTCACGCACACCTCACACACACCTGACATACACATGTGACACACACACATCTCACACATACACACCCTCACGCACACGCACACACGCTCGCCGCCTCACTGTGCAGGGGCAGGTGCCCTGGCCAGCTCAACCCTGGCTGCTCCTTGGTCTGGGGCCCCCCCCAGAGTCTCCAGGTGGACCTTGGGTGGATGCTCAGACTCCCCCGTCCCCTCCGCCTTTGTGCTGGGTCAGACCCAGCTGGGTTTGGCTCTCACTCACCCTGAGGATGGCCCTGGCGCCCGCATGGTGCCCAGCACACAGAAGGCGCTCCATAGGCATTTGCCTGAGTGCGGCTCCCAGCTGTGGGTGGTCAGCAATGACAGGAGCATGCGTTGGTGATGCCTTCGTTTTCATTGCTAAACCGTAACCCATTGTTCCCGCTGTTAACTCATGGACATGCCGCGTTTCATCCACGCTGAACGGTAACCCGTTGTTACTACTGTCTTTTTGTTTTGTTTTGTTTTGTTTTTTTGAGACGGAGTCTCGGTCTGTCGCCCAGGCTGGAGGGCAGTGGCGCAATCTTGGCTCACTGCAAGCCCTGCCTCCCGGGTTCGAGCCATTCTCCTGCCTCAGCCTCCCGAGTAGCTGGGACTACAGGCGCCCGCCACCAAGCCCGGCTAAATTATTTTTTGTATTTTTAGTAGAGACGGGGTTTCACCATGTTAGCCAGGATGGTCTCGATCTCCTGACCTCGTGATCCGCCTGCCTCGGCCTCCCAAAGTGCTGAGATTACAGGCGTGAGCCACTGCGCCCGACCTGTTTTGTTTTAGTTTAGTTTTGTTTTTTTAAGAGGAGTTTTGCTCTTGTTGCCCAGGCTGGAGGGCAATGGAACGTTCTCGGCTCACCGCAACCTCTGCCTCCGGGGTTCAAGCGATTCTCCTGCCTGAGCCTCCTGAGTAGCTGAGATTATAGGCGTGTGCCACCACGCCTAGCTAATTTTTGTATTTTTAGTAGAGACAGGGTTTCACCATATTGGCCAGGCTGGTCTCAAACTCCTGACCTCAGGTGATCCGCCTGCCTTGGCCTCCCAAAGTGCTGTGATTACAGGCGTGAGCCACCACGCCCGGCCATTATTGCTGTTAACCCATGGATTCTCCAGGTTTCATCCATTCATCCGTATGAACTGTTTCCAGTTTGTCAGCTGTTTATAATGTTGTGGTGAACATTCTTATCACAACCTTGGTGGACGTGTGCTTTTCTTTCTCTTGGGTAGTTACTGAAGAGTGGAATTGCCAAATTTGATGGAAAGTTGACATTTAACTTTGAAAGAAAATGCTAAAATGTGTTTTTCCAAAGTGGCCGTACCATGTGACATTCCCACCAGCAGTATAGGAGGGTTCCAGTTTCTCCACATCCTCACCACCTCTTGATTTTTTTTTTTTTTTGAGACAGTCTCCCTCTGGCCAGGCTGGAGTACAGTGGCACGATCTTGGCTCATTGCAACCTCCACCTCCCGGGTTCAAACGATTCTCCTGCCTCAGGCACCCAAGTAGCTGGGACTATAGGCTCATGCCACCACGCC